>NC_000002.12:105368405-105671436 GCF_000001405.40 Homo sapiens | reverse complement strand
CTCTCGTCACAGCCACCACTTCTTGAACCGCTGCCCCACATGACTCACGGAGCTGATGAAGCACAGCCTGGGAAGGCGGATGGGACCCAGGGAACACAAGCCTCCATCAGCCAGCTCGGCAATTTCTTCACTTAGCTCAAATCTGTTCACCAAGCCACAAGTTTAGGGCCAAAATACATTAAGTACTCTTTATTTTTAAAATAACAAATAGCCCACAGAAATAAAGCCAACACAGTTGGCATCCCTGCTATAATCGTGTTGGCCGTGTGTCAGAACAGGGTGTGATGACTCCTGAATTAGACTTTTTTCCTCTCTGAAGCTGTTTTTTCAAATGTGGACTTACAATTACCTAGAGAGTCTACAAGGCAGATTTCTGAGCCCCACTTACTCGTCCTTTATGAGATCTCCATAGGGGAGGCCCGGGAATCTTCATTTATAAACAAGCTCCTGGTGGGGAGTGGAGAGGGTGCTCACGGCACAGGAAAGTCTGAGAAGCACGTTCCAGTGGTATATTCTATGGACTGTGAGTTCATTCAGGGACATAAAATAAGAGATTACCCTGGGAGGCTCTGATGGACAGAGAGAGGTGGCAGGAATAGGAAAAGCTGGCAAATAAGGAAAATAGAAATCAGAAAAATCATATTCCCCACAACATTTCCTTTCAAGCACATATCTTTTTCTTTAAACAAACTCTCTGAACATCAGCGGATGCACAGCTCCTGCAGATGTTCTGGAAGTTTCTACACATGGGCACGTCATGTAGAACAGAACATCCCCCAAGGTCTCACTCCTTCTCAGCATGGAGGCACCGAGGTCTCACTTCTTCTCAGCATGGAGGTGCATGCATAGCTGGGCCGAGAGCCAGGGACTATTGGCTGATGCTGGCTCCAAACTACAGCACCCGGGGCTGCTGCCACACACCTTCCATGGCACCCTGTGACCGTGAGCTGCCAGCATGAGTCAGAGAGAGCCTCGATGTGCATTGCTAGGGACATTGTTGAGGTTTTTAAAAGTTGTAATGTTAATATATTTATTGTGAAAAAACCAAGCACGGCACAATGATGTTAACTGCGTTACTTCCCCTGGCCTTTCTTCTCTGCTATCCATAGGGAAGCACTCTTAGCATGATATGCAAATCCTTCTCATCAGATCCTATGTATATGGAAATCTATGTGTGTGTAGCCAGCTCCTACAAGTTACAGTGGCAGGATCATTTCTTGTGACATGGAGGATGCTTATCCTCTCTCTTTCCACATATCCTCATGGAGATGGTCACAGCAGCTCCAGGATAAGCTGCCTCTCAGCTACGGCACTGGCTCCTTTACCAAGCACCCCTGAGCTCCAAGCCTATCCTCTGCCCTGGAACACAGCAGCCTATATGTTCCCCAGACCCTCCTTTCAGAGGTCTTCCAGTTGGTTTCTGTCAATGGGAGGTAAGCAGGTGGGAGGAGAGAGAAGGAATTTCCACTCTATTTCTGATGCCAGCTTTGCCCAGGAGCAGCAGACAATGGCCCCAGCCTTGGGCTTCTCTCAGCACTGCCAGCCCCAACCTTACTGGGACCCCTCTGAGCTACCAAGACAAGCTTTGCTGTCTTCTCACACTTTCTGGGTCATGTGCCTTCCAGAGAGCCCTGCGCACCAGCTGCCTGGAGCTTCCCCAACCGGAGCCCTCATTCTTGCTCCTGGTAACATCATTCTTCTCCCATGTTACATCAGTCCTAGAGCAGGAGCTGCTTCTGAGGTTGTTGGTAGCATCCTCTGGTTCCCTTTTGGTCCTCCAACACCCCCATGATCAATTCCCTGGGTTTGAAATATCCAGGGTTGGTTCTGTGTCTTAGAGTGGGTTGTGACTGATGCTGATAAGAAGATTTTGCAGTAAAAACAGATACATTTTGCCTGAGTCAGGCTTTGTTCTGAGAGATAAGCCTATGGATAGAAACAGCTAAAGGATATAAAAGGCTGAGCATACAAACAGTCAATGGTCAGACCATATAAAAAAGAACTTGAGGCCAGGCGCAGTGTCTCACGCCTGTAATCCCAGCACTTTGGGAGGCTGAGGAGGGCAGATCACAAGGTCAGGAGATCGAGACCATCCTGGCTAACAGAGTGAAAGCCCATCTCTACTAAAAATACAAAACATTAGCTGGGCATGCTGGCAGGAGCCTGTAGTCCCAGCTACTTGGGAGGCTGAGGCAGGAGAATGGTGTGAACCTGGGAGGCGGAGCTTGCAGTGAGCCGAGATCACACCACTGCACTCCAGCATGGGCGACAGAGAGAGACTCTGTCTCAAAAAAAAAAAAAAAAAAAAAAAAAAAAATATATATATATATATATATATATATATATATAGAACTTGACCCACCACCTGCGTCCAAAGAAGCCAACCTAATATCTACAGTAACCAGCCCAGGAATCTACCCTGCTTCCTGTAAGTCATGTTTGTAGGAAGTCAGACCACTGTCTCTAGCAACAATCCAGGAAGGCCAACCATAAACCCGTAACAATCAGCTCACACAGACAAGACTTGATTCATAACTGACAGCTGCCCTAATTTTCACCCCACTTCCAACTTAGGATCCACAGGAGAAAGCCAAATATGACTCCCCAGTCAATCACATAGGAGGTCTCATTTCTAGTTGGGACCTTTCAGCTCCTCCAGACCAACAGTCTCCAATCAGGGCACACCTGGAGCCTTCTTCCTTTCACATGAAGCTTTCCCACTCCTCTGCCTGCCTCTGAGTTTCTGCCAACACAAGTGATGGTGGCCGGCTCCCTTGCTCTAGCAAGCTCTGAACAAACAGCCTTTGCTTGTTCTCATTTGGGTGGTCTTTGTTTTCATAGCTGAAACCATGAGGCTTATGGCCAAATACATGGAACAGAGAAGAATGTGGATGGGGCAATAGTGATTTTCTCTCTGCAAAGAAAATGAGAGTTGCCATGAGTCATAGGATTGAGGTGATGTGCTCAGGTCGTACACAGTGAGAGCACCTATCCTTGCCCGTCCTGAGGCACCAACACTGGGAGGATGCAATGCAATGAAAACTTCAGGGAAGTCTGAAGGATTATCTGGTTTCCCCAGGGTGTGTCCTTGAAGGCTGCAAGTGTCAGAGTGAAATCTCATATCTAATATGGCAACTGCTAAGGTTCTACCTGGGCAGAAGTTTCCTAGGGCAGCCTCTTTCCTCTACTGGGGGCAATGGGAGAGTTGAGGGGTACTTTTGCTATGGACCCAGGACCATGGGGGTAATGGATACCAGTGTGGGATAGCACCCAGGCCAGGAGTGATGAGCTATAGCAGTGAAGGTGCTAGGGCAGAGCACAGCACTGTCACCCTCTGATGCCCAGCCACACACAAAGCCTTAGAACTGTGGTCTACCCAGCCAGGCGCGGTGGCTCAC
This sequence comes from Homo sapiens, assembly GCF_000001405.40. Lineage (NCBI taxonomy): Eukaryota > Metazoa > Chordata > Mammalia > Primates > Hominidae > Homo > Homo sapiens. The sequence continues at coordinate 105,668,038 of NC_000002.12, read as the reverse complement.
GCCTGTAATCCCAGCACTTTGGGAGGCCAAGGCAGGCAGATCACGAGGTCAGGAGATTGAGACTATCCTGGCTAACACGGTGAAAGCCCGTCTCTACTAAAAATACAAAAAATTAGCTGGGCTTGGTGGCGGGCGCCTGTAGTCTCAGCTACTCGGGAGGCTGAGGCAGGAGAATGGCGTGAACCCGGGAGGCGGAGCTTGCAGTGAGCCGAGATCGCACCACTGCACTCCAGACTGGGAGAGAGAGCGAGACTCCGTCTCAAAAAAAAAGGAAAAAAAAAAAAAAAGAAATGTGGTCTACCCTCAGGAGAAGGAAGGGGGAAAGAAGAGGGGAAAATCAGGACTTGGCTTGAATGTAAATCTTGAATTTCTCACATTTAAAATAGGCAAGTTTGCCTTCTGACATTAGCAGACGTGAGGGTTTGTGAACCAAACTGGGCTCAGTCATGGAGAAATGCAGAAAGATATCATTCTGCCCTCTATGTGTTGAATAACAGCATAAGATGTATCACATCTCATGTATATATGTATGTTTTTACACAAATAGAATTATACTAACCATAATAATCCGAGAGCAATTTTCACTTCAAATATCTTAAGCACCCTTTTTGTCTTAGTAAGTTTAGTACTAAACTTACTACAGTACTTATTATAACTTATAATTGATTTATCTAGCTCCCAGTGAGTGATATTTTGGTTGTTTCTAATTTTTGCTACTACAAGCAGTGCTGCAATGAACATTGTGGTGGAGCAAAATTCTAAGACTGTTGCCAAGATTCCTGCCCATGGGTGTATATATCGTATATAATCCTTCCCCCTTGAGGGTAGGCAGGATCTGTGATTAAGTCTCTAATCAGTTGACTTTGAGCTAATCAAAAGGGTCAGGCCTCTGGGGTGAGCCTGACTTAATCAGGGCATCCTTTTAAAAGAAGGTGAAGCATCAGAGAGACATTCTCCTGCTGGCCTTGAAGAAGAAGAAAGCTGCCATCTGTTCTACACCACAAGGAACTAAATTCTCCCAATGATCTGAATCATCTTAGAAGTGGACCCCAAGCTCCTGATGAGAACTGCAGACTGTCTGACACTCTGATGGAAGCCATGTCAGACCCGGAGCAGAGGACCCCATTACAGCATGACTAGACTTCTGATCTGTAGAAACTGTGAGGCAAGAAATGAGTGTTGTATTAAGTCACTAAATTTGTGGTAATTCGTCATGCAGTAATAGAATCCTAATACAAATGTCTTGATGTATCATTTTTATAGCTGTCTATCTATTTTTGATGGCATGTTCAGATAATTTTATAAGGAAACGCAAACCAATTTTCAAGTGATAAGATACATACCTAAATCTTGGGATAGTAATTGTTTTTGAAATGTATATGTAAACTTTTTTGGTAATTTACATGATATTTTGTTTTACAAGGATTTCTTCCATGTATGCTAAGATGATGGCATGCTGTAAAAAGTCAGCAATCTGGTGTATAGTGGAATAGCTTATATTGGACTATCCTGCAGCTAACAACTATATATTCTGAATAAAATTGTAAATAAAATAATTATTTGAAGGCACTAGCAAGCAACGAATAACAGGAAGAAATTGGAAAAGATTTGAATTTTTAAAGAAGGGAACTATGCTTGGTGAGGTCTATATTTATAAAGATTTTCCCAAGGGCATTTCCAGTCCATGGGCTGGGAAAGGCAGGAAGCTACAGTCTTAGCTACATGTTAATTTGATGTATCAAAGCTGCCTGAGTAGCTAGAACTGAAGGAAGAAACCTGGGAGGGAAGGAGCCATAAATGGATGAATCCTAAATTCTGCACATAATGCCCCTCAATGCCTTGACTGAACAACAGTTCATGCTGGTGGGAGTCTCCAAAAAGTCCAACAGAAAGCAACAACTGGAAGGCTGAAAGAAGTGACCAGAGATTTTAGCTGTTGCCCTCCTCAAAAGAGACAGAATTTGGAATTCGAGTCCTGAAAAATTGGCAAGGTTTGGTAAATATCTTGAGTTTTCCACTGAAAGCCCAGAAAGTCCATGCCTTGGGAGTAAATACTGAGCCCCAGGACTAAGAATTCACTCTAATACTAAGGGGAAACCCACAATAGACTTGCCCCAACACAGCATACAACCAAGTCTCAATAATTTTGAGGTGATTGGCCAGCAATTCAATTCTTTGCCCTTTGGAACAAGAACAAAGAATGTTGAATCTTTGCAATGTATCATCTATAATGTTCAGTATAAAATTAAAAAAATACTAGACATATGAAGAAATAGAAAAATGTGAATCATAGTCAAGAATAAAAACAGTCAATAGAAAATGAACCTGAGATGATACAGACTGGAGTTAGTAGTAGAGGATTTTTGAAGCTGTTAGCCTAAAGATGTTCAAGGAACTTAAGGGAGGAGATTGTTTTCATGAGTGAAGAGATGGAGAAACACAGTAGTAAAATGTAAATTAAAAAAAGAACAAGAAGGAAATTCTAGAATTGAAAGTTCAATATCTAAAATAAAACATTCATTGCGTGCTTTTAGCAGGATGTGATAGACAAATAAAAAGTAAGTTTCCACTCTAAACAATAGAAAGACAGAATGTTTTAAAAAATGAACAGGATTTCATTAACTCATGAGGCATAATTAAGGAATCTAACATGCATATAATTAGAGTCCCCAAAGGGAAGACGAAAGAAAATTAGACACGAAAAGTGTTTGAAGAAATAATGGTGGAAAATATCTCAAATTAGATGAAAAACATCAAGTTAGAGTTCTAAGAGTCTCACTGAAAATTAAGGATAAATATCCCCAAACCACATGTAGGCACATAATTGTCAAATTGCTCAAAACCAAAAATAAAGAGAAATTCTTGTAAGCAGCCAGCAGAAAATACACACTACATGAAGATGCCTTCTCATCAGAAACAGCAATGGCTAGAAAGGTGTGGAACAACATCTTCTAAAAGACACCTCCCATACCCAAAAGGTAACTGTAAACTCAACATTCTATATCCAGCAACAAATATCTTTTACAAATTAGAATGAAATTTAAAAAACATTTTGAGGTAAGTGAAAGCTGAGAAAATTTGTTGCTAATAGACTTGCACTACAAGAAATACCAAAAGAAGTCCTTCATGCTGAAGGGAAATGATACCAGATGAAACTGGCATCACATCTATGGGAAAGAATGAGGAACTCTGGAAGTGGTAAGTGTGTGTTTATATATATATATATATATATATTTTTTTTTTTTTTGAGACAGAGTTTTGCTCTTGTTGCCCAGGCTGTAGTGCAATGGTGTGATCTCGGCTCATGGCAACCTCTGCCTTCCGGGTTCAAGTGTTTCTCCTGCCTCAGCCTCCCAAGTAGCTGGGATTACAAGCATGAGCCACCATGCCTGGCTAATTTTTTATTTTTAGTAGAGATGGAGTTTCTCCATGTTGGTCAGGCTGGTCTCAAACTCCCGACTTCAGGTGATCCACCTGCCTCAGCCTCCCAAAGTGTTGAGATTACAGGTGTGAACCACCTCGCCTGGCTGATACATTTTTTTCCTCTGACTTCTTTAAAAGAACTGACTGTTTAAAACAAAAATCATAGCACTTCATTGTGAGGTTTTTATGGTGTGTAGATGCACAGGAACATAACAACAATAGCACAAATGAAGGTGGAACATGGAATTCTATTGGTCATAATTTCTTATATTTTTCTGAGAAAGTGGCACAATAGTAAATCTATGTAGGCTGTGTTAAGCGAAGGATGTATATTGTACTTTCTAGAGTAACTACTAAAAATAATGGTAGGATATATAATTAAAAAGCCAACAGAGAATTAAATTCAAGGATTAAAAAATATTCAATTAACCCAAAAGGAGAAAAGAATGGAGAAACAGAAGGGCAAAAGTCACATGGGACAAATAGAAAATAAATAGCAAAATGGTGTACCTAAATTCTACTATGTAACAAATTAAATTTAGTGTAGTTAAACTAAACAGTAATTAAAAGGTGGATATTGTTGGATTGGATTTAAAAAAGGAAGACACAACTAATGGTACCTACTAGAAGTGCACTAAAGACTCTAATAAGTGGAAAGAAAAAGAATGAAAGAAAATATACCACACAAAAGCCAAGCAAAAAGAAGCTATGTGGCTAGAAGAATCACAGACAAAGTAGACTTCAACATAAGGATCATTACCAGAGATAAAGGGATACATTTTATAAGTATGTATGTATGTGATGATAAAGTGTCAAAATATATGATAGAACTAAAGAAAGAAATAGAAAATGCACAATTTCATTTGAAGATTTTTAACATCCTTTTCTCAGAAACTAATAGAACTAGGTAAACAAATCAATATGGACATAGCGGATTTGAACAACAATATCAACCGATTTGACTTAAGTTGACGGCAACGACAGAATATGCATTCTTTTTAAGTATACACAAAGTGTTTATGAAGCTAGATAATGTGCTGGGTTATAAAATAAAGTACAAAAATTTTCAAAAGATTAAGTAATGTTATCTAAGCACAACAAAATTAAATTAGAAATATGAAAATGAGACCTCTAGAAAATTCACAAATATGCAGAAATTAAATAGCACACTTCTACATAGCCCATATATCAAAGAAGAAATCACAAGAGAAATTAGAAAATACTTTGACCTGAATAATGATGAAAACGTGACATACTGAATTGGAAGAAGCATGACATATTGAATTGGAAGAAGCAGCTAACACAGTGCTTAGAAGATAATGTTTAGCTTAAATGTCTATAGAAGAAAAGAAGAAAGGCTTAAAATCAACAATCTAAGCTTTTGCTTTAAGAAGCCAAAATGAAGACTAAATTAAAGCCAAAGTGAATGGAAGGAAGGAAATCACAAAGATAAAAGCAGAAGTCAGTGAAATAGAAAACATAAATATAATAGTGAATATAAGCAAAGTCACAAGTTAGTTCCTGAAAAAGTTTAATAAGATTGATCAGCCCCTAGCAAGACTAATCATGATAAAATGTTACAAAACACAAAATTAAGAAAATCAGAAATGTTGTCATTATAGATCCTGTAGGCATTTAAAGGACAATAAAAAAATTATAGAAAACTTTATGTAAGTAAATTCAATAATTTGGATGAAATGGTCAAATTTCTTGAAAAACACAACTTGAAATAACTGACATATGAAGAAATAGAAAACTCATAATAGGGCTATAACTGGTGACCTTTCAAGAACTTGAACTCATAATCAAAATCTTTCCCAGGAAAAACTCTCCAGGCTCAGATAATTTCACTGATGAAGTCTATCAATCGGTTGATGAAAAATAATGCCAATTTTACGCAAAGTTTCAGAAAATGAAGAGAAGAAAACACTTCCTACTATACACTATACACTTGTGGGCTACTATAACACTAATACTCACACCTGACATACAGATCACATGAAAAGAAAATTGCAAACCAATATCCCTCATGAATATAAAAATGAAACGCATTAATAAAGTACTAATGAATCAAGTCCATCAGTGTTGAAAGAGAATTTATCATGTTCAAGTGGAGTTTGTCTTATCTGAATTTAACATTGAAAAATCAATCAATGTAACTTATCATATTGCAAAGCTAGAAGAGAACAATAGGTGATTACCCCAATAGAGGCAGAAAATGCAGTCAGCAAAATCCAAAACCATTCATGATCAAAATTCCCAGCAAACTATGAACAGAATTTTCTTAAACTTATAAAGGGCATTTACAGAAATTCTATAGATACTTAACGGTGAAATATTGAGTGCTCAGGAACAAGCTACCTTTGTATTGCAGGCCCTAACTGTGAGAAGACAAGAAAATAAAATAAGAGACCCAGATTTAAAAGGAGGTATGAAATTGATTTTAATCACAGATGATGTGACTGTGTATATAGAAAAATCTTTTGAAGTCTACAGAGCAACTGCTAGAACTAACAAATTAAGCAAGATCACAGCATACAAGGTCAATATACAAAAATAATTTTTTAATAAAATTTCTTTATGCAATTTTATTTCCTAAATAGATTCTATTTTATTTCTATATTAAGTCCCATCAAAACCATAAAATAATTCAGACTAAATTTAACAAAAGATGTGTAAGACCTGTACACAGACATATTGCTAAAATGAATTAATTTCTTAATTATTTTAATAACTTAAGTAAATTAAATTAATTACTTAAGTAAATGAAGAGATATTCCATGTTTATTATTTGGAAGTCTCATTACTGATGAGATGTCATTTTGATCTATAATTCAACTCAATCTCAATCAAAATTCCACAGAACTTATTCTAAAATTTACAAGTTAATTCTAGGCTTAGGGATTAGACTGGCCAAATTCTTGAAAAAAAAACAATGGAAGACTCATGCTATCTGATTCCAAGATAAAGCTACATAAATTATGTAGCTTGTACTCTGGGTAAAGCTACATTAATTAAGATGGTGTGATACTGGCATAAGGACAGACAAAGAAGTCAGTGAGCCCAGAATTAGACACACTTATGTAGTCAATTGATTTTTGACAAATGTGCCAAAACAATTTAATGAGGAAACAATAGCCTATTTAAAAAATGATGCTGCAACAACTGGATAAATGTGTATGTTATGTACATGTAGGGGGTGAGGGAGGAACAAGACTCCCACCTCATACCACGCTCAGAAGTTAACTTAAGAAAAATAGATCAAGCCTAAAATCTGTAGCTCTAAAGCTTCTAGAACAAAACATAAGATGTCTTCATGACCTTGATGTAGGTAAACATTTTTTAGAAAGGTCACTAACAGAACTAACCACAAAAGAAATATTATTTTAATTTCATAAAAATTAAAGACCTGCTCTTTACAAGATCACTAAAAAAATAAAAATGCGAGCCACAGACTGGGAGAAGATATTTAGTATATATATATATATATATATATATATATATATATATATATATATATATTTGACAAAGGATTTATATGTAAAGAACTCCTCCAAATCAATTTTTTTAAAAAAGACTAACAATTAAAAAAATGAGCAAAAGATTTGAACAGATACTTCACCAAAGAAGATGCATGAATGGACAGGAAGTCCATGGAAAGGTGAAATGTAAGTTTAAAAATCCACCACTTCATATCCACTACAATGGCTAAAATTGAAAGGAACAACAACACAAATATTGGTGAGGAAATGGAGCAACATAACTCTCATATTTTGTTGGTGGCAGTGCAAAGTGGTACAGCCACTTTGGAAGAGTTTATGACGGTTACTGGTAAGGTAAAACACCTCCAGCATGACTCAGTAAGTCAACTCCTAGGTATGTGCCTAAAAAAAAATGAAAACCAATTTCCATGAAGGACTTGTACAAAAATGTTTACAACAGATTTATTCACAATATCTAAAACCTAATAACTCAAATATTCGTCAAGTGATGACGAATGGACAAGCAAGCTGTTGTGCACTCACACTCAGCAATATTGAGGAATGAATTAGTGATTCATGCAATAACAACGATGACTCTCAAAATAATGATGCTGAACAAAAGGAGCAAGACATGAGAGTGTATAACCTTCACATTTCCATCCAAATGACATTCTACAACAACAACACAAGCTCTGTGAGTTGGCAACCATCGATTTACTTTCTGTCATCATAGTCTAGGATTTATAACAAGGGGATGTGGTGAATGAAACACCAATTCTATTGAACATATGATTTCGCTGAATTAGAGAACGACTTAGCTGGGAGTCTGAATGTTGGGAAGCGCAACTCCACAGAAGTAGGGAGGAATGAGGGGCGTGAAATTGTCTTTGGAAACATTCCTTCCTGCTGGCCCCTACATTCCTGCTCAGTACCCACACAACTCTCTAAACCCTGTGCGGCGGCCCCCAACCAAGCCTACCATAGTTCCCAAAACTGTTCCAAGCATCAAAGTTTCCTTGGTTCTGGTGTCTCTGGTCAGTGTTTCTACAGTAATTTTTGCATATTTATGATGCTTGCTGAACTAAGCTATCAGTGGAATTATGTGATTGATATGTTAATAGTATTTTTTCAGTGCTGTTAAATACTGTTAAAATTAAAATGTGCCTTCTAAAATCTACATTCATCTCTGTGAATTTGACTACTCTGGGTACCTCATATAAGTGGAATTATATGTCCTATTGGTCATTCTCTGACTGGATTATTTCCCTTAGAATAATTTCCTAAAGGTTCACTGATGTTACAGCATGTAACAGGATTTCCTTTCCTTTTACACCTTAATAATATTCCGTTGTCTGTTATACCACATTTTGCTCTTCCATTGATCTCTTCATGGACACTTGGGTTGCTTCTATTTTGGCTACGTGAATAATGCTGCTATGAACATGAATGTGCCAATATCTTCTCAAGTCTCTGCTTCCAATTTTTGTGGACATATATGCAGAAGTGGAATTGCTGGATCATATGGTAATTCTATTTTTAATTTTTTGAAGAATCTCCATACTGTTTTCCATAGCGGCTACATCATCTTATAATTCCAACAGTGTACAAGGATTGCAATTTCTCCACATTCTTGCCAACACTTGTTTTCTGTTTTTTTGATAGTAGCCATCCAAATGGGTGGAAGTAAATCTGATTTTGGCTTTGATTTACGTTTCCCTAATGATTAGTGATGATGAACATCTTTTCATATGTGTATTGTTTATTTGTATAATTTCTTTGGAGAAATGTCTCTTCAAGTACTTTGCCAATTTTTAAAATTGGGTTATTTTTTGTTGTTGATGACGATGTTGAGTTATAGGAGTTCTTTGTATATTCTGGGCATTAAGCTGGTACGGTTTGGCTTAGTGTCCCCACTCAAATCTCATCTTGAATTGTAATCCTCATAATCCCTATATGTTGAGGGAGTGACCTGGTGGGGGGAGGTGATTGGATCATAGCGGTGGTTTCTTCCGTGCTGTTCTCATGATACTGAGTGAGTTCTCATGAGATCTGATGGTTTTATAAGTGTTTGACAGTTCCTCCTTCACACGCTGTGTTGCATGCCACTATGTAGGATGCACTTGCTTCCCCTTCCGCCATGATTGTAGGTTTCCTGAGGCCTCCCCAACCATGCAGAACTGTTAAGTCAATTAAACCTCCTTTCTTTATAAATTACCCAGTCTTGGGCAGTTCTTTACAGCAGTGTGAAAATGGACTAATACTTAAGCCCTTAACAGACATCTGGTTTTCAAATATTTTTCTTCCATTCTGTAGTCTGCCTTTACACTCTATTCATTGTGTTCTTTAAATGTACAAATGTTTTAAATTTTGATGTAGTGCATTTCATCTATCTTTTTTTTGTTATTGCTTGTGCTTTTGGTGTCATATCGAAGAAGTTGTTGCCAAATCCAATGTTGTGAAGTTTTCCCCCTATGTGGGCTTCTAAGAGTTTTATAGTTGTAGTTGTTACATTTAGGTATTTAATCCATTTTGAGTTAATTTGTATATGGTGTGGAGTAAGGGTTCAGCTTCATTTTTCTGTATGTGGATATTCCATTTTTCCTGCACTATTTGTTGAAAATAATGTCCTTTACCTATTGAATGGTTTTGGCACCCTTGTCAAGAATCATTTGGTCATGTACATCAGGGTTTACTTCTGGGCTCTCTATTCTATTCAATTGGTCCACATGTCTGTCTTTATGCTAGTACTGCACTGCTTTGATTATTCTAGCTTTATAATTAGTTTTGAAAACAGAAAGTGTGAGACCTCTAACTTTATTTTTCTTTCCCAAGATTGTTTCGACTACTTAGAGTCCCTTGAGATTCCATATGAATCTTAGGATGGATTTTTCTATTTCTGAAAAAATGGTATTAGGATTTGGACAGGTATTGCACTTCATTTTTCACTTTGGGCAGTATTAACATCTTAACAATGTTAAATCTTCCAATACATGAACATGAGCTGTCTTTCCAATTACTTTTGCTTTCTTTACCTTTTTTTTAAACAATGTTTTGTAGTTTTCAGTGTGCAAGCGTTTTCTATTTTTGGTTGTTTATTCTTAGTATTTTATTCTATTTGGTGCTATTATAAATGGAATTTTTAAAATTTTCTCTTCAAATTATTTATTATTAGTGTATAGGAATGCAACTAATTTTTGCATGTTGATTTTGTGTCCTGCAACTTTGCTGAATTCATTTTATTAGTTCTACCAGTTTGTGTGTGTGTGTGATCTTTAGGGTTTTCTTCATATAAGATTATGTTGTCTGAAAAAGACATAATTTTATTTTTTCCTTTCCATTTTTGATACCTTTTATTTCTTTTTTCTGGCTTAATTTCTCTCTCTAGGACTGAGTACTATATTGAATAAAAGTGGCAGGAGTGAACATCCTTGTCTTATTCCTGATCTTAGAGAAAAAGCTCTCAGTCTTTCACCATTGAGTATGATGTTAGCTGTGGGCTTTTCAGATATGACTTTTATTATGTTGAAGTAGTCTTTCTATTCCTAGTTTGTTGATTCTTTGTGTCATGAAAGGGTGTTGACTTTTGTCAAATGCTTTTTCTGTATCAATTGAGGTGATTATGTGGGGTTTTCCTTAATTCTGTTAATTGGATTTATTACACTGATTGATTTTTATATGTTGAACCATATTTGCATTCCAGGAATAAATCCCACTTGGTCATGGTGTATAATCCTTTTAAAGATGCACTTTTTAAAAACAGAAATTCTTTGTTGAAGACAGTGGTTACTGAAAAAAACAGACACTTGAAATAATAAGAAAAAAAACAACAACCCTATTTTCCCTTTAACTAAAAGGCCGCAATGTATTGTACCATGAAAACACATAGTCTATCTAAAAAATATGAGATGTGGTACCCCCAATCCTAATGTCTTTGATGTATGGCTTACCCCATTAGCTTTCCTTGTACAACTTATGCATCTTTGCATTAACTCCTAGACTTCCAACTTTCACTTTAGGTTAGGAAAATTAATGTTTAACAAGTTTAACATAGATATACGTTAATGCTTGGAAATTATTGCTCAGTCAGAGACTGGTCTGCAACTAGGTCTACTTTATTCGTTGTATAATTTTGGATGGCAGTTATTTTAAATTAGAATAGAATTTTACCCCTGGAAAGATCTGCAGGAACCATCTAGACCTATCGCCTTATTTTAGAGATGAAAAAACCAAGATCCCCAAGGAATTGAGTTCTTGCCTAAAGTTTCATGGACAATTAAATGTTGGAAATGGGACTAGAGACAAGATCTTCTGGCCAGGTGCGGTGGCTCACGCCTGTAATCCCAACACTTTGGGAGGCCGAGGCAGGTGGATCACTTGAGGTCAGGCAGGAGTTTGAGACCAGCCTGGCCAACATGAAAAACCCTGTCTCTACTAAAAATGCAAAAATTAGCCAGGTGTGGTGGCATGTGCCTGCAATCCCAGCTACTTGGATGGCTGAGGCAGGAGAATCACTTGAACCTGGGAGGCAAAGGTTGCACTGAGCCAAGATCGTACCACTGCACTCCAGCCTGGGCAACAGAGCAGGACTCTGTCAAAAAAAAAAAAGAAAGAAAGAAAGAAAGAAGGAAAGAAAGAAAGGGAGAGAGAGAAAGAAAGAAAGAAGGAGAGAAAGAAAGAGAGAAAGAAAATGAAAGAAAAAGAAAGAAAAAAGAAAGAAAGAAGGAAAGAAAGAAAGGGAGAGAGAGAAAGAAAGAAAGAAAGAAGGAGAGAAAGAGAAAGAAAAAGAAAGAAAAAGAAAGAAAGAAAGAAAAAAGAAAGAAAGAAGGAAAGAAAGAAAGGGAGAGAGAGAAAGAAAGAAAGAAGGAGAGAAAGAAAGAGAGAAAGAAAAAGAAAGAAAAAGAAAGAAAGAAAGAAAAAAGAAAGAAAGAAGGAAAGAAAGAAAGGGAGAGAGAGAAAGAAAGAAAGAAAGAAGGAGAGAAAGAAAGAGAGAAAGAAAAAGAAAGAAAGAAAAAAAGAAAGAAGGAAAGAAAGAAAGGGAGAGAGAGAAAGAAAGAAAGAAGGAGAGAAAGAAAGAGAGAAAGAAAGAAAGAGAGAAAGAAAGAAAGAAAAGAAAGAAAGAAAGAGAGGAGGTCTTCTGTCTCCTACTGGACTTCTGCTCACAGTTGGCTACATCCCATGCAGTGTCACTGCTGGGTCACCTACCTTCTACAGTAAAAGAAGTTGGATGAGTTCAATGGATTTGCGTAGACTTGGGATCTTTCTTGAAGCAGCTCCGTCAGTAGCTTCTCCCTGGCCTCTACATTGGCTGGGGCTGAAGGTACAAAACTCGCAATGTACCTACATACCTATACCATAACACAGGCAACAGTGAAGACACACATAGGCAAGGCCTGGTTGATCACTGTTTTTTCCCATCCCACTCAAGAACATTTGCAACTCCATGTCTAGGAATGAAGAGATTGAAGACAATGTCATTAGATGCCATCCAATACAAGATAATTTTCCAATCTTTTTTTGAAAATACAAAAGTCTCCTTAACAAGTAATATCAGAGGATGTGGACTTTGGTTTTCTCTCCTCTTCAGACCCAACAGATACACTAGTACTTACCATCCATCTCTATTTGCATGATATTATGGAAAAATGTGAAAGTAGAATACAATTGTTATGCAATACATTGATTCACTCAAATTGTTTTTGTCCTTAAAAGTGCAAGTCATTCTTTCTCTGGCAATGATCTGTAATTACATGGTTTTTGCCTCCTTGGAATTTTAATTATAAAGTTAAGGTAATTTTTTTAAAATGAGAAGGAAAAAGTATTGGAATATCCATGTCATTATGATATTTTACTAGTATGAAATGCATGTAGATTTGAGAAGTTGCCTTTTAAAAATATATTAAATTATGGATCATAGAGATTTATTTTATTAAAATGCATTCTATATTCCTTTGTTAGATTAAAACACAGCATTTCTTTTTTAAGTGCCTTTCAAGGAAAATGTGGCAAGAAATTTATGAAAACAATTACTTTGCTTATTTTATAAGTTATACTTGTTTTCAAATATTTAATTTTATGCTTACACCAAAAACCTATATTTAATTGATTTTAAAGAACTTTCAAAAATTTTCAAAGAATGAATAAGACATGCTATAGAAAAAATTATTTACCAAATATTTAGCTAAAATTCAGTATAGCTTTAGAACAAAGGTTGTTTTATTAAGTCAGAGAAGCTCATTAGACTGAGCTCAAGTTAGGCTGAGATGAATTCCTTCCCTTCCCCTGACCCACATAGGACCCTGCTAGACTGCAATGGAAATTTTTATGTCAAAATTCTCTTTTCAGTCATAATGAAAGCAAAGAGACTCTTCTTTGATCATATAATCACAAAGGCTTTCTCTAAACACTAAGATTTGCACAAAAGGATACATCTTGAAAATTCCATCTACAGCCTGTGATCATGACGTCATATGACTTTCTCATGAGCCGGTTAGACTTGTGTAAAGAAAGCTGGATTTTATCTGAGTTTTCCTCAAAGCTGCTCCTATAATTCCACAATTCACAGACTAGTTTCAGCAGCCAGATCTTTTTTTTTGAGACAGAATCTCACTCCATCCCCCAGGCTGGAGTGCAGTGGTGCAATCTCAGCTCACTGCAACCTCTATCTCCCAGGTTCAAGCAATTCTCCTGTCTCAGTCTCCCAAGTATCTGGGATTACAGGTGCGTACCACCACACCCAGCTAATTTTTTTTTTTTGTATTTTTAGTAGAGATGGGGTTTCACCATGTTGGCCAGGTTGGTCTTGAACTGCTGACCTCAACTGATCCACCTGCCTTGGCCTCCCAAAGTGCTGGGATTACAGGCATAAGCCATTGCACCCGGCATGCAGCCAGATTTTTCTGATATTGATTACTAAGAACAGATCTGGTATTTATAGACTTTCCATTTGGAAATCAAGAAGAATCACTACAAATACACATTCCAAAAACAAACAAACAAACAATAACAATGAAGCAAATAGTTATAAACAAAATACCTTCTCATTTACCTGTGGCTTTCTATTATTGCATGGATATTCTTCCAACTTAAACCCTGGAGTCTTGTTTTTGGTAGGTTATATTTTGGATGATGGGAGTACCTCCTTAAAACTTGACTTAAAAAAAATGTTTCAGGCCAGGCTCATGCCTGTAATCCCAGCACTTTGGGAGGCCGAGGTGGAAGGATTTCTCGAGCCCAGGAGTTCGAGACCAGCTTGGGCAACATAGCAAGATCCTGTCTCTACAAAGAAATTTTTTTAATTAGCCAGGCATGGTTACTTTCTCCTATAGTCCCAGCTACTAGGAAGGCTGAGGTGGGAGGTTTGCTTAAGCCCAGGAGTTTGAGGCTGCAGTGAGCTATTATCATAATGCCACTGCACTCCAGCCTGGATGACAGAGACTCTGTCTGCAAAAAAAAAAAGAAAGAAAGAAAAAAGGGGTTTACCATTGCTTTGGCAGGGGAGTTGAAAACTCAGAACATCTTTTTTTTTTTTTTTTTAAACTGGTTCATTTTACTTCTCAGATTATCTTATAGAGGTCATCTTGTCAGGATCTGGTTTCATTTATCTACAGAAACCACATCTGCTTCCATGCAATTGGCTGCCCCAGGAGCATATTCAATGTGATATCTTATCTTTCCAGGCCTTAGGCCATTGTAACTTTCTGGCAGACCAAAGTCTCAGGTTCCAGCATGGAACATGCTCTGAGTTGCAGAAATCCATTTCCCAGGAGGCTGTGGCACTCATCTTTCATCCCTATACACTTACCCACTACCCCAACCATGGGTACCACAAACACATACACTCCTTACCATGCTCAGGATAGAAAATGAGCACCCATCTGTAGTACACACATCTCTGAAGTGCTACAATCACAATCATAATCCTCAAGTCACCGTTGGGATGTAATTCTAAATTCCACACCTCCAGCCCTTTTAATACAAATGGTGTTTAGAGGTAGCTCAGAGTAGATATTAGCCATGAAATTGTGGTGCCTTATTTAACGGGCCATGAGGCCTCCTTCAACACCTAGTCCTATTACCTGCATCTCCAAAGAGCTGAAACCTGGAAAAAAGAGTAGGAGGTAGCAGAGTCAAGGGAGGTACCCATATTGATGGCCATAGAAGGGTGGTGGCTAGGCCACAGCAGTCAAATTGCAAACTTTTAGCCACAAGAAGCAGGGCTGCAGGTAGACGGGACTTTTGAGAATGTATGTTCCTGCCATGGAGAGATTTAAACTAAAATAGGACCAGTGGGGACACCCACACTGGAGGGGTTAGGAAAAGAGTCAGGGGAGGAAGGAGAGAAGCAGTGGAATCCAGCCCTGGAGTGGAAGGGCAGCTGCTTCCATCCTGCTCTAAGGGAGAGCTCAGGGAGTGAAAATTTCCTTTAGGTGCGTCTAAGACCAAACCACTCCTGGGAAGCAGGAATCGCTAATAGCCCTCTCTACCAGGCAACCCCTGTCTCTGCTTAGCTGATACTCAGTTCAGAGAGGCATCTCCATTGGTCCTGCTGTGGCTTCCGGAGCTGCCACAGGCCCAGCACGCAGCCTCAGCTGGCTGGCTTGCCCATGCGGCTTTATCATTTAAATGAAACAAAGATCTTTCAAGCAACTCAGTGTCACTATTTAAGACATGTATTTTAGGGCAGATACTTTATGGGAATTTTTTTTTCCCTTAGCTGGAATAAATTTCCCTCTCCTGGGGTTTGTGGTGGCGAGGAAGACCAGGAGCAAATATACTGGACGGCCAGCTAAGGCCCTTTCCAGGGCTCAATTTCATTTGTCCATAAAGAACTAGGCTTCCTTTCTGGGAGCTGACCTAGTAGTTGGTGAGAACTCACTTCTCAGCACCTAGCAGTTTGAAAACATCTGCGCTCGTAAGCCAGGCAGGTGGGGCAGGCCGTGAGATAAGACGGGGAGGGTTAGGCACTGGGCCGGACCTGCAGACCTGCCCAGGTGTAGTTGAAAGGCTCAGAATTTAAACTCACGTGGTACAGTGAGAGAAGACAGGATAGATTCAGAGGACAATTGGAGAGAAAGAGCATAGCATGAGAGCAGCCCTCAGCTGGTAGGTTTTTTGTTTTTTTTTTTTGAAGCAGGGTCTTGCTCTGTTGCCCAGGCTGTAGTACAGTGGCATGATCTTGGCTCACTGCAACCTCCACCTCCTGGGCTCAAGCAATTCTCTCACCTCAGCCTCCTGAGTAGCTGGCATTACCAGCACACGCCACCACACCTGGTTAATTTTTATATTTTTTTGTCGAGACGGGATTTCCCCATGTTGCCCAGGCTGGTCTTGAACTCCTGGGCTCAAGCAATCTGCCCACCTCAGCCTCCCAAAGTGCTGGGATTACAGGCATGAGCCACAGCACCTGGTCAACCTTGAGTTTTAAACCTGTCTGTCCCTGACTGAGGAGGCCTATGCAGGTCAGAAAACCTCCCTGGGGCCCTCATCGACAAGTGAGGCACTCACACCAGACAGGCACCAAAGTTCCCCCATCCTGTGAGGCTGGACCAGGAGGCCTCTGAAACTCCCCTCAACATGCCTGGTCACACCCTTCTCCAGCCTGAGACTGGCTACACAGCTTATGTTCAACTGAAATCAAAAGAGGGAATGAGGATAACAAACTTTACAGAGTGCATTTTAACAACTAAAAAACTGGGAAAGAACTTTCCAGAAAAACTCAAAAGAAAATCCAATGTACCACATAAAACACCTTTCAGGAATAATCAGGAGTTGACTAAACCAGGGGTCCCCACCCCTGTACCACACACTAGTACCAGTACTGGTCTGTGGCCTGTTAGGAACCAGGCTGCACAGCAGGAGGTGAGCTGCTGGCGAGTAAGCGAAGCTTCATCTGTATTTACGGCCACTCCCCATGGCTGGCTTTACCACCTGAGCTCCACCTCCTATCAGATCGGCAACATTAGATTCTCATAGGAGCGAGAACCCTATCGTGAACTACCCACACAAGAGATCTAGGTTGCATGCTCTGTATGAGAATCTAATGCCTGATGATCTGTCACTGTCTCCCATCACCCCCAGATGGGACCGTCTAGTTGCAGGAAAACAAGCTCAGGGCTCCCACTGATTCTACATTATGGTGATTTGTATCATTATTTCATTATATATTACAATGTAACAGTAATAGAAATAAAGTGCACAATAAATGTAATGTGCTTGAATAATCCTGAAACTGTCACCCCCCACCCCCTTGTCCATGGAAAAATTGTCTTCCACCAAACTGGTCCCTGGTGCCAAAAAGGCTGGGGACCGCTGGGCTAAACCACCTAAGAGGCTGCTTATCCTAAACAACAGGGCAGAAGCAGACTGCACACAAAAATACAGGTTAGGCCTCGTGGGAATAGAAATTCTAGCTCTCTGCTCAAAATGAATCATTGTCATGGCGAGAGAAGCACACTTGTTTATATACAAGTGCCTGGTGATCTTATTTCCATCAAGCTCCAGTCAGTGACTCACTGTTTGCTTACCAATGGCAAGGAGAGGTACTTTCAGTTTTCTGTAACAAACTTCATCTGCATCCACATGGAGACAGCACAATCAGCTGCTCATCATCTATGCAGAGCAGAGGCAGACGCCTCCAGGATCTGCTGAAAACTCAGTGCTCAATGCTAGCTCAGATGCTTTTTTTGTAAAAAAAAAAAAAAAAAAAAAAAAAAAAAAAAAAAGCCACATTCTCTAGCTTATGGAGCCAGTCCTTTCTGTGTGACCTTGAACAAGTTTCTAAACCTCTCTGGGCCCTATTTTCCATATATATAAAGCAGCGTTAATAATGGTATACACTTCAGAGAGTTGTTTTAAGGACCGAAAGAGATAACATATAGAGTGCTTTATATGAGGGCATGGGGAAGTCCTCAATATATGTTAGCCATTTTATAATTATACATTTTTTTTTGAGACGAAGTCTCCCTCTCACCAAGGCTGGAGTGTTGCAGTGTGATCTCAGCTCATTGCAACCTCCAACTCCCAGGTTCAAGCAATTCTCCTGCCTCAGCCTCCCAAGTAGCTGAGACTACAGGTGTGTGCCACCAAACCCAGCTAATTATTTTTATTTTTAATTTTAGTAGAGACGGGGTTTCACCATGTTGGCCAGGCTGGTCTTGAACCCCTGGCCTCAAGTGATCTGCCCACCTCAGCCTCCCAAAGTGCTGGGATTATGGGTGTGAACCACTACACCTGGCTAATTATACAGTTTTGAATAAACTTTATTTTTAAAGCAGTTTTAGATTCACAGCAAAGCTGAGCAGAAGGTACAGAGATTTCCCATCTACCCAGTGCCCGCCCATGTGTACAGCTCCACCATTATCAATATCTACCACCAGAGTGGTGCATTTGCTGCATTAGATGAGGTAACAATGAGACATCATTATCACCCAAAGTCCATAGGTTACTTGAGGGTTCACTCTTGTGTTTCACATTCGATAGGTTTGAGGAAATGTAGCATGACATGTATCTGCCATTCTAGGATCCTACAGAATGTTTTCACTGCCCTAAAAATCCTCTGTGCTTCACCTATTCATCCCTCCCTTCTGCCTTGCCCCTGACAACCAACAATCTTTTTACTGTCTCCATAGTTTTGTCTTTTCCAGAATGTCATATAGTTGGAATTGTACCATATGTGGTCTTTTCAGATTGGCTTTTTTCACTTACTAATATGGATTTAGGTTCCTAAATGTCTTTTCATGGCTTGATAGATTCTTTTCAGGGCTGAATACTATTTCATTTACTGGATGTGCCACAGTTTATTTGTCCAGCTATTGCAGCTATTATTTTAATTATGTTTTTCACATTTGCACTAGCTCTTACAAAGTATAGCCCTGGAAGAACTCTTAAACAAGCTGGCTAGGTAACACACACATGCACATGTTATAACCATGGGACAAGATGGTATGCTATCCTACCTTGATGTAACTATGCATATAATTAGCTAGATAGGACAGTGTGCTACACCGGCCAGCACAGACAGGGAATAGGATAATCTATTCATATAACAAAGAGCTAATTGTTGCTATGGAGAGCAGATGCATACAGGAGGGAGATGGTGCTGGCTGCTGGGTCCCAGGATTGTAAGGTGGACAGAAGGTGGCCAGTAGAGGAGATGAGGTGTGAAACCGAGGCAGGTGGTGCCAGAGAACAAATGTAGGGAATGTGAGAGATGAACTTAGGAAACAAAGAGAGAGGGGCGTTAGAGGACAGAGATCTCTTGTTATCATCTATCTCCAACTTTCCTCATCAGATTGGAGGGTAAAGAGTTGCTGATTATGAATTTAGAGCCCTCTGGAGCTCAATCCATTGGAAGGAGCACTGTGGCTTGAAGGAGCACGGCGGCTTGAAGGAGCACGGCGGCTTGTGTTCTATCAGTACATTGTATTGCATGTCCTTCTCCTTAAGGAAAAGCAAAATTGGAACCACAATAGGAATATTTTTCAAAAAGCTCAGCTTTTTTTTTTTTTTTTTTTTTGAGACAGTTTTGCTTTTTGTTGCCCAGGTTGGCGTGCAATGGCGCAATCTCGACTCACTGCAACCTCGGCTTCCTGGGTTCAAGCGATTCTCCTCCCTCAGCCTCCTGAGTAGTTGGGATTATAGGTGCCTGCCATGATGCCAGGCTAATTTTTAGTAGAGATGGAGTTTCACCATGTTGGCCAGGCTGGTCTCGAACTCCTGACCCGAGGTGATCAGCCCGCCTTGGCCTCTCAAAGTGTTGGGATTACAGGTGTAAGCTGCTGCGCCCGGCATTTTTTTTTTTTTTTTAAAGACTAGCTACATCTCAACTGTAAGTGGTCAGAACAGACATTTCACCAAGTGTTCAGGGTCTCTTGGGATGGTGCTGGCTCTGCAAGGACCACACATATCCCCAAAGGACTGGCAGAACCTCGGTCCTTTTCCTTTATTCTTTTGGAACAAAAAGAACCCTCTCAAGGACATTGGCCTTGGCATGTAGTCCCTGTGGTCCCTCTCATTTTCCAGTAACTTGGCAGCCTTAACTTGTCCTGGGTTTAGCTGCACCAGTCTTGAGCACCTACCAGACATGGGAGCCATTTGCAGAATCCAGTCCAATTCCAGCTTGAGACAAGATGACATGCTCCTTTTTCCTGGAGGCTGGAAGAATTACAAAGGCAGTTTCCTTTCCCCTACCCCTTTCTGTGTCCTTCCCGCTCCCTCCCCGCCCCAGCACTTCCTCATCGTCCTCCAGGGCCTGGGCTGTGCCATCTCCTCCCCTCTCAAGAATCACTCCTTCCTGCCTTGCTCTCCATGTCTGATTCTTAGAACTTCAGAGGCAGAAGAGGTCATCCAATTCAACCTCCCCATTTTGTGAATCAGGAAATCATGTCCCAGAGACGTTCAGGGAAACTGAGGTCTCACACAGCAGGTCAGTGGGGAGGCTGGGACCAGAGCCTGGCCTCCTGGCTCCAGAGGCGGGACCTTTGCCAACACAAGGTTGCACTGAGACTTGCACTGTGCACCTTATTTGGCTCCTGGGGAATTCCATTGTCCTCCTGCCTGGCATCCGATCTGCTTTAGCCTAAGCCTCAACAATCATAGAGACCCTGACTTCCGTTCCTTCTCATTCATTCCTCGCATACAAAATTCTGGAACAGAGTTTGAACTTCACTGTGGACAACAAAGTTGATCAAATTCCCCAGCCTCCTAACTTTTCATCGGAATGGCAGACAGGAGCAACAAACGCGATATTGAACTGTGAATAGCCGTGGGCACTGGCCTTTGCTCACAGCGTCTCATTTAATTCTCACAGCCACCCTAGAGGCAGGTGGGGGTTCTTACCTATTTTACATATGAGGAATCTGGGGCTTTGAGAGGATGAGAAGGTTGGCCGAAATCACACCGCCAGGAAGCAGAAGAGCTGGGATTTCAATCAGGCATTACCCAACTCTAGGGTTACTAAAGCCATTAGACTTGGGGATACTTAAAGTGGTTCCTGCACCAGCAGCTCAGACATCACCTGGGAACTTGTTCGAAATGCAGGTTCTCAGTCCCCTTTGAGACCTACTGCACCAGAAGCCCGAGGAGGAGGGAGCTGGCACCCTGTATGATTTCCATGCAAGCACAAGCCCAAGACCCACTGCAATGGACTATACGGCTGCCCCCTCTGGGATGCTCGACACTCCCAGAATCATTGCCTTTTATCATTGGACCAAACCTGCATTGTGTGCAAAGCTCTTTGCTCTTCCCATTTGACCATTGTACACCTGGAGGTTTGAGAGACTTTCCAATGTACAAGTAGAAGGAGGAGAGGCAGAGGCTGGGGCTGAGCCCAGAGCCCTCACGCCAAGTAATTCTTTCTAATCATTACGTACCAGTCCCTCTCTTACTGGCCTCAAGCCAGGCCTGAAGATAAATAGCTAAGGATCTAAAATAAATGAAAGCCACACTCTTTCCAAATAGATCAATAATGTTCTCCACTCTGGCACGGACCTTCTATGCAAGCTGGGAACAGATCGCTGCCAATACTTATTTAGCAAGGTTGTGAGTCCTATCTGCTCCATCTTAACGATTATGGTTTTATTCATCATCTGGGTACTAGAAATCAATGGTCTCAAAGGTGTGGAGAGATGTTAGAGTTCCCTGCTGTCCTTCGTAGCATGGCTTAAAGGCACTAAGTTTATTGTGGCGTTTGTCATGCCATTGAACTGTTTACATTCCTGTTACTGAAATCACAGTTTAAGTGGATGTGTCCCTATGCAGAACAAATCCTAACACCCTTATGACTAGCTGAAGAGAGGAGGCAACATTCATTTCACAGAATAAATCAGGTGTGCTAGGAGCTTAGTGAGAGGCAGCCTCATTTAGTCCACGGGAGTCTTAAAATAGATTCTTTATCAGATGAGTAATTTCCAGTTTTTCTTTTTCTCTCTTCACTGCCTCTCTCCCATCCCTTAAACATTATAGAAATACCTTCTCCAAGACTACAGTGAGAAACCAATGTGAGAGAAATGCTTTAGAACAACTATTTTTGGAAAACATATGTCTAAGCTATATAAGGGACATCTGGTGAAGGCTTTTTTTTTTTGGAATATTCTCTGCATGTAATAGGTGCACAGTTAAAGAGGCATATTGACTGCTGCAATGCCTCCTGTCTCTTGATCGACAAGGACTTCAGCTTGCTAGCTGTTTGGATCCTGTCTTTACTGTGTAACAACAGTCCTGTTCATTCACATTCATTTATTATTAATTCCTATGTAGCAGGTGTGCACTAGAAAATGGGAAGTCAAAAGATGAATAAGAATCCTCTCCCCCTGCACCCAGCCTTTCAGGAACTGATCATCTGAGAGGGACACTGGCCCTGCAAACCGGGCTCCCTGAAGCAGGGAGAGTGACTGGGAGGATCTGCATAACACCTTGCGCCCCCAGGGCGCATTGTGGTCTGGCATTTGAGGCTGATGACTCTTGTGAAGGAAGCAGTCAAGACTGTGATGTGGATTTTAAAGACGAGCAAAAATGGAAGACTCCCTAATTAAAAGACAACTCCGAAGACGATTTTCCCAGAAGCTTTTACAGAGTGTAACAACAGAATTTTGCTTTCTGAGCAAATTCTCTGGGTCCCCAGAGCCATCTGCTAAGGAGTGGGTCCCGGAGACACTGGCGGACGTGCTGGCGACTGAGCATGCTTACCGCCTGGGGTGGGCTTTCTGCTTCCAAGATAGAATGTAACAGGACTCAGAAGCAATGCTCATGCTTCTGCTGGAGTGGATGAGGATGATGGGAGTGGGGGAGTGAATGTTCCCTGTGAGCCCGAGTGGGAGGAGAGGGAGCGGGGGCCTCTCCCTCTGATTCACTGGGTGCCCCCTTGGATGTGGGAGTTGGGGACCTTGAGACCATCCTGGTGGGACCTCTCTTTGCCGTGGCTGCATGGGCAGCACAAAGCATTTCTCAAGGCCTTGCAAGCAAAGTTGTCTTGAATGATGACCCACTTTAAATAAATGCCCTCAGAATAAAGTACAGGGAGGGGTGGCAAAAGGCGGATCCCCTGGGCTCGCCACACCTCACAAGACGCCCACCAGTTTGAGTAAAATGCGGGCCTTCTTTTCTGCTCAGAGGGGACTGTTGCACCTGGGCCAGCCAGAAACAGGTAGTCCTTTTTTCCCCTCCTTCTATTCTCACGTTTTATAATTTCATAGAACTTCCATGAGCACATAGTTAGCACCGTTTTGCCCATTATCTCAGTGATTCTTCACAGTCCTGTCTGTTTGGGGTTTATTACCCACACTGCAGCAAGCAGGGAAGTTAGCAGTCCAGAGGCACTCATCTGGGAGGTGGCAGAGTCCGGCTTTGAATGCAGGTTTATTTCTACTGAAACCAGCTGAGACTAGGTAGCAACCACAGAGGTCCACCCCGATTCGTCTGAAAAGAGAAAGGGCTGCCGTGGTTCAACACCATTGTGTTCAAAATTGGGAAAAGCTGAATAAAAAAGAAACATCTCGTAGGAAGGAAGCCAAATCTTACTCGAGTCATCCTGTTTGGTATTTTGTTTGCTTTTCTCTAAAAATGTGAGTTTTGTGCCTTCGTTGTTGACATTATTTTGTTTGAGTTAAACATCTGCTGCGTGCCAGGCACCGTTTCGCACTCAGGTTTTCTGACGCCAAGTCTAGTGAATTTTTAATTTAGGCACAGCTGCCTTAACCCATCGCCTCACTCCTGCCTCCCCCTCCAATTTCTCATGCTGTAATTCATTCCAGGCAATAAAGGATGTGGAGTTTGCTTGTGCTCCTTGGGCATGAGTAAGTGGGATGTGTCTTTCGGTATTCTGGGAAACCATAACTGGGACGGCTCATCTTTGCAAGAAAATGCAAGGCAACAAACACTTAGGAAGCCAGAGTCCTCTTCCTTCACCGCGTGGGTTATGCACCATCCCAGGCTTGGTAAAGTAGCATCCTTGTCCAGAAGTTTCATTTGTGGTACAATAATCACATGCCAGAGTTTTCCGGTCAGCAAAAACAGAAAATTGTCCCTTTCTTGGGGTCTGCAGAAATATCAGTCTCCAAAGTCATTAATTTTTTCTCAAAGCGGTCAGGCATGTGGACAGAGGACAACAATAGACCTCTCTCTCCCCGGAGTCAGGACCCTTCAGAAACTGCGATTTTGATTGTCACTGAATAAACCGCCACTGTGTCATTTGGAGATAAATACAAACAAGTGCTTTGTAACGGGGAGAAAAGTGTTGTTCTCAAAGAGCCGAGGGTCCCTAAAATGCAGCCTCTGCAGTCACCCCTTTCAAGATCTCGCAAAGAACCAAGAGGGGAGTGTAAACAAGACCTTCATTTTTTATTTCTTGGTTTCTTAAACTAAAAATACCAACTTTGCCTGGAAAAACTACCCGAGCTTGTCTGGGCATTAGCATCTAGGGAACGTTCCTCATTTGAACACCTGGAGTTGTTTGTTATTCATTTGCAAGAATTTCCTTACAGCTATTTTATAGACACCCGGGATGGGCTGTTCTGAAAATCAACTGGAATGTTTATACAGAGCTGTGCTTCCTGTGATTACAACATGATGAAGGGTTAGAGACCATCACTGTCGCCTCAGTTTGGAAAAAAGAAAATGCACGGTGCATGAGAGGCAGCTTATGTAGTCTCAAACTTACTGTCTTGCTCTCGTTCTAAATATTCGGGGAAAGAGAAAAATTCTGGGAAAGAAGGACTCTGATAGTTCTTGATCATTCCATTTGCCTTGGCTTTTGGATTGCAGCATTTACTGTCTACTTTGCCTTGACAAATCTATCTGGTTAAACAAAGCATACTACTTGCCTTCCTTTGGCTACACCTGTAATGGAGTATCACATCCTGATAGGCTTCACACTTTGGCTGGGAATAGTCAAGGTTTTCGTTTGGAGTTTCGGAAGCCACACAAAAAAATGCCACAGAGATTCTTTTTCAGATGACCATAAACCCTCATCTCTCGCCTGATCGAGTTTGGGTAAAGTGAACGTATTTTCCATGTGTTGGTCTCTTTCTCCAATTGGACATTGCTGCATGTAAGTCCCAGCGGGTCATGGTGTGATATCCAAACCATACTGGCAAGAAATGTCCAGCTCCTGGAGCCTGAGAGCTCCTGATGGGGGGGGTCACATAATAGCAAGCCCTAAGGAGGAGTTTGATGTGGACAATGTGCTGTGAGGTATATCTTCCTGGCTATTGACATTGTGAATTAACTCCTCCCTAATGAACACTTCTACTTAATGACCACAGGACTGTGTAATGATAGTGGAAGGAAGTACTTGCCCCGGGCCTGACCGCCTGCTGTCTTCCTCACCCTGATCCAACCTTCCCTCCTCTAAGCCTTTCTCCCTTGCACCTACTCTTTGCACCTTACTCTGTCTTCAAGTCCTATATCTCCCTTCATCCAGCCCAGCCTCTCCTCCTCTGAAATACTAGGGCATCTGGCATCCAAACTGACTATTTGACTCTTATAAATTGCCTTGCCATGGGATTATTTTGACTCGTATATAGTTTCTCTCCTTTCCAACCAGATGGTAGACTCTTCACTGTCAGAGTTAGTCTAATGTACCTTTCATTCACATTTTATGGCCGAGCAGCATCCTTCACAAATATTAGAGACTTAGAGAATTTGTTCATCCCCAGCTCAACCTGCATCCCATGTGAACATGTGAGGTGGAGAGGCAAATGTTGTCTATTTTCAATGAAAATAAAGCAGTAATGCTATGTGGTCATGGAAGGCCACCACCTTCACCATCAGGAGAGGCGGGTCCCAGTTTCCTCTCAACCCTCTGAGTTACATGTGTGTGATCTTTACAGCTGTGGGCCAAGCTGTTCTCACTTGTAAGGTGAGGAGATTGTCTCAGAAGATCTTTACAGGTCTCTTCCATGGGTGGCAAGGGAGAGCATCAGGGAAAAGAGTTAGTGCATGCTGGGCTTAACACCTAGGTGATGGATTGATAGGTGCAGCAAACCACCATGGCACACATTTACTTATGTAACATACCTGCACATCGTTCATATAGACCCTGGAACTTAAAAAAATAAAATAAAATAAAAAATATGAAAAGGTCTCCTCCAACACTAATATTTTGCTAACATACACTTGCATTTTCTTCCATGTAAGAAAAGATGAGTTTATAGAATCAAAATCCCTCACATTTCCAATACTGAGACCCCACCATCGCCCATGCTTCTGCCGATGGGGGTTCAGTACTCCTCTTCCTCTAAGAGCTGCAAAGCCTGATTATGGGGAGCTGAAATCTTCCTCCTTGCACATTCCATCTTTTGGCTCTTAGTTCTGCCCTGGAAACCACACAGTCTGCAGAATCCGCTTCCCCCATGACAGCTCCTCATATGCTAGAATACGGATGTCACATGCCACCCTGCTTCCCCTTGCCTTTTCCAGCCCTCGCATCTGCTCACCATTTGACTTGCCTTCCAGGCGGCCAGCACGTTGGGGCCTCTGCCCGGGCAGCCTCATTTGTCAGAGCGGCTGCAGTGCCCCAGATGGGCCGCGCTCCAACAAGTGCACACCACAAAGGGACTATTATCACCCTCGCAGTGGACACTGTACTTTTATTAATACAGCTTAATATCGCTCTGGCTTTTTTTGGCAGCCATGACTCATTTTTGACTCCAAGCAAACATATGGTTATCTAAAGCCCCCACGTCCTTTTCAGAGAAAAAGGCAAGTTGTCTTCCCAGTTCCATTAACAGGCATGAGGTTTTTCTAATTTAAATTTTTATTGAATCAAATGGACCAGCTTCTTCTAAATATTTTACTTAAGAGTCTGGTTACTTTGAATTGGGAAATTTTGTATGAATTGTTTTATACTTTTGAATATTATGTTGCTTGAATAATATTTTCACTTAATTAAAAAAACAACAATTTTTAGTACTTCCATTTCTAAAATCAGTTTATTTCTATGTGGATAAGTGGGAGTTAAGATCTTTGGAACTCTGAATTAAAGATAAACCAATATCCTATTCACCCGTTTCTCATTCTCTAATGTGTATACTATTCCAAACATATCAGACTGTCATGTTTGGAAAAACCAGGATAATCGAACAAAGGAACTCCAAGTAATTAAGTGATGTTGATTGAAAGGAGCATTCAGCTGCTTTCTGGGTTGCTTAACTGGAAACAAAATTAATTATGGGATTCACAGATTAAATTTTGCAGTTATGGAATTTGCAGACATTTTCAAATCCTTCTGTACCTTTTGGTAAATTTCTTGTTTGGTGATTTATCAAGTTGTTAAGTAGAAACAAATCATCCCAGCACTTTATTATTAACTCTAGGCTGGATTTAATTTTGAGATGCAGACCAAGGTCTTTGTATTCCAATTTGCTAGTTCAAGTCATCGGGACCATAGACAGTCACAAGGAAGAGGCTCCAGTCTTGGATGGTCCAGGCAGGAGAATCGGTGGAATTTATGACTGCAATGCCAGTGAAATATGAGGGAGCATCCAATTATTCAACCCTCCAATAACTGGCTTTAAATGAGTTGTTCTGTAAACCTGGTTATATGTGTTTTTCTTTATAGAAAGTGAAATTAATCTGAAAAAGGCCTTTGGAAATATTTGTGAAATCATGTGGTCACCCAGATTAGAGCCACCCAGTGTTCTTCCCAGCACAAAAATGAGCCTTGTCTCTGACACCTGCCATTTCTAACTACCATGGCTGGATTTTTGGACTGGGAAGCATCACCAGCTGTTCCTAGCATGTGTGTGTGTGTGTGTGTGTGTGTGTGTGCGCGCACGCGTGTGTGTGTGTGTGAGAGAGATCTTTTATTAACACCTTTTAAAAAATAAAATAGTTTTCTCTTAAATATGATACATGTATTCACTGCAGAAAATTAGAAAAGTAAATTAAAATATAAAAGAAGAAAAATAATTTCAACATCCTAGTCAACATTCTGGTATATTTTCTTATTCTTTTTTCAATTTAGAAATAGAAATCTTTAGAGTAACTTTTAAATTAAAAATGGTATAATTTTGAATGTATAACTTCAGAAACTATTTTTCTCTTAAAATTATAAAATGAGCAGTTCCATGAATCATTTCTATTGTTTAAGTATCCAACTTTTAATGACTATGTAATATTCATATATATATTCAACAAACATATTTATATATTGTATACTTTTGTGTATAGAGAGATAATATATATTGATATGGAAAACATATTTATATACACACACATAAGTATATTTCTCCTAATTTAGCACATTTGGGTGACTTCAAATCTTTTGCTGTAATAGTGCTACAATGAATGTCTTTGTGCATACATCTTTGGCCAAATATCTGATTATTGATTTAGAATAAATTACTGGAAGGAGAATCACTGCATTTAAAGGAATTAATGGTTTTTAGGGCTCTTGATACATATGGACCGGTTGCTTGTAAGAAAACTTTTTCCAGGACAGACTTATCTCAAGAGTGAATCAGAATGTGGCACTGAGTCATATTTTAATATTCATCTGCCTGTTTTATCAGTAAATATAGTTTTAATTTGCATTTTTAAAGTAACTACTTATGATGAAAGTTTTTACCTGTAATATATAGTGGCTTCTTTTATGAACTGGTTCTTCTTGTCATTTGCCTATGTTGTGAATTATATTAACCTTTAAAAAATGTAAATGGTTGACCTTTTAAAAAATAACTCCATAGGGTTTTTTGTTTGTTTGTTTGTTTGTTTTTTTAATGGAGTCTCACTCTGTTGTCCAGGCTGGAGTGCACTGGCATGCTCTCGGTTCACTGCAACCTCCATCTCCCAGGTTCAAGCAATTCTCCTCCCTCAGTCTCCTGAGTAGCTGGGACTACAGGCACATACCACCATGCCCGGCTAATGTTTGTATTTTTAGTAGAGACAGGGTTTCACCATGCGACCATGCTTCTCTCGAACTCTTGACCTCAGGTTATTCACCTGCCTCAGCCTCCCAAAGTGCTAGGATTACAGGAGCGAGCCACCACGCCTGGCCCAGAGTTTTCTTTTATTATTACGAACTGTGTCTGTATGCAATGTGTTATAAATGTAAGTTAATTGTGGATTATTGAGGTTAGTGCTAATGATTCTTTCCAAAGCATTCGACTTACTTTTTATTCAAGCAACTTTTCTCTTTTCTTTTGATCTCCTATTTCATAAGTTGAGATGTTTAAGCAAATTATGCAATGTTAAGAATAAGTTAACATTTAAGAACAATTTTAAGGCCAGGTGTGGTGGCTCATGCCTGTAATCCTAGCACCTTGGGAGGCCAAGGCAGGCAGATCACTTGAGGTCAGGAGTTCAAGATCAGCCTGGCCAACATGGAGAATCCCAGTCTCTTACTAAAAATACAAAAACAATTAGCCAGGCATGGTGGCAGGCACCTGTAGTCCCAGCTACTAGGAGGCTAAGGCACGAGAATCACTTGAACCTGAGAGGTGGAGGTTGCAATGAGCCAAGATCATGTCATTGCACTGCAGCCTGGGCGACAGAGTGAGACTCCGCGTCTCAAATAAATAAATAAATAAATAAATAAATAAATAAATAAGAAAAAGAACGATTTTAAGAAAGGACATAAATGAGTTGGGAATGAACACAACTTGCTTATGGGACACATATGATTCAACAAGCAGGGTCAGACAGACCTAGGTCTCCTGGAGGGGCCCCTCCAGCCACAAGCCCAATGCTGGGCCTGAGTCTGTGTGTTTTCCAGGGCAATAAATCATGAGGGATGATTGGTCCAGCTGGCCTGTTGGGTGGAGATGGGCTAAGAGGGTCTCTTGTATATCAAATCTGAAGAGGGATGCGATTCTAGGTTTATCTTCATTTCTTCTTTTCTTTGGCTAACTCTCTGGTTTACCCCTAAGTGTTAGGAAGGTGATCAATTCACACTTCCTATTCTTTTCCTATGAGCTATTTGGTGCTGTCATCCCCCAAGATTTCTGGTCATTTTTGGCAGCCATTTGTAAAGTCTAATAATGATATGCAGCAAACTCATAAAGGCCTGTTGCATGAATAATAAGCAAGTGAATAAAGGGATGAGCTGCCAGATATGTTAATCATAAAAATCACAACAATTACTATCCAAAGACTGATGTTCAGGCTATCACAAGAGAAAAAAAAATTATCCTTCCAGAAGATGAGCATATTTCTCAGAGACCCGTTGAAAGCCTGTGGAATGATGACTGAGGAAATGTCCTCCAGAACTGGGCCATAAAACAATGGCCCCGTCACCATGTGTGTGGGGGGTAAAAGGGGCAAGTGGCTGTCCATATGTTGGCTGGAAAGTCAGCGAGCTCAGGTGATTTGCAATGGAGATGATTTGGTGGTCCGTATATCAGATTACGGGCAGGATTAAATGAAAAAAAGTAGTGGAAAAAGAAATTGGGTGAAGAGAATGGAGAAAAACAATAATTTGGAGATACTAAAAAATCTTTTTGCCTTGTAAAACAGGGATATATGTAAAAACAAAACAAACACATCCTAAGCATCACATGTCTCCAAATATTTAACAAACACCTCCACCCTACTTCAATAATCAAATAGAATACACACCTCAGAGCAGCAGGTGTGGATGTCTAGAGTGCAGTTTTACACGACACTCCATGCTACCTTCTTCCAAAATGTTTTACTCTGTTAAAAATCAACTTTTAGCAGGTATCAGGAAATGTGTCACATGTACTCTGAAGAAAAACACGTACAGGGAATTTGCTACAAATTTTACATCACAGAGCGTTAAGTATAAAAGCTCAAAAGAATGAACTCTTATAGCTTTTACCTTCTCTGGACGAACTCACCCACCTCCATGGCATCACCAGGAAGCCTAAGTCAACAGCTTTCCTGGCAACAATAAAAGTACTGTAATATGCTTTAAAAAACCAGAGAGTTAGGCAAATTCATCTTATAAATTTAGCCTTGATTTTTTTTTTAAATCATGAATTGTATATATCGAGGGCACTGTTGTACCAAAGCGACATCAGCACATGAAAATCAATGGCATCTGGGCCTCTCTTGAGCTTCAGGGTGGCACAGGGGATGAGGTCAAAGATCACATATGCGTGCAGTGGCTGGAGAAAGACCTGCTCCCCTCTGCTGCGCCTTCACTTCTATCTAATAAAGACAGTCTGTGGTGGGGGATGGTGGATTTGCTAGGTGATCACAGGGGCTGCAGAGGCAGGCCCTGGTGAGGGGGTCTCTTGGTACAGGGCAGACACCACCCTGTGGGGCTCAGAGGGCAGCCTTGCATTTGTACACATCTTCTTACCCCTTCATTTATCATTTGAGGATTCATTCTCGGTGAACTAATACAGATGACAAGAACTCAAATTCTTTCTCAAATTTTGAGGGACCCTGTGTCACAACTTAGAAGGTAATTTGGTTAAAACAGTCATGTGGATAATAGATTGTCTCCTTTTCAATATCACTCGTCTTGTAATTCTGCCTCGAGGCAGGGTTTCCATGAAAATCCTTAAGAAAGTAAAACTAGAGATCACATGGGATGTGACAATAGCAGACATTTACTTAAGATTCATTTTCTGAGTTTCATGAATCAAAATTGGAGGATTGAAAATATTTATGAGGAATCAAAATAGCACTGTCTTAGTCTGGGTTTCCTCAGAAGTGGACCCTGAGGCGACATCTCAAAGGAGTTTCTTAGAGAGCATTGACAAGAAAACCCCACTGTTGGGGAGTGAGGAGGGATGAAAGCCCAACCAGCTGCAATATCAACAAAGACCCAGGCAGGGTTATGCCCACTCAATCCCACGGGGAGCTCTGGACAGTGAGGCTTATGCCCACAGGTGTCTGATCAGGGGGCAGGAAAGCTGCAGGGTTTATGCCCTCATAACTGTCAGTCCTTGGCCATGAGTGTGCACCTCGAGGCAGCCCTCGCAGCAGGGGCTATGGAGAGTCTTTGTGGGCCTGGGACCGAGAGGATAAGGCAGAGGACTCGTAGATCTGTTACAGGTGACATTTTAAGGTAAGGCAAAATCATGCTTCAGGTGCCCTCTGCAGCAATCTGAGGGCTGGCACATGGCAGGTGCTGTGTTCATTTGTCCAGCCATTCATGATGCTCCACTTCCCTCCTTCCAACCACTTCTCTTCATCCAAAGCCTGCATTAGGGAATGAAAAGAAGTGAAATCCTTGCCGCCTTCAACATCGTCCCCCAGGGTTGTCATCACAGGCTCAGAAGCCACACTGTCATTTGGCTCTACTCGCCCAGGCCACTAGAGAAGGATGCGGAAGGAACATTGGGAAATGCAGCCAGAGAGGAGCTGCAGAGATGTCCAGCAAGGGAAGGAATGAGCAGGTGGTGTTCCCTGCTGGCTCCTCCACCACTACTCCTCTCCTCGCCATCCCTGAGCAGTGGCAGCACACAAATCAGATCTCCTCTCTCACCATCCCTCTCTCTCCTACAGCTCGCCAAGCCAGGGTCCAAATGGAGTGAGGCAGCAGAGACGAGGGGCCTGGGCAGGAGCTATCCTGCAAGAGCCTGGAGTCTGCAGGAGGCAGTGGCTGCTCCAGCTGGCTTGACATTTGGGGCTAAGGATTTGCCGAGGACCGTTTCACAGATACATTTTGTAGAGGCTGCACTGAGCCTCCTGGACTGAAATGCAGTACAATACTCTGTGTTGCTTTGATTTCACCTCTGGTGCAGGCTGCGTGGGCATGATTGTAAGGAGCCTGTGTTTTCCCTTGAAGACAAAAGGAAAGATGAGCCACTGCCTTATCCACACATATCCTCATTTAAAACCTGCTGCTACCTTTTGAAAATGTATTGAGATGTATGTTAATGATTTTCACAATCATCTGTATTTGTTACTCTTCAGTAAAATATTGACAAATAAACATAGCATCACATTTTACAAATCAGAGCATCACTAGCATTCATTCTTGGGGTTTCCCCCATCTTGTTCTTCAGCTGGACACTGGACATCTCGAGTCTCCCTAGACAGCACAAGGTGTCCACCTTTTGCCCATCCTTGATGTTCAGAATGGGCAAATGTGATGGTTTGCCAAGTTCCCAGCAGCCACTACCTGGGCACACTGGCTGAGAGTATACCTCAGGTCAAAAAGAACTGGGGAAAACCCTGGACAAATGAGAGGAAAATACTGTCAGTTTTCCCAGACTCCGAGTCTCAGATATCACAAGAGCAGATTTGAAAACAAAGTAGCTCTCGCTCAATTATGCACGTGGCATTTTTAGCACACTGGAAATGTTTTGCAGTTTATAAGCAGAGCTAACTGAACCCTATTATTCTGCTTGTTTGTGTGACCTACATATTCTAAAACAGAATTCTGAAGGGAGGGTCTGTGCAGAACAGGCGCACACAAGGGATCACTCAGTCTGCCTAAGTCCCAGCCTCTCTGTGCGAAACTGCCCCAAACTCCCATGCCTGACATCCGATGATATTCAGAAGGTGGATACCAGGCCCTTTCCTACCCTCAACAGCTTTGAGTCACTCCTTTCTGTTCTAACCCCTCTGTCGTGAATGAACACTTTTTGAAGAAGAGGTGCTAGAGAAAAACAAAGCCAGGTTGAAAAGCATTCTGAAGGTTTCCTTCAGTTCGTAGAGCACCAACTATTAACCATTTCTAGAAGCTTCCTGGGGAAGTGTGCAGGGATTTAAAATGACTGAGATCAGCATTCTTTCCTTTCCCCAGATGTAGTTTTTCCCTCTCTCAATAAATGGCTTTTCTAAGACATAACTCCTAATAAGTGTCTCTCCCCAATCCTGACCGCTAGGGTTATTTTCGTCTCAGAGGGGAATAGTGTCTTGTCACTAAGAGCCTTTTCTAAATGCTTCCACAGTATTAGAGTCGGACCTAGAAGCACGTCTGCTGAGAGCTCCCGGAAGCTTGCAATTTAACCTGAGTCTGACTAAATACACACTGATCAAGGGCCCAAGAGGCTACGAGTTTTAAATTAAAAACATTTCAATACTTTTTTCCTTGTGATAGAAATAATATATTTAACTCAGAAATGCATAAATGTGAGAAAAAGAAAATGAACATGAGTAATAAGCCCAATGCCTAGAAGTAATAGCTATGGACATATTTTTGTGTGTATACATATGTACATTTATACACATATGTGAAATTCTATTGAATGTACTTGCCTATTTCAGTTATATTGTATCTTCTCATACCACTATGTCTTCTTTTAAAAATATTTTGCATTGTTTAGCGCTTACAAAAAGAGAGGGAGAACATCCTTGTAGTTGCCCTCCAGCAAAGCAATAAAATACTGTAATACATTTGAAGGTCCTTGTGCACACCTCCCAGCTGGCATCAGTTTCCCCAACTAAGAGGCAACCTCTTTTTATATTTGGGTGATCATCCTAAATATTTCTTTATACCTTTCCCTCATACATTTGTATTCTTAAGCAAGATGCAGCATTATTTTTAAACTTAAATGGTGTCTTATTCTACATATTTTTCCTCAGTGTGCTTTTCGTCTCCCACTATTTTATTTGGGAGATGGATCCATGTGGAGGTGTGTCAGTCCTGGCCATTCATCTCCCGGGTGTGCAGTGTGCCATTGTATGAATGAGTTGCAACGTTTCCACCACCCTGCTCATGCACATGCTCAATGTCCCCCATGTTCGTTCGGGTGCAGACACCCTTGCCACTACCATTCCTGGACTCGTCTTCCTTCTCCACATACATGGGACAGTTTCTCCAGGGAACACAGCTGGAGTGGGATTCTTGGGCAGGTGTGTCTTCTATCTAACTGGCTACTACTCAGCAGAGCTCTGTGTGGTTGTAACAGATTTATTCCCACAAGCAGTGTATAGAATTCTCGTTGCTTCAAGTTCCTATTAATACACAAGATTTTCAGGCTTTTAAATATTCACCAGTCTGATGGGTGTAAAATGACATATCACTGTGTTTTTATTATTGATACATAATAACTGTTCATATTTTCAGGGTATATGTGCTAATGTGATACATTCATACAATGTGTAAAGATCACTGTGGTTTTAATTAGCACTTACCCATTGTTCAAAAATGCAATTTTAGTGGATGTATAATATCCCGTCACAAGGAGAGGCCAAAATGTAGTCACTCTTCCCTTATTATCATACATGCAGTGTGTTCCCAAATTTTTACTATAAAAGCAATGCTTCATTGAATATCCTTGACCAAAATTGTTTAACCAAACGGCTGATGACCATTCCCATGGATAAATGTATGGAGATGTACATTACTCACAGTGCTTACGCACACTGCCTGATTCCCTGCAGGAGGATGTCCCATCCCCTTGCTGTCTGGCAACTTCCGAGTGTGCCTGTCTGTCTGCACACCCATCAATACTGGTTTAATATTACTTAATAAACAGTATTTATCCACTTAATAGGTAAACAATTATAGCCTGTTTAAATTTGTATGTTATTTTGTCACTGGCTAGCTCAGTCATGCTTTTATATGTTAATTGACTACCCGTGTTTCTTATTTTGTAAATTACTAACACATTCCTATTACCTGTTTTTATAATGAGTATAGAATGAGATAGCTTGAACATAGAAAATATTGGTATTTAAAATAAAATTTTCTATCAATACCATTGTAGGAAAATTTCCCCCTAAGCAAACAAGTAATTTTGTATAATGGTCTATGCCTGGAATAGAGTATTAATAATTGTCACATGGTACCATTAGGGAATAATTACATAGATTGGGACTTTTGGACTCACTTTGGTTTTGATTTTAGTTCAAGCCAAGCCACTTGCTAATGCTTCTTAATAATTATAAGCCTGGAATTAATAGGTTTAACATTGAAGATAAGTTAAATATGTAGAAAGGATATTTTCTATAAATCCAGGAGAATCCTGAGAGAAGTCTCACAGGAGCAGAGAGCTCCTTCTGAAGTGCTCACGCACAGAGCATTCAGAGCACATTCTCCTGGCAAAACCCATAATTAAATGTGGCTATAGATGGGAACATAATTCAGGGCTGAGACCATTTTCTACTATGACACAGAGCCATAAGAAAGAAGCTCACTCTAGCTAAGAGGAAAAGCATAAAACAAGCTGGTAATGAAGCTCATTTGCAAGGGAAATGCAGCATTTGTGTGAGCTGAGCTGATTGCTTTCCTTAAATGGGAAAAAGATTGTCATCTTTTAAACCTGATAGGAAGACACTCACTCTGAGGAAGACTATGCCTGTCTCCCCAATCAACTCTTCTTCTCCCTACCCTAGGGTGAGAAGCCTCAAGATGTTGACATGGCATTTAATTAAATGCCAATAAATTCATAAATGTGCAAGAATTGTGAGACGGAGCTGGTTTGAAGTAAAATGAAATAACTATAAATCTGAGGAAAACATAGCATAGAAAGCGAAAAACCAAAGACCAAGAATCTAAACATATATACAGTCAATTTTCATTATTCATAGCACTTATATTCCATAAAGCTACTTGAACATTGAATTAATGAATACTGATCTATTCCTCCCAGGAGAAATACAGGGTTAGGTTCCTTCAAGCTTCTGGTCACATTTTCATAAACAGACCAATACATAACATTGCTTTATGTGTGTTTCTGTTTAAAGACACCTAATCGAATACATATCATTGATTCATTAACATGGAACTCACAGTCAACGGCACCATAACTCATTCTGTAATGAGGCTTCTCTAATACACATATGAGTATTCTCTGTAAGGCACATCACAGCCTTCTTGGACTTAGACTCAAGTAAGCACTTCAGCACTACACTTGGGGGCCACAGTGAAATCTCTACCAAAATCACAAACATTGAGTGGTATGAAATAGACGGTGAAAAGGACACTTCCTTTACAGCAGAGGAGC
Source organism: Homo sapiens (assembly GCF_000001405.40). Taxonomy (NCBI): domain Eukaryota; kingdom Metazoa; phylum Chordata; class Mammalia; order Primates; family Hominidae; genus Homo; species Homo sapiens. The sequence goes on along the minus strand of NC_000002.12, from coordinate 105,631,326 downwards.
TGAAGCAAGAAGGCAGAGTGCTACCTTGTACCACTGCAGCTGGGTAAGTGGCAGGCAACTCGAATTTTTCACCACCCTGCCCATGTCTGTGAATGACCTCAAAAGCACCCACAGTATTGATTTTGGAGTTGCAAATGCATTTTGGTGAGCAAGCAAACTTGAGCAGGCAAACTCACAAATACGGAACTCGTGAATAATGAGGACTGACTGTATTGTAAGTGCCCTACTTCAGCATTGCCTCTTTCTAGGCACTAGGAGTGACGTCGAGCGCTGTGCGTGGTGGGAGACGATTGTTGCTTCAGCCTCCCTGCCTCTTTTTTTCTGACAGTATTGCTCAGTTCTTCTTGAGAAACTCCTACCCTGCATTGGGTGTGCTTGATGGCATTTTAGTCAAGGACTTTGCTCACTTTTGTTCCAGGGACGGACCTGTGACCCAAGCTGCACCAGTCAGAATGTCCTGCCAGGGAATGTGGGTCTTGAGCTGAGTGATGCCAGGATGAAGCATGGTGGAGGGTGATTCGTCCAGGCAGCGGCCTCTGGAGGAGACAGCCCTTTGGTTCCCACACCCTAGATCCCAGCGTCTGCTCTGAGTCTCATCCTTTCAGCTTCCTCCCAGATTATCAGCTGCCTCCCGTCTTCCATTCGATTCTTTTTCTGCTCAAGTTGGCCAGATTGTTTCTACTGATTTTGACCAAAGCACCTGGACTAACGCGCATCCTAAGGGTGGGGAGAAGGGGGGCTGTACTTATTCCTCAGCCAGTGCGTCTCATTTTCACTCCTTCTTCCCAACTGTAGCACTTTCTGTTCACGGACTGGGGAGGAGCTAAGTGAGAAAAGCAGGATCCTATTATCCACACATTTTAGGGCCAGAGAATGTGGTCTTCAAATTGTTAAAGAGAACTAAATATTGCCTAAGAAGGACTCCGTACTTGTATATTTGAGTCCTTGTGGACAAACTGCAAGGTAGCTTAATAGGTAGACAAGATTGAAAACCTACCTTAGGAGTATGTGCCTGTAACAACGGCTGAGTCTTGGCCAATCCCAGCGGCCGTACTTCAACCATTCACACACTGCTGAGTGTTCAAACTGTGTTCAAATCAGGCAAACACCAACTTTTAACCAATCCAGTCCTTGTATATCTCACTTCCGATTTCTGTATGTTATTTGCCTTTTTTTTGTCTATAAATCTTCTTCCACCACGTGGCTGCGCTGGAGTCTGTGAATCTGCTGTGATTCTGGGGGCTACCCGATTCACAAATCGTTCATTGCTCAATTAAACTTCTTTACATTTAATTCAGCTGAAGTTTTTCTTTTATCAAAATGAAATTGTGGGAAATTTCCATCCCTTTTTAGTGTGTATGCTTGGCATTTGTTTTTTTTTTTTTTTAACTATAACATACTTGTTGGTGGAAAAGGATATAGAAATATGCAAATCAATCAGACCACCTATAGCTTCATTTGTTGACAGTTAAACCTCAACAGCCACAGAGAGCCAGACCTCAGGTTGCTATCAGAGGCACTAAGGGCATTAGGCAGCAGCTGGTGGAGAACAGAAGATTCTGGAAAGCAAGGGTCCCATCGTCATCTTTCCTAATGCCCTAACTCCAGCAGAGGAAAGCAGGGCCTCTGTTATTGCTTCTCATTAAAATGAATAGCAAAACCCCACATATCCTGTTTCTTTAGTTAAATAGTTGGTCTTATTTTTATTCTTGTTGAAATGGAAAGCTGGGTTGATAGTCTAGCATGCAAGTGTACTCCCAAATATTTTTATTTGAAAAGTGATGATGGAATTAATTAACCCAATTATTTTAAAGGCAGCTGTTCCTAAAATTCTACAGAGTCCATCTATTCTCCACTTAATAAACACCTAATGAACACCTGCTGTGTTTCAGGCACTGAGCGAAACATTGGAGACCCAGAGATTCACTCCTCCATTCACAAATATTGGTTGAATGAATCAGGAAACCCAAGTTTCTGCCTTGGGGATCTGTTCTGGTAGAAGTTTACATACAAACAAATGATAGTAAAATGCACTAAGTCATTGTTTATTTTGTAGACTCAGAGCTTGCCTTGAACCAGTAGCATCATCGAGCTTGTTACAAAGGCAGAATCCCCACAGCCCCAGACTGCCTGGATCAGGCTCTGTATTTTAAGATGATCTCCTGGGGGATTTGCATGCTCTAAGGTCTGAGAAGCACTGGGGCAGGACTGATTACTGAGTCAGGAGAGATGACCACCTGGGGAAGGGCTGCAGACTTCCCCAGGAAGAGGGGCTTGCATGAATGGTCCATAGGAGTTTTCCAGAGAGGGTGTAGGAAAAGGTGTGGGGTTGTGAGAAGGTGCTGGGATTGTCAGAGATGAGGGAGTTCTGTGTGACTGGAAGCAGGGAGTGGAGGAGAAGGGAAAGGGATGGTTTGAAGGAGGGATCATACTGTGTAATCCAGGCCAAGAGTTAAATGGAGAATGGAGCGTAGTGGGTATTATGGTTTGGATGTCTGTCACCTCCAAATCTCATGTTGAAATGTGTACCCAATATTGGAGGTGGGGTCTGGTGGGAGGTACTGGATCATGGGGGCAGATCCTTCATCAATGGCTTGGCGCCATCCCCTTGGTGAAGAGTTCTTGCTCAGTTAGCTCATGTGAGATCCAGTTGTTTAAAAGTCTAGGGTCTTCCCTTTCACTCCCTCTCGCTCCTGCTCTTGTCATGTGATCCTTTGCCTTCCCCAATGATTGCAAGCTCCCTGAGGCCTCCCCAGAAGCCAAGTAGATGTTGGCTCCATGCTTCCTGTATAACCTGTAAAACCGTGAGCCAATTAAACCTCTTTCCTTTTTAAATTACCCAGTCTTCGGTATTTCTCTATAGTCATGCAAGAATGACCTAATGCATATGGGAATCTAAGCCAATGGAAAAACTATACACCAAACGTCACAAAGCCCAAAGCCACAAATCCTAAATCACTCCATGTGCTCTTGTTTCCATTGCACAGGTTTGTACTTTCCAGATGTGATCCTCTTGGGCTTCCTTGGAATCTTCATTGTGAATAAACATTTTTTCTAGGATCTACCATGCTAGTGGTAGTACAGGCACTGAAAGGGGACTCAGGGATGCACAACGTGTACACTTGCCCTTCTCAATGTCTACAGTTAGATTGAGAAGGCAGGATATTGAGTGTGTCCTCACACAATAGAAGTACAGCACAAGGGCATGTGAGCCAAATGCCAAATACTAGGAGAGTCAGTAAATGCTAGGGGAGGAGGGAGGTGTTGCTGTAGCTAGAGTTGTAGGGAAGACATTTAGAGAAGGTGGGGTTGGAGGTGGGTCTTGAATTGCCCCTCTGCTGCTGTCATTGGAAGAAAACACTGAGGCTGATTCTTAGCTGCAATTCTAACAGTGTAGAACCATTAATGAAGCACAATTGTAGATCAGGGATTTCTACACTCAGGTAAAGAAATGTTGCATTATTTAATCTTTCTGAATCATACTAACACTATGCTCAGTGCCCAAGTCTCAGTTGCTAGGATGCAGAGAAGAACCACTCCAGCCATCAATGGGGCTCCCTCATCACCATCTGAGCCATGCAAAAGCCCTGGAGCTTTTTCTGGCAGAGTTCCCTGTTCTCCAGCCTACGTTGAGCCCTGTTGATATCTTCATTGTCTAAGTTCTGGCATCCCTTGAAGGGAGTCTGTATTGCTTCTGTGCCAAGTTTGGAATAGGACTCTTTGGGATTAGATTGAGAGTCCTCAGCCTACGGGTTCCTTTCTACCAGCATCGTGGAACATCCAGCATCTCCTGGCTCTTCCCAGGATACTGGGGTGTCGCATCTACTTCTTCCTCTACCACTGCAAGCCTGCCCTGTATTTCCTCAGCTCCTAGGAGGGTTCCACCTGGTGTTGCATCAACTTGCCTTTAAAACCAAGACGAGGTAATTTATAAAGAAAAGAGGTTTAATGGCTCCCAAAGACATCCGTGTCCTAATATCTGGAAACTGTGAATATGTAACTTTATATGGCAAAAGGGACTTTGCAGATGTAGTTAAGGATTTTGAAATGGAGAGATTATCTTGGATTATCTGAGAGGACTCAATGTGATCCCAAGGGTCTTTATAATGAAATAGGGAGGGCTGAGAGTCAGAGGGGTTTGAAGATGCTGTGCTGCCAGCTTTGAAGACAGAGGAAGGTACCATGAGCCAAGAAAAGCAGGTGGTCTCTAGAAGCTGGAAAAGCGAGAAAATACTCTTCCCGAGAGCCTCCAGAGGGAACACGGCTCTGTTGATGCTTTGATTTTAGCCTCATTAGACCCATTTCAGACTTTTGACCTCCAGAACTGTAAGAAAGTACATTTGTGTAGATTTAATGCTGTAAGTTTGCATTAATTTGTTACAGCAGCAACAGGAAAATAATACAGGTCTCCTTTCCCGTGGGGTAGGCAGAGAAGAGGAAAGAGAGGATCAAACCCACCAGCTTTGCTTCTTTCTACATTGTTAAAATATGAATTGTGGGCTTATCCACCATCACACCAAACGGAGGTGGCTGCCCAGGAGAGGGCTATTCTCACCACTGAAGGAGTTTGAGGTCACTTGTCAGAGATGTTTTGGAAGGGATTTGTGCTTTTGTGTAGGTAGGAGGTTGGGGAAAGAGAAGGGATTAGTCTAGAATGTTCTCTTCAGTGCATTCCACACCTGAGTTTCTATTATTTCAAAATGAAAACAATGTCTTTGTTTTTCATGGGCCAGTAGCAAATCCCCTGTTCTAAACACTGGATCCTTTTTTGTTTTTGCATTTGGAAATGGTAATGTAAGCTGCGAGATGATTTGTAATCCTTTATTTGAATAACATTCAAATAGCAGAAGGGGCTTACTTACACCACACACTGTGTGTATGCGAATCGGGTTCATTTTGCATTTTCTACAAAAGAGACTTTTCAGAGTTCCAAAACAAGCAGGCCTGTTCTGTGACAGCTATTAGGCCATGAGCCCGTGAACCTCTGCTCAGCTGCCTTCAGTGCCCAGTCCCAGAGCGAGACCTGAGGAATATTTTGGACTTAGGAATTACAGGTGCTGTCTGAGCAGACTTACATCCCAACTTCACTCCCCACATAGGCTGGCCAGGAGTGAGTGCTGGCCCCCATCCCGTGAGCCTCAGTCTTCTCTGCATGAGATAACAATACCTGGGAATATAAGGTTGTTGAAAAGACTCAATGAATGTGCAAAGCACGGTGCCTCGCAGATACAAGACCTTCAGGAAATGAGTTTCCCGGACTTCCATTTTCCAGATTTCAGCACTTCTTCCCCATCCCCAGTGACTGAGTGCCCACCTCCTTCAACAGATAGTAGTAGTCAGTTCTAATTTTTCCAACTCGGAGGTCATAAACATTAACTGTGCTTAACGTTTAGGTAACGTTTAACTCAAGGGAAAGCTTGTTGAACAGTAGTGGTTTGGGAGCACAGTCTCGGGGGAGAGGACGCTGCGCTGGAGGGGAAGTGTCTGAGCTTGGCAGACATCACTGGGTGGTTTCTTTCTCCTTCTGTCAGTGGCTCACTTGGCACCGCGTGGAGTGTGTGTAACCGTGGCCTGTGGTCTCTTAGGCAGGGTCCTTTGGGAACGAGGAGGGTTAAACAAGGTTGCACTGGCACGTCCAGCACTCTCTCAGGAAGATCACCTGCATGCCCTACAGATGGCCTGCTGACACCATCTTCCTGGAACACACAGCACATTGCAATAAAACAAAAAACTAATGACCTGAAAATGGGATTTTATTTCTTCTCATTCTGCCTAGATGTTTCTAACTAAAACAGTTACTTCTACTGTGTCTCTCTCTACAAAAGTCTCCATCCACTAGTCTTAAATTCTGTAAGCTTTCCATTCCAGCTTAAGCCCACTCAAGGCAGGCATTTCCAGCTCTGGGTAGTTTATGGCACCTCTCTCAGCCTCAGTTTTCCCAAATAAGGCTGTGGGGCTGGGGCCACCATTTTGGAGGAGGTTCCAGTGCTTTCGATCTATGATCTTTTGACTGGATATACAGGTTGAGCATTGGATGAGGAGCATTCTTGAGCTAATGACTTTTCTTGACTTTCACAGATTAATAAGAGAGATGGAAGATTGTCCAAACTCAGAGAAACTTCTCCTCCTCTGCTCACAGAAGCACATAAACCCAAATGACCACATTTCCATCTCAGTGACTGCTCTTGTGTTTTCCTTCCCCTAACCATCCACCTAGTGAGGAACCAGAGCCAGCTGCCAGTAAGAAAGCAACTGCACCCACATTCCATCAGGCAGGAATCCTGCAGACGCTGTCTTTGCATCTCTCTGCATATCTTGAGAAAAGTCCAGGCTCCCCCCACAAGCCTGTGCCTGTGTGTGTGTTCATCTCTTTCTCATGGTGGGTAGGCAGAATCATGCCCTCTTTACTCCCACCCCCACAAATGTCCACATTCTGATTCCCAAAACCTGTGAGTATGTTCCTTACATGGCATACGGGACTTTGCAGATATAATTACGTTAACGACACTGGAGATAATCCTGCTTGGGCCCAAAATATCACAAGAATCTTTATAAGGGACAAGAAGGAGGCAGGGGGGTTAGAGAGAGATGTGATGAGGGAAGTACAGAGCCAGAGAGGTGGCAGCAGGAGGAGGGCTCAGCCAGGTGTTGCTGGCTTTGAAGATGCAGGAAGGGACCATGAGCCAAGGAATGCAGGCAACCTCTAGAAGCTGGAAAAGGAGGGGAAACAGATTCTCCCCTAGAGCCTCCAGAAGGAACAGCCAAGACCTGGATTGTAGCCAGCTGAAACTCATATCAGACTTCCGACCCCCAGAACTATAGGATGGTAAATTTGTGTTGTTCTAAGCCACTACATTTGTGGTAATTTATTATAGTAGCCATAGGGATGAATACACTCCTCCAAAATGAAATTCATAACATCTGTTCAATAATAATATTTTTAAAAGATAGCTATGGCCCCAGAAAATTTCAGTGCTCAATCACCAAGCCCAAGAAGTATAAGTTTAGTGTATCTATTCCAAAATTGTTTTTAAAGAAGATACCAACATAAAGATGGAATAGGGAACATGCAACGGGTCACATGGTCAATTAGATAGCACACTAGTTCCAGAACTTGGGCTGCAGGCTCTGCTGGACTGTCTTTCAGGAAGGACGGGCTCAGTGCCTTCTGCCTCATGTATTTCACCCCATGGCTTCTATTGCACACACACACACACATGCACACAGCCTAAAAATGAAAGAGGATAAAAGCTTTCTCCAATATCACCCTCAAAGTTAAAGCACTTCTCTAAACAGAATGATGCCTAAATTATCCCCAAGTTTCAGTCTCATTACATTAAAAAATTATTTACTGGGTTAAGGATCATGTTGGTCCTATAAATACAGAGACCCAAAAGATGGTCTCCAACTTGAACAGATCAGCCAGGTGGGTTGAGAAGAAGGAGGAAAGGATCATCTTTGTCTTCTTCCAAAGGTGCTCAGAGAACAAAGTGATATGACCTGCTTGGATGAAGATGTGGCTCTCCTTGATTTCTCTAGGGACTTTTGTCTTGACCTTCCTGAAACGCCACTGTTTTGCATCTCTTATTATAAGCCCTATGATTCAACTATCACCTCTCGGGCACTGTTGACCTCCCCCACCCTAAGATCTCTTTCTCCCCATTCCCTGATGAGGCCTCAGGTGTGACTTTCACTGTTATGAATGTACCTTCTCTCTCAGAGTAGCCTGCTCTCCATGTCCATTCGTCCACCACTTCTTGTCTGCCACTTGTTTGTCAGTTGCTCTATGGATTTTTTCTTTCTTTCTTTCTTTTTCTTTCTTTCTTTTTTCTTTCTTTCTTTCTTTGTTTTTTGTTTTTTGAGACAGAGTCTCATTCTGTCACCCAGGCTGGAGTGTAGTGGCTTGATCTTGGCTCACTGCAACCTCTGCCTCTTGGGTTCAAGCAACAATCCCTGTCTCAGCCTCCTGAGTAGCTACGATTACAGGAATGTTCCATCACGCCCTGCTAATTTTTGTATATTTAGTAGTGACAGGGTTTCATCATGTTGGCCAGGCTGGTCTCAAACTCCTGACCTCAGGTGATCCACCCACCAGAGCCTCCCAAAGTGCTGGGATTACAGGCATGAGCCACCATGCCAGGCCAAGATTTTCTTTTTTTCTTTAGCTGAGAAAGAGTCCCATTCTGTCGCCCAGGCTGGAGTGCAGTGGCGCAATCTTGGTTCATTGCAAACTGTGCCTCCCAGGTTCAAGTGATTCTCCTGTCTCAGCCTCCCAAGTAGCAGGGATTACAGGCACACGCCACCATGCCCAGCTAATTTTTGTATTTTTAGTAGAGACTGGGTTTCACCATGTTGGCCATGCTGGTCTCGAGCTCCTGACCTCAAGTGATCTGTCTGCCTCAGCCTCCCAAAGTGCTGGGATTATAGGCATGAGACACCATGCCCGGCTATGATTTTCTTAAGCTCCAAAGTGTAAGCTGTATTTGACTCATGGCTTCTTATTTCAGGTTCCAAGTCCAGTGTTCTGTTGTGCATTTTTATTATCATCACATCTATTAAACATTTGTCAGTTGAGCCAGACATTGTGGTCCATCATCTCGTATAATTTCTATAAACCCTATGTAGAAATTATGTAGGTGCTATTATCCCCATTTTAGAGAGGAAGAAGTCAAGTTTGAATGGCTGGTAAGTAGCAGGACTGAGAGGCAAACCTGGATCTGAGTGACTTAAATTCTGTATTAATCATGTTTTTTTTTTTAATTTTATGTTTTATACTCTTATATCTTGGGGCTTTGTGGAGCTTGGAAGAACTATCCCTCTCAGGGTTAGCTAATTCCCAGCAACAACAACCAACTTGCGCCCAGCATAACTTTGGTGTGCAAATCAACCAATCCAGAGCCCATATTCCCCCCTTCCCCCAGATCACCCCATGGTCAGATACCAGACACCTAGAGCCTATCCCTATGGCTCAGGGTGTGCTGAAATTGTTCAGACCTGCAATTCTAAGCTTGCTTGGCATACCTACCCTGCCTTATCCATTCCTTCCCATGAAAACCACAAGAAAGATTCTGCCCCTTGCTTCTCCTTACCCCTTCTGCTCCCTGACTCCAGTGCTTCCTCCTGTGACCCCATGGTATGCCCTGCCCCCTGCTCTAGGGAACTGTAATAAACTCTTCTTTCAAGGACGTTTCCTCCATGTCTGTCATGTTTTACTATATGTGATTGAAACAAAATCCCAAGTAGTTTTTAAAACAACTTACTGATTTCCTCTGCTTCCTCCCATTTCTCCCTTTCCCATCTCTCACACCTGATGATTCCCCTTTCTCTGACTTCCAGTAGCTCCTTCTTTCCAGGCAGGGTTATCCCCAGCTCAGCCTTCACTGAACTTGAGGATCAGCTGGGGAGCTTTTAACTCCCCACCCCAGATACTCTGAATCGATTGTTCTGAGGTGGGGGTAGGTTCTGAAACCTGAGTGGGTGTTAGAATCATCTGGAGGGCTTGTGAAAACACAGATTGTTGGACCCTATCAGAGCCTCTGATTCAGGAGTTCTAAGGTAGGGCCTGAGAGTCTGCATTTCCACAAGTTCCCAGCTGGTGCTGAAATGGGGCTAAGACATTCAGAGTTTTAAAAAGAACGCCAGGTAATTCTAGTAGGCAGTCAAGGCTGAGAACCACTGACCCAGAACACAGTCAAATGGAGAATATTAGGAACTTGAATCACAAGTGAATTAATTTTTTAAAAAGATTTCCAGTGATGGGTCCTGACAACCATGGGTTTCCAGGAGCCGGAGAAGTCCTCTGACACACCAGAACTGGGATCTTCTCCATGTCTCCGTTTCGACTGTGTGATCTTGAGCACAGATCCAAGGTCTTCCCAGCACTGGGGTTCTGTACGCCTCTTGATGTCTGCAGATTAAGGTATGCCTCACTGAGGGGAAGACCCAGCTGCTGCCCCTGACGATGGAGCAAAGGGCTGTGCTTTACTTCAAGAAATGGAGGGACCAGGCCTGGGAAAGTGTGCGCAGGGACAGCGAGACCACGGAGTATGCCAGCACACAGTCAGGAAATTCCCACCTGCATTCCACACTGTATTTATTACACAAAGTCTGTAGCGTGGAATATTCAGAGTGATGGCTTTTAATGCGTTCATGCTCCAGCTCCTGAGGAAGATGGAGCATGCTGTGATTGGCTACTTTAATGAAATGCTGAGCATCTAGGAAGACAATGTGGAAATTATGGGGATCTGACAGCTGGATGAGGATGAATGGGAGTGCAGAGGCTGAAGGAACCATCCATGTATCCTGACCTCTAACAACTCTGCCAGTAACTCAAATCAGACCTGCTCCCCCGCAACCCCCCATCCAAAAAAAAAAAAAAAAAAAAGCCACGAAGATGCTGGTAACCATGTAGTAGAACAAATTGTTCCAGGACTTAAACAAGAATGTTCACCACAGCTAGCTCTCTGCAGTTTTCAGGATAAACCTAGGTTTCAGCAAGCTCCAAACCATAGACAGACACATAAGAGTAACCCTCCAGGAAGCTATCTCTGAACATTCCTGAGGAAACAAACCAAGGAAGCACAGGGAACATCTCATTGCTCAAGTGTCTTCTGCCACTATGAGGCTTTTGCCCTGGGCTAAGCCATCGTCCACATAAAATACAGTCAGAACAAATACATCTTTCCTGGAGGGGTTTCACACATTTTAGTTCATCCTATGACCTGGCTGAGACCTTTGGAAACAGTAATGAAAAGAAAAGGACAGAGAATAGGTAAGTTTTGATAAGGTCAGTGCTGGGGTCAGGCAAAGAGGTAGACAATCGAAAAATAGGGGGAAGTGGGAGCCCGGGCTGGGGGCAGAGCTTGTGGCAGGAGGTGGAGATTAAGCAGGTGGAAGACAGGCAGCTTGTGGCGGAAGGACTGCATAAGGCCAGGTAAGCACGTGCATCATTGGCAACTTGGGGGTGGTGGGTAGGGATGCACCCCCCCAGGCCTGAGGTGTGTTCCCTACTGGAGAATGTGGCACTGGGACCTGGCAGCAGCAGAAGAGACCTTGGCTTCAACATCTGCTGCTGCCATTGACTAGCAAAGCCCTCCAGGTCCCGGAATCTCTGCCTGCATCCCTGCAACACGAGCCCACCTGCTGGGCCGACCTCGCTGGGTGCATGAAGCCTGAATGAAATCCACAGTGTGAAAGCCCAGTATAAGACAGAGGCAGGGAGGCACGAACTATCAGCAGAACCTGGACGGTCACCACCACTGGAGCCTGGAGCCTTGATTTCTCCTGACCATAAATGGCCATTTTTAGCCTGTTTCGCCAAACCTTTATAGTGTCTTTAGAACAATGCTATGAGAAAGCCGTGCATGATGGTTGCTTGGAATGCCATTAACTAAGGGAATGGACTTCTCTGCTCCCTTAATCTTACAGCGTCTCTACTCTCACTTTTCCACTCAAGCAACCTCTCTGCACCCCGGCCTGGATGCAGGCGACGGCACCCTAGATGGGAGTGCCACCTGCTTTCCCACAGGCTCTCCTGGGTGAAACACAGACATTCTCGCAGCTCCTCAATTGCCTGGACAGAGTATGTTCCAAATCATTCCAGATCATTCATACTTTGGTGCACACTAACTCACTTCTGCCCCTTATCACCATTGAGACCTCTTCTTTAAAATGTCTTCCTTCCGCATTATACTTCTACCTGCACCTTCTCTGTGGCAGCCCCGCACAGGTGGTGGGAGGCCTAGAATGAGAACCCTGCCAAGAGCCCCCCTTCTGAAGCATTCCCAGGGCCTTTGCCTTCCTAAGTCATCTAGACCCCTTTCCCCGGTGCTGAAGAATGCTCATGAATGTGACAAACCCCACAAGGCTCTCAGGGCTCTCCACGTCCATAAGCTGTTTTAGGATGTCCCTTTCTGTTTCATTGAAGCCCTAATGCCTCTGGTTTCTGATAAGAAAGAGATTTGAGAGCCACTGAAATGACAGTCCAGCTAATTCCATGTACAACGCCCAACCGAGTGCTGGGGAATATAACCCACGCTTTCCAAAGGGGACACAGCTGCTTCCAAGAAGATGAATTCTCTAGTCCTTTGCTTTGCACTGTGGTTTTCAAACTTTTATCCCTGGGGTCTCCACAGAGCTGTCTAGGAATCCCCACAGGAGGTGAGAGAAAGATCAAAGGTCCAGAAAACTCTTACCTCACCCCCCTTCACTGCAATTCTTTCCTATGGCTTTTGTTTGAGACTTTATTTGATTCTCTTCAAAATTATCTTTTCCTATTTAAAATGCTTTTCAATTGTTATTAAGCTGTGGAGTACAAGCAAATGGCTTTAAAAGTTAAATAGGTCTGGAAAACCTGTAAAGAAAAAGTTTCCAACAGACCCATCATACCTGTCACTCTGTCTGTCTGCAGTCCCTGCCCCAACCTCCCTCTAGAGTCTTCAGGGTTCACGGGCCCCCATCGCCCCCAGACCTTTGGCAAACAGGCCGTCCTGCAGCTTTCATGCCTCACCATCTCTGCTTTCCTTCTCCAAGGGTTTTGTTGAAAGATCTTTTCTGCTAGTGATTCTTCTCATTGATTGCCTGTTTACATATTGTGTGTTCCTTCCCTGTTATTTTATTGGGGTTTCTAGAAGGAGAGGAGAGAAAACATCTGTCTTCAACCTGCCCTCTCTAACCATCTCAGTCCAGATACCTTTAGCTAGCTCTAATTTCAAATAACTCCAAATTCAATTCAAGTGTGTTTTATTTTAACGTGGTCTTGTTGGCCAGAGAGAAGTCGAATTTTACCTGTTTTGTCTAATTTCTTGGGTTGTGGAGGATGTGGCAATGACCACGATGGGGCTTGGGTATAGGGTGTGTACACTGAGTCATTGTCATAGGTCAGGGTCCTTGGAAATAGTCCCTGAGTCTCTTGAGGAGGTCTGGGGGAGTGCACTGGGGAACAGTGCTGTGGGAAATGAAGGTGGCATTCAGCGGAGGGAGAAGTTGAGCTGCAACGTGGCTGCAGCAGAGGCCTCAGCCCATCCCACAGGGAGTGCTGGGCCAGGATGCCCTTTAGAGACATCCTGAATGAAGGGGCCTGGATTTTGCACACTGGCACTGACCGTTCTCAGGGTACCAACTGTTCCCAGGAAGGAGGCATGACCTTGGGCAAGGCAGATTCCTTTGGCCAAGGTCAGTTCCTAGAAGAGAATGTAGCTGTGAGCAGCCAGCAGCCAATCTCCCATACCACTGCAACCCCAGCTCCAGGAAAATGCAGTGCCCCATCCGAGGGGCCTGGGTGCAGCACCACAGCACCCTCTACATGAGCCGTCCCTTTCTTTCCATACGTCATCCACACTGTGCTCATTGTGACTGCTGACTCATGGGCAGTGTCAACACAGGTGCTATTCTAAATCCCTCTTTTGTATTAAGTCAGCCCTGACAACTACCCCATGCAGTGGGCCTTATTAGACTATTTTGGCTTTTGGCAGGACCGAGGTCTCAATGTGTAATGCTCTAGGTATCCAAAGACGAGATTCAGGACCCAGAACGGCGGGTGTCTGGCATACAGAAACCAATGCTTATTGAATGAACTAGTGAGGAAAATGCTCCAGTCCTCAAAGAGGTCCACCGCCTTGGGATGGAGACAGGTAAGGAAACAAGTGCTGTTAACTCGAGGCTGCATGAAAAGATTACCGTAGAGGAGCAAAAACAGACACAAAAGGGCTGACCCCTAGGGTGCCAAGAATCCTAAGCCAGGGGCGCTGTTCTGATGGTGAAGTGTGGGAGCCTCCTGGGTAGCAAACACAGCAGATGATCTCCTGCCAGGACACAATCTGCCCGTCAGCAGAGGAGACATGAAGCTGCCTGGAGTTGTCCTCTTTACCATGGCACCATCTGAGCAAATCAAATGACCCCAAATTCTCTTGCCTGTGGCAAGAAAGAACTCCAAAGACTGGTACCTGAGGATGAGATGGAGTCTCCAAAGACCCTTGGGATGGAGGAGTCAATGGCTCAGGAAGCATAAGCGCCACATAGGCAGTGATTCACAGACTGCTCTGGGAAGCCCTGGGACCAGGGCAGGACAGGAGTCCCCTCTGTTACCCCCAGAAGGATGGCTTTAATTTATCTGTGCTTGTCAGGCTTTCTGGGGCACTGAGGTGGCCTTGTGAACAGCTTGTGAGATGTTTCCTTTCCTCGGTCACCACGGATTCAGGAAGGCAATCTCACCCAGAAGAGAGACAAAGAGGGGCTACCCTTGGGAGGGTGGGAGGGGAGTGCCGTGGTCTAAGGAAGGGGATGAGGGCAGCTAGGCTCTTTGTGTTTTGTAGGTGTAAAAGGAAAAGCTGCCTGAGGTTGGGGTGGAGCCCAGGGAGGGAAGGATGGTGGTTGGGAGGCTCCATGGTACCTGTTGGGGCCAGCTGGGGTTGGGAACCAAGTGGAACACTCAGAACAGCGGCCTTGTGAGCCCTGGTTGGGGCATCCTTGGCCAAGGGGATCTCTCTTGTCTCAAAATCCTTGTTCGTCAGAGGAGGAATTCATCCCTGGGAAGGCTCCTGGCAGCAGTGGGGAAGGTCCACTGTGCTCTCCAAAGTCCAGCTGCAGCAGCCATGCAGGGGCCCAGCAGGTAGCCAGGCTGAGACTCTGGGCAGTCACCCCTGGGGTCCTAGAAGATATGTTGTTGTTGTTGTTGTTGTTGTTGTTGTTTGTGATTATTTTCTTTCGGAAGGGAGGCTTCATATGAAACACACTGGAGTTTTTGGTTAATAGATGAGGTGAGGGTTTGGGTGATTACTTAGAAAAAATAACAGTTGTCTATATATTTGCACTTTTTCTAGTTTATACTTATTCTGTTTCATTTGAACAAAAGTCTTCGTGGTTAAAATGATTTCTGAGAATGCTGTCCTGGTATGAAGGTAGAGTTATCAGGGAGCAGGAGAAAAGGCTGGAATTAGCTCTGGAAGTGGTTGTGCTTACCTAGTCAGTATGTATTAAGCATCAGGTTGCACTTTATGCAAGGCCAGGCATGGTAAAGCCAGCTCCCTCCTTCAAGGGGCTACAGCCAGCAGTGGAGACACAGCAAAAGAAATCATTTCAATGTAGACTCTGGGAGTGAATGGATTTATAAGTGAGGACCTACAAGCCGAAATTGCAAAGCTCCAAGGTGGTGTGAGCCTTTCCCAGGAAAGAAATATCACACAAAGAGGTAAAACTCAGCTCCAAGGCATATCACAGGGCTGTGTGGATGTCCAGAAAGGCAGGAGACAATGTCCAAGGTGGTGAAAGTATTCTGTGCAAAGAAAAACAATCGAAATGAGATCTCAATGTCTGCTCGAGTTGTAGCTGCTCTTCCTGATGGGTTAAGAGGAAAAATAAAAAACCTTATAGACCAGCCCCTAAAGTTATCAGCCTCATGTGACACTAAAGCTGCAAAGGATAAGGAATTGCTGGAGATGGAGCAGTAAGGCCTAACCTCCCTGCACGTTTCTCTTTGATCATTGTGGATGCCAAGTAGGAGTTTTGCTACACCTCAAGAAAGGTACAGAGATGAAAATAGTCTGGATAGTAATCAAGAATTGGAGGACTTCCACGTAAAGGCAGATTAACTATCATCCTCCCCATCACCAAAAACAGACACGAAACAAAAATAAGACACAGTACAGAGCAGATTTCTGTCTGAACAGGAGAAGGCTTTTCAGTAGGAAGCCTGACCCAGGCACAAGTTTTCTAAAAAGTGTTTCGTGAGGTTTGGGAACATAAATGGTTAAAGTGCATGGGCCCTTTAAGAAACAAGGTGCAGGGCTGTAAGAAAATATTCCTAGACAAGGTCAGACGGAAGTGGAAGGTACTGGAGCTGTTGTTTCTCTGCATGTGGTGAAGGAGTATTTTGTGGATCCAAAGTAGACAGGGCATAAGCAGAAAATGCAGGTGACCCCAGCAGCCGCTGAGCCGGCCTGGATTCGGGCAAAGAAAGCAGCGTCCTCCTGGTGCAAACAGACACAGCCACAAGTGCAGGACACGCAGTCTAGAAAGTCCGGAAGGTAAAATAAGGTCTTTTAAAAAATACAGCTTGGGTGTATATTTAAGGCACAAATATGAGATACATTACATATTTGTAATTACAAAGAGTAATACAGCACATGCGTGTGTACCTACCAATAATTTAAAAATTGAATCATTGCCAACCCGTTAGATCATATGTCTTCCTCTCTTCTCTCTCTCTCTCCAGGAAAGCACCCGTCTTTTTCTTTTTAAAATATTATTTATTTATTTAAATATCAAATTAATATGTTTTTGCATATTCTTATTTATTTATTTATTTATTTATTTTTCCTTTTCAGACAGGTCTCACTCTGTTGCCCAGACTGGAGTGCAGTGGTGCGATTTCGGCTCACCGCAACCTCCGCCTCCCGGGATCAAGCGATTCTCCTACCTCGGCCTCTCAAGTATCTGGGATTACAGGCACATGCCACTACCGCCTGGGTATTTTTTGTATTTTTAGTAGAGATGGGGTTTCGCCATGTTGGCCAGGCTGGTCTTGAACTCCTGACCTCAAAAGATCCACCCGTCTCGGCCTCCCAAAGTGCTGGGATTACAGGCGTGAGCCACTGCTCCCAGCCTGTTTTTGCATATTCTTCAATTTACACAGTGCATGTGCTGTTCCAAAACAAGATGAAGGCCTTGGTTCTGCTTATTTCCCCGAGTTGTTTCCTTTAGTTCATTAATTAATTAATATCTAAACGGACAAATAAGTATTGTAGATACTTATGGTGTACAACATGAGTTTTGAAATCTGTATACATTGGGGAATGGCTACATCCAGCTAATTAACATATGAATTAGCTCACTGTTTTGTGATGAGAACACATCACAAAAGCAAGTAGATACTCGCTTGGCAATTTTCAAGTATATAATACATTGTTATTAACCGTAGTCTCCATGTTGTACAACCCAGCTCTTGAACTCGTGCCTCCTGTCTAACTGAAACTTTGTATCTTTTGACCTACATCTCCCAAGCCCCCAGGCCCTGGGAGCCACCATTCTATCTCTACGGCTATAAGTTTAACCCTTTCAGCTCGCCCATGTGAGATCATGTGGTGCCTGTCTACGTGTGCCTGGTTTGCTTCGCTCAGCACAATGTCTTCAAGGTTCATCCATGTTGTCACAGATGATGGGAGGAAAGTACCCATCTTGACTTTGATCTTGGTCCTTCCTGGCATTTCTTTATATTTTTACTATATATGTATATAAAAATACTACTTTTACCCCAAAACTATCCTTTGAAAGGCTAGGAACTGAGACAGGAATCTGGGTCGACCTGTGGGTGAGAGGAGCCGTCGAGTTGGGTGAAATGGTTCCCGCTGCCCCCCAGCTCTGTCCCTCACCTCATGAGTGCCCCCTGCACTGTTGCAGTCATCAGCTTAATAGTCTAGCAGGCACTGCTTTCTTGGGTGCTACTGCATGTGGTGAAGGAGCATTTTGTGGATCTAAAGTAGACAGGGAATAAGCAGAAAATGCAGGTGGCCCCAGCAGCCACTGAACCGGCCTGGATTCGGGTGAAGAAAGCAGCGTTCTCCTGGTGTAAACAGACACAGCCTCAAGTGCAAGGCACGCAGCTTAGAAAGTCAGGAAGGCAAAACAAGATATTTTAAAAAATATATCTTGGGGGGGATATTTAAGACACAATTATGGGCCGGTGGGGGTGGCTCATGCCTGTAATCCCAGCACTTTGGGAGGCCGAGGCAGGCGGACCACCTGAGGTAAGGAGTTCGAAACCAGCCTGGCCAACATAGTGAAATCCCATCTCTACTAAAAATACAAAATTAGCTGGGAGTGATGGCGCATGCCTGTAGTCCCAGGTACTCAGGAGGATGAGGCAGGAGAATTGCTTAAACCCAGGAGGCGGAAGTTGCAGTGAGCCGAGATCGCACCATTGCACTCCAGCCTGGGCAGAAACAGCAAAACTCTGTCTCAAAAAAAAAAAAAAAAAAAAAAAGAGACACAATTACACTATAAAAAGTAATACAGTAGGTGCTACTATAGGTGCATAGAAGATTCTCAGAAGGCCATTGTAGAATTCATGAAGGGATACATAAGAAAGAACAGTAGGTTCTAAGGCCTGAAACAAGGGCTTTGGGGCTCGATTGGGTTCACATCCTTCTTGTATGTAGTGTATCAGGCTGATTAACATCGTAGCAAAGTACAGAATGAACGGTGAACAAGTTAGACCAGCTAAGAAGCTCCCCAATTTAGCTGCATGAATAGCTATTGAATACCAGCTTTGGGCCAGGCACAGTGCTAGGTTCCAGAATAAAGAACATGAATCTTATTTATGAAAAGCACAGCCTGGGCTTTCTGACCATGTTCAAGGGCAAGGTTGTCATGGCCTGAAATAGTCCACTTAGAAATCTTGCGTGCCTGCTCTAAGACAGCCTTGCTCACCAATGGGGCAACTAATTTACTTCAATTTTATATTTTTGCAAATAATATTTAAAAATATAAACCATGATTCATGGTATGTTAGTGTTTAGATTATACTATTTATGTCTGTGGTTTCCAGAAGAGAATCAAGCTGGACCACCTCATCCCTGATGGCCATCGTGAGTGCTTGAGATCTGCTTCTAACTAGGCAGGATCTCAGGTCCTCAGCACCTATAAACATGGTTATTGGCTAAAGATCTAAGGTTCCATGTTATGTCCAATCTTTTCTAAGCTGGAAACTGAGCAATTTTCAGAAAAAAAAAAAAAAAAAAAAAAAAAAAATGAACCTAGCTGGGGAGGGTGGTGGGCTCACATGTCTAGCACCCCCAGACAGAAAGTCTTAGCATTATACAGGCTGGTTTCTGTCTCTATAATCTCATCCCCTGTATTTTTCCACAGATGCTGTACTTCAGATTCTAGAATTAGGAGAATTTGACCAGCTTAATAAGTGTCCAAATAAGTGATTTCTACTCCCACTTCCTTAACATGCAATTGCCGAATAAACAAACCCACAAAGGCAAGGCAGCAATGTGTATTCTGAAACCAGGTTTTTAAGGCCTGATTTGGAGTTGTCTTCCTATTGGACCCCAGCTCTTGGGTTCAAAGTCGACGATCATTTGTACGAATGCCATGGTATATTTAAGTGAGTGGTTACAGCTGTTTCAGTTTCTTCCTCGCCAGTGTTTGGGGATCGGTGAGTGGGCCAAGCCAGGACTCACCCCCTGCAAGTTCACAGAGGCCTCAAACTCTGACAAGCAGAAGTTTCCATCTTAAAGACTGACAGGTATACCTAGAGATTGAAAATTAACATCCAGAATATTGCTTTCCCAAACATTATATGTTTATTTAAGACTCTGAATGCTATGTTGGCTCTAGCCTTGAATCTCTGCACATTTCAAGGGATTCTGTACTTCTTGATTACTAAAACATATGGAAATTGTACAAATCCAGCATGAAAGGCATTCTTTTTCTTTTTAAAGGGACTGCTTCTATATTCCACATTTCAAAAACCTCATCTGGGTTAGAAATGTAGGTATGTCCTTCACTGATGAGGTTTGGAAACATTTTGAAATCTCATTTTTAAACAATAAAGAAATATTTTTACGACACTTTAAAAAGTTTTAATTCTAATTGTTCATTATGTCACTAATGTGTCATTCGCTTGGCTATAGTAGTTGGATTTTTCTGAAACGTTTTGGTATATTATTTTCTTCACATTTGTGACTTCAACATAGTAACCAGATTGTCCTATATTTTGTTGGGTTCCTTTGTTGTAGTCTCTGAAGGCACATTTTTTTTTTCTTGTTCTCTAGACTCACCTTTTACTCCAAATTTCCATATTTCTCTTTATCTCTGATCCTCTTCTTGGGAAACGTGATAGAGGGAGCAAAGTCTGACAGGCTGATTTAGACATCTCAGAGGGTTGATTCAAAACAGTAGTTCTGTCTGTCAAACACACTTCAATGGTGCTGCCTGCAAATACAGAAGAGGGATATGGAATGGGAGGGCCGGGAAGGGATGGGAGCCCAAAGCCCGGCAGTGACCACAGAAGGATGAATTGCAGTGAATCCTTTATTTTGCTGACCTCTTTGCACAGATCATTTGTGTGTTGGTTCTGGTTTAATATTCCAGGTGACTCATGCTTGGGCAGATTCCCTCATCCCTGGTGCCAGCTTCCTCTGAAATATGCTGAGCATCGGCCTCACAGGTGTGAAGAGGAAAGGAATAATTAGAGATTATCCAACAGACTGTGCAGAGTGCTCCATGAATGTAAGGTACACAAATAAAACAAAATTAGCCAAATCCTCTCTGCAAATAAAAAAGTCATCCCTCCAATATTTGCCTAGAGAGGAGGCAGGCCTGACGGGAGAAGCAGGCGGCTTTGTCTGCGGAGCGTCCTCTCCCACCGACCACAGCAAATATTTCCTGTGCTTTCCGT
Source organism: Homo sapiens (assembly GCF_000001405.40). Lineage (NCBI taxonomy): Eukaryota > Metazoa > Chordata > Mammalia > Primates > Hominidae > Homo > Homo sapiens. Next base: position 105,610,925 of record NC_000002.12, on the reverse strand, counting down.
CTCCAGGGTCAATTTCAGCCCTCTTACAAAGGCTCAATTTACGTTAGCAAATTCCAACTCATGAAAGCTCAGTTGTTCCCCTTGCAAACTAAAAATGGAAACCTCTAGTTTGCTGCTTTGGGCTGTTTAGTTGAAGGACGGCGTCATGGGGTTTGCTCTGTGTTCTGCGGTGTTTGAAGCAAAAACCGCCACAGGACCCTCGTGCTTCTGGAAGGAGCAGGCTTGCTCTATCTAAGCTGTCTCCTTCCGGTTCATATGACGGCAGCAAAGAAGTCAGGCCAAGTTCATTCACACCCAGACTGAGGCCCTTATCATCTGGGCTTTAAGAACTCTGTTTCTTGTTGCCATTATTCATCCTGGGAGGCATCCGGCTGCACCTCGGCTCCTTGCTTCCTCCGCCTCCCCATCTCTTTTAAGCAGGTTAGAAACAAATCAAAAGACTCATCCTTCAGAAATCTAGACACGAGGGAAACAGTGCAAAGCTAGTCTAACCTGGCCTTAGGATTTGTTCTGCTCAGAGCACCACCAGGCCTACTTCATCTGTCTGCTATGTTCTTCATTCTGTGCAATATCAAAACGGAGAAATATCCATCACATGGTAAGTTTAGCAACACTCTGCTCTCAATTAACAACGATAAAAGGGTGTGGCGCAGCATGCATTTCGCAGGGTCACATCGCAGAAGGTTTCATGCACAAATATCTCAGCTTATCTAAAGCAGAAAAGCCCAGCTGGGAAGCCTTGGCAGCCCACCTGCCTCGCAGGCAGAGCCAAACGCCCGCAAGAGAGGCTGCTGGTCCCATAGAAGGAGCAGAATTCTCTGCTTTCAGGACCTGGCCAAATGAGAGCCCTCTTCTGTCAGAATGTTCACGTAAATGGGAAGCTTGTATGAAGCCATAAACAAAATGAAAGAGAGGAGGGTGCACTTTCCTTGGGGCTCAGGTCAAAGGTCAAGTGGCCAATCAGCCAACAGCCTCCACTCACATAGAAGTGTGCCGGCTTCCCAGGCCTCGCCTCCCCCAAAGTGCACCCCCTGCTTGTTTCCAACATCCTCTTTCCAGGCCTCTTTGGGGTTTAGTCACAAGCGCTTGGAGAAGCAGTTGCTTGATGAGAGCTGCCTGTGGGGAGTGTAGGGAGGGGAAGGGTGCAGGCTAGAGGCCTGGGTAGTGAGGGTGACGATAGGGGCTGCGTGGCCCAGCCCCTGGGGCAGCGTGGCCCAGCCCCTGGGGCAGCCTGAGCCTGGGAAGATTGAGCACCCCACAACAGAGAGGGCCCAGTCTGAGGGCTCCAGAACATCTTGAGGAAATCACGGTGTTTAGTGTTATTTGTGAAAGCTTTGCAAATGCCAGTCACTCAGCAAGCCTGTTCATTTCCACGGTGTCCATGGCGAGGCAGGACTTCTGCAACACCAGGCAGCACAGAGAAAGTGCTTGGGATGCACAGGGCAGAGGGCAGCCTGCTGTTGGGCAGGGTCCTGGGATCCACAGGGCAGAGGCCGGTCTGCCGTGGGGCAGGGTCCTGGAAGCTGCTCCTCCCATCCTATCTCCATTCACACTCAAGAAAATATAATAATTGTCTTCTAAAGGGTATCTTGAAGGCCAAAGGCACCAATGTTTAGCCTTCTGGTCATCTCCAATTGTGTTTGTGAGGGAGTCTACCGTGGCTCCCTACTCCCACCCTTGGCAGAGTTGGGGACCCCCCTTTTCATGCTTATACATGAATATATGTTCCTGCCAGGAGCTCAGAAGTGCTGCTGGGAATAGAGGAGCTTGAGGTCATTGACCTCCTGGAATCCCAGCACTTTGGGAGGCCAAAGCAGGGTGACTGCTTGAGCCCAGGTGTTTGAGACCAGCCTGGGCAATGTGGCAAAATCCTGTCTCTACAAAAAAAAAAAAAAAAAAATTAGCTGAGTGTGGTGGTACGCATCTGTGGTCCTAGCTACTTGGGAGGCTGAGGCAGGAGGATTGCTTGAGCCCAGGAGGTTGAGGTTGCAGTGAGCCGAGATGAGGCCACTGCACTCAGCCTGGGTGACAGAGTAAGACCCTGTCTCAAAACAAAACAAAACAAAAAGAAAAGAAAAAGAAAAAAAATCATTGATCTGAAAAAAAGGTGCCCAGAATAAATCATAAAGGGAAAAGGCAGGTTTCAAAGTGCCATATGCAGTACAATCCAATCCTCGTGAAGAAAAAAAAAAACTGTGATGAAGAATTTGGAAATGTATACAGCAAAATCTGTGATCTTTATTTTTCTTTTAATAAAGCTATTCCTACTACCTATCCTCCCCCAAATAATTCTTTCATTGCCACTGTAGTAAAATATAAAAATAGGTATCAATAGATAGCAATTGAGTGTATTTCACAACAACGAGAGGTGGGCAACGCCTGGATGGCCATGTCTGAGGAGCATCACGAATAGGTGACTATGGACCTGCAGAGGAGAGGTTGGGGAGGGAGAGCATGGTATGCAGACGTACCTTCTCCACCCTGATTTGAGGTCTCCTCGGTAACCTGGGTCATAAAACAGAGTATTAATAAAGTTGGTGGATGGAAGAGCAAGAGCACAGGAAGGAGGAGCCAGAGGCAGTAAGGTCAGCTGTACACTCGCCAGAGAGTAAGTGCCAACAACTGGCACAAGCATGAACTGGCAAACATCAAGCTGGGAGTGTGGCGTGAAGAGAGGGGGCAGAGCAAACACAGGCTGCAGTGGACACATACACATATTTCTTGACTATGAGGATGAGTGAAAAGAAGAGGCTGGCAATTGTATGATGGTCTTCTGTCTTCATGCCAGATGGGCCAGGGTTCACCCAGGGCTGTGGTTTAGAGTCTTATAATCAAAGCAAGTGATAACACCTAGAGTGAAACCCCACAGGGCTGGGAGCTGCAATAGTGACATGTGAAAGCATAAGCTCTGGGGCAAAAAGCTTTTCCATCTCAGAATTTCTACTTCTTTTTTTTTTTTTTTTTTTTTTAAGATAGAGTCTCACTCTGCTGTCCAGGGTACAGTACAATGGTGCAATCTCTGCTCACTGCAACCTTCACCTCCCTGGTTCAAGCAATTCTCCTGCCTCAGCCTCCCCAGTTAGCTGAGATTATAGGAGCCCACCACCATGCCCGGCTACTTTTTGTATTTTTAGTAGAGATGGAGTTTCACCATGTTGGCCAGGCTGGTCTCGAACCCCTGACCTCAAGTGATCCGCCCGCCTCAGCCTCCCAAAGTGTTGGGATTACAGGCATGAGCCACGGTACCTGGCCTAAAGAAGCCTTTCAAAAATATCTCTGGGTCCAAAAAGCCTTTTGGTATCTTTTTTTGAAAAAAGCCTTTCAAAAGTAGTTCTGGGGCAAAAAGCCTTTCAGTATCTTAGTTGAAAGGAGAAAAAGTCAGGTTGGGACACTTAATAAAAATATTTAAAATAGGACAAATGAGTACAGAAAATAATATACTCTCATCATACCATTACCCAGATTTAGTAAATTAGGTTCAGATATTTTTTAAGGAATGGAAACTACAGATGCAATCGAATTGCCTTTGGCTTCTTGATGTCATTCCCTTCCTTCCCTCACTAGGAACTAACTATGCAGAGGTTAGTGAATGTTCTTCTTGATTATGTTTTTATACTTTTCCTATAGATAATATTGACATGTTCCTCAGACACACAAATATTCTTGATGAGATATAGCAGGATATAATAGTGTTTGCATAAAATAATGGTGCTTGCAATAAGCTTCTCTCTTGTGGGCAATATTAGTTTGGTTTTTTTAAAGTTCTTTATATCCATGAGGAGGGGAAAAAATCACATTTTGAAGAGAAGCCTTACCGATTCATAGATTTACGAGTTAAAGGAGATAAGAGATTCCTTTTGCAAAAGACATAATATACCAATTTTAAATAATTGGTTTAACTGATATAATTTTGCAACTTGCTTTTCTCCCACTTGACATTATGTTTTTGACATTCATTCATGATGAAGTATGCTGCTTTAGTTAATTAACTTTTAATCCTGTGTGATAAGTATAGTATTCTACTGTATAAATATACTATAATTTACCTATTTACTGTTAATGGACATTTTGATTTTTGCCTTTTCTTCTGATATAAGCAATGCTACAATGAGCACTTTTATACATGTGCCATCATGGCCAAGTGTGAGTTTCTCTAGCATGAACCATGAAAGCAACACTGCTCGGGTAGACGATACATACTCATCTTCCCCTTAACCATCTATTGCCAAATTGTCTTTCAAAGTCTTGAGCCAGTTCACGCTTCTGCCAGCAGTTTGTGAGTTCTCATTTCTCTACATCTTCATCAATACTTTTGAGTATAAACTAAAATAACTCATTTTTCTTATTACTAGTGAATAATCATGTTTTCATATATATAGGCTATTCAGTTTTTCTTTTCTGTGTTTTATCCATTTATATCCCTTGCTCATTTTTTCTATTGGCCTGTTTATAGCTTACTGATTTGTATGAATTTTTTACACATACTAAGTTCTAATCCTTTTCTGGTTATCTAAATTGCAAATCTTTTTCTAACTGGTGACTTGCCTATTCACTTTGTTTATGGTGGCTTTTCATATGATAAATTTTGGGGCCAGGTGCAGTGGCTCATGCCTGTAATCCCAGCACCTTGGGAAGCCACGGCAGGAGGATTACTTAAACCCAGGAATTTGAGACCAGCCTGGGCAACAAAGAGAGACCCTGTCTCTACAAAAATAAATAAATAAATAATAAAAAAATACAACATTAGCGTGGCATGGTGGGGCACTCCTGTAGTCATAGCTACTTAGGAGGCTGAGGCAGGAGAATCCCTTGAGCCCAAGGGTTTGAGGCTGCAGTGAGCTGCCGTCACACCACTGCACTCCAGCCTGGGCGACAGAGCAAGACTCTGTGTCTAAAAATAAAAATGAATAAATAAATAAAGTTTACCTAATTGTAGTCAAATACATCAGTCTTTCCCTTTCAGTTTTGGGTACATGTATATGGCATAAAGAGATTTTTTTTTTTTTTTCAAGACAGAGTCTTGCTCTGTAGCCAGGCTGGAGGTCAGTGGCACGATCTTGGCTCACTGCAACCTCTTCCTCCTGGTTTCAAGCAATTCTCCTGCCTCAGCCTCCTGAGTAGCTAGGGCTACAGCTGCTCGCCACCACACTGGCTAATTTTTATATTTTTAGTAGAGACAGCTCTTTACTATGTTGGCCAGGCTGGTCTCAAACTCCTGACCTTAAGTGATCCGCCCACCTCGGCCTCCCAAAGTGCTGGGATTACAGGTGTGAGCGATTGCGCCTGGCCTATATTTTCTTGCATTTTCTTCCAACTGTTTTAAAGTTTTGATTTTGCATTTAGATTTTTCATACCTCAGAAAGTAATGTATTTTCTCCCGCACTGAGTGTTAATTTTCCAAGCACCGTTTGCTGAGTAACCTGTCCTTTCTGCAATGTATCACGCCGTCTCTGTTATAGCCCGAGCCTCCATATGCCTGAGGCTGCTTTCAGATGCTCTGTTCTGTTCTATTTCCTTTTTCTGTATACTTTGCAACATTTATTTTTTTGCAGGGCAAGTCTCCCAACTATTTTCTTCTTGAATTTTTATGTTCTTAGGTTCAGAAATTTTTTTTTTTTGAAAACTGGTCACTGGTTTCTGTTTCCTTTAGGGGTATGACAAAGTATCAGTTAGGAATCTTTCTCTTCCAAGGAACAAAAAGTGCTTCTGACTATTTTAAGCAAAAAGAAGGGCGGGGGTTGGTGACGGGAAGAATTTTTTCACAAGGATATGAGGCTCACAGAATTGGCAGGAGACTGAGAGATCTGGCTTAGAAAATGGGTCAGAAGCAAGGCAGTGCCAGGAGAGGAAGCAGAATGAAGCCTAACCACAAAGCAGCCTGGAACATGGTGGTGCCAGCGCCTTCCACCACTCACTCACTGGCTGCAGAGTGGACCCTCAGTGGGATATAACTGAACTGACTTTATAGGACTTACCTTTTAATGTTAGAAGTTGCCCAACAGAGAGGGTGATTTTATGTGATATTATTGATGCTGAAGCACCATTTTTTTAAACTATCCAAAAGACACTGAAATCATGCCATAATCAGAGATGATTGATTTGTTTTTTATTGGACTTGACTTGACTTGTTCCCCTATGTCTCAGGTCAACAAATAACAAATTCACATCAACTGCATCAAATGATTTTTATATAGGTTCAAATAGTAGGTCTTCATCATAGCTATATATTAGAATCACCTGGAAAGATTTGACAACTTATTGATTCCCTCAACTCTCTTAAGACCAATTAAGTCAGAATCCCTGGTGTTGGGACCTGAGCTTCAGTGTTTTTTTTTTTAAAGCTCTCCTTCCCTTATCCACTGATGCTAACAGGCAGGCAGTGCTGAGAGTCGTTGGGCTAAAAGCAAACAGTTGTGCTAACACCAATTACAAGTGAGATTGCCTCTATATCAAAACTGTTCCTCCATGTTTGGTTTGTACAGTAGCACCACAATGTAGACTCAAAAGAAGCATTGACAGATTGGAATCTATTTCAAACTTGCATACTTCATCGATGGAAACAAAGGCTGGTAAAAGATCTACATGTTCCTCAGACACACAAATATTCTTGATGAGATATAGCAGGATATAATAGTGTTTGCATAAAATAATGGTGCTTGCAACCAACTTCTTTCTTGTGGGCAATATTAATTTGATTTTTTTAAGTTCTTTATATCCATGAGGAGGGAAGAAAAATCAGGTTTTGAAGAGAAATCTTACTGACTCATAGATTTACAAGTTAAAGGAGATAAGAGACACCTTTTGCAAAAGACATAATATACCAAACTTTATTTTCGTCAGGAGAAAACCATGCTGATAGACTTAATTACAGTAAACAGTTCAGCGATTAGGATCTATCACTCAGAACATGATCTGAGTGATTTCGATAGCAAGAGTGCTGCTCCTGAGGCATATTTGTCTTCTTCAAATTTGAGTGATTTAATTCCTTAGATTGGTTGGCTTTCAAAAGAGGGAATTCTTGGAACCATTCTAAAGAGGTCTCTGGATGACTTCAGAGTAAACCTTAAATTAATCATATGTGAAGATCTATGCTTCCATAATGTTTCCAAAAGGCGTATTTTGATTGACATTCTCAGGTGTATATATGTTACTGATCCTAAACATGAGTCCAACAACTGTACCCACTATTAGTGGTATGCCACAGATGTGCAATAACCAGCTCTGGGCTGGGCTTGTCAGCTAGCCCCCTAACACTTTGGGAGGCCAAGACCAGTCTGGGCAACATAGTGGGACCATGTCTGTACAAAACAACAACAACAACAAAATGGATGTTGTAATGTGTACCTGTAATCTTAGATAATTGAGGGGCTGGGGCAGGAGGATTGCTTGAGCCCAAGAGTTCGAGGTTATAATGAGCTATGATCACATCACTGCACTTCAGCCTGGGCAACAGAGCAAGACCTTGATTCTGAAAAATATTAGTAATAATTTTAAAAATAATCAGCTGTCTTTGGGGGCAAAGTGCTGTTATGTAGTGGTTGCCTACTTCTATACTGCAAACACTACCAGCTATGGCCAAGTTGATTTCAAGCTACCAAATTGAGGTCACTTAACACGGAGTTGGGAAGAGTTACACGGATGTACACCATTGTATAATAACTCCTTTATACAGATACAATAGATAGAAATAAGAGTATAGATGATAGTAATATATCATAAAACAGGAGGTCATCCATTTTGAAGATCAATTACCTCTGCTTTTAATATATTTAATTAAATCTTATACAGTTTATTTTTTAGTAGACTTTATTTTTTAGAACAGTTTTAGGTTCACAGCAAAACTGAGCAGAAAGTGCAGAGTTCCCATATATCCCCTGCATCTTCTCCCACAGCTCCTTCTACCCCACTATCAATATCCTACACCATGCAATACATTTGTTACAACTGATAAACCTACATGGACTCACGATTATCATCCAAAGTCCATAGTTTATATTAGTGTTCACTCTTGGTCTTGTACATTTTATGGGTTTTGATAAACATATAATGATATGTATCCACCATTACAGTATCATAAAGAATAGTTTCATCACCCTAAAAGTCTGTGCTCTGCCTTTTCATTCCTTCCTCCCGCAAACCCTGGGAACCACTGATCTTTTAATTATCTCTATAATTTTTCTTCTTTCAGAAGGTCATATAGTTACAATCATATAGTTTGTAGTCTTTTTAGATTGGCTCTTTCTTTCTTTCTTTCTGTCTCTCTTTCTTTCTTTCTTTCTTTCCCTTTCTTTCCTTCCTTCTTTCCTTCTTTCCATCTTTCCTTCTTTCCTTCCTTCCTTCCTTCCTTCCTTCCTTCCTTCCTTCCTTCCTTCTCTCTCTCTCTCTCTTTCTGTCTTTCTTTCTTTCTTTCTCTTTTTAACAGAGTCTCACTCTGTCGCCAGGCTGGAGTGCAATGGCAGGATCTCCGCTCACTGCAACCTCCGCCTTCTGGTTCAAGTGATTCTCCTGCCTCAGCCTCCTGAGTAGCTGTAGCTGGGACTACAGGCATGCGCCACCACGCCCGGCTAATTTTTGTATTTTCAGTAGAGACGGGGTTTCACCATGTTGGCCAGGATGGTCTTGATCTCTTGACCTCGTGATCCGCCTGCCCCAGTTTCCCAAAGTGCTGGGATTACAGGCGTGAGTCAACACACCCGGCTGGCTTTTTCTTTCACTTAGTAATATACACTTAATATTCCTCCATGTCTTTTCATGGCTTGGTAGCTCATTTCTCCTTAATGCTGAATACTATTCCACTGCCTGGATGTACCACAATTTATGTAGCCATTCACCTACATTTTGGTTACTTCCAGATTTTGGCATTTATAAATGAAGCTACTATAAACATCTGTGTGTATTATAAGTTGTTATGTGGACATAAGTTTTCAACTCATTTGGGTAAATACCAAAGAGTGCAATTGCTGGATACAGAGTTTAATTTTTAATAATGGCGGTGTTTAAAAATCACCTTGGAAAATTGCTGGAAATTTAACAAGAGGTTCTCATCCACTGGTGTGAGCCAGTGTTGGCCTATCACTGCATTATAATTGCATCCCTACCCTTCCTCCAAGTTGGGCTTAATACAAATTCAAATGAGTTTTAGGGGGACTCCAACTGAAGTCCATCTGTGACATGTCTTTAAAATGTTGCTTTTGTATGTGTGTATGTATGTATGTTCCAGTGGGTTTATTAAGTGAAAAAAAATAGCCTGGTTGGTTCTCAGCTTTCCAACAAAAGCAGGTCAAAGCCAGTATCAGGATTTTTTGCTCCTTCCTGTAAACTAAAAATAAGATGCTAAGCTCCTCCACCAACAAAATGGATCCCCTTGTGGCCGAAGGGATCCCAGGAAAACCTTAAAACTTAGTTCCCAGCCATGAAGGGACAGGAGGTCAAATATACCTTGTTATACCCCCGCCTTTTTTCTCTTTAGACACAAAAACCAACCAGCATTAATGTTAAAATAGAGATCATAAGACCGACAGAATGAACTCTTTGTGGCCATAAGACACCAAATTATAAACAAGACCTAAGGCCATGCCAAGCCAAGAGTTAAGTCACACACACCACACACACAACACTTAAAGAATAAACTAGGTTCTAACTGCCACAAGGTTTTTCCTTTTCTCCAGCAGCTAAACAAGAACTGCCCTCAAGATAAGCAAGATTAAAACAATTACAACTCACCCAGCTCACGGACGCTGAGTAACTGACCCCTGTTGCACCAGCCGTAACTACAGCTTTGATTGGATGGGAGACTGACTCCAGTAACTTTCTCCTGATAAGAGACCACCGGCCATGGACTGGTTCTGGCTGGTTTGCAGAAAGTACATTCATCCGCCTTCATGTCCTGAAAAGACCTTTTGAGGTATGGGGCCTAATTTTAATACATTTAAATGTTAAATCTCCACCCCAAAGTGAACCTGGGTTGTATGTTACATGCATGTTTGTTCAATATGCATGTGTCGGGACTACCTTCATGAATATTCGTAGTTCTTCCTGTAACCTGTTGAATACGTATGTTTGGCCACCCTGTCCAGCATGAAGCTTCTGTCCCAGCCCCTCCTCCTTCGAAGTGCCTGACTCCGGTCTTGGCCAGAGGCACACTTCTGAGCCTGCAGGATGGCCACCTTGCAGGCTGTAACCCTTTACAAGAAATAAAATCTCCTCTCCTCACAATTTATAAATTTGTGATATTTTTGGTTAACATTCCAAAGCATCGTGCACAGAATGTGATAAACCCCTCCCACTGGAGGTTCTTAAACTGCTCCTTAGAATCTCAGGGGCTGCCGAGGTGCCCCTAGGGCAGCAACCCATTTTAAGTAGCGCTCCCCACCCCTCCATCCCATCCCCATCTTTTCCACCATGATCCCCTCAAACAGGGCGCCTTCACTCTTCTGTTTGATGTACTGGGTTTCTGCATTAGACTTTGTTTGAAGAAGGATTTCTTTGACTATAAACACTTTGAAACCTCTGCCTTGGAACGCCAAATGTTAATGAAGGAATTGGACTGTGCCTCACACCGTTAATCACCGACCGGTCCGCTGTGCTGCTTCCGCCATGTTTGCAGTCGCCTCAACAAAAACTGTTCCGAGCATCAGCAGTGAGTTTAGGGAGCAAATGCCTATAGCACTGTGGTCTAAGATGTCCATGTCCATAGTGATAAGAAATGGAGACCCAATTGTTACATGGTGCTGTCTACTTTGTTACAGCTGTGTGTGGAATTATTTTGGGCTCACCCCTGGAGCTGCCAGTTAACACTGTAAAATTGAGAGAAGAAGCAAGTGTGATCCATTTTTATTTCCTCTGATTGAATTAGTTTTTCCCGGAGGGAAGACCCATTAAGATCCAGCATTTGTTATCAAGGCTTGGTATGATCAATGTCTTGGCTGAAACATTTGCTGGTCCCATTAGACAAGACTCCCCACAACTTACGTTTGCTGTTTTGTACACAATTTTTTTCCTCTCATATTCAGAGATTTATCACATTGAGTCCAGGCAGTCTGTCTTTATACTTTATACATAACTAATCTGTAAGCACGGTGTATCCTAAAGCACACTCAGAAGCTATTGATAGATCAGGAATGGGAGAAATAAACGCATAGAGCGTCCTCCTTGGTATCCTGTTTGTTGGCACTGGTTATACCACCCATTCCCATGATGAAGGGATAAAGTTGTGCCAAAACTGTCTACCTCTCTTCCTTGTGGGGGAAGCATCCATTCATCCCAGTCTGTTTTAGAGGTAAGTTAGAGGAAAACTTTCTTGTGTACTTTTTCCCTTTTGCAAGCAACCTTCTGGAGGGATTTCTAAACCTCCTTTTTTTAGTTTTTTTCTCCTCCTTCCTTTGTGTTCATGGAGGGACTGCAGCTGCTTTCCTCCCTGACTGTGGCTTAGTAGCTACTATATTTATAGATTTCATATTGCAGTGATGAGAAGATTTGTAAAGATTATGTAAATTGTATACTGTCAAAGGAGACATGTCGGGTTGCTCTCCAGACTTTGGGTGCTTTGAACGGAAAGAACAACACAATTCTGGAAGTTCCTTTCAGTTCCTTTGGGGACAGACCTCACTGTTATTTGGAAGTGATCAGTGATCGGAAATGATGTCATTCCCCAGACCTTGAGATCAAAAAATGTCAACGCCTGGAGAAACTTTAGAGTGTATCTGGTGAACTCGGTTATTTTATATACGAGGGAAATGAAACCAGAGAGGCTAGCCAGCCTGAAGGGTGCCACACAGCTCAAAAGTGAGACAGTCAGGCCCAGAGTTCAGGTAGGCCACTGCACATTTAGGGGAGTTTTGCTTTCTTTTGGTTTTGCTTTGTTTTGCTTTAGCTTCTTGAAACTCTCCTGGGGGCAAGCCTTTATGTAAAAAGAGAATGAAATCAGGGCTCTGGTTGGGTGCTGAGAATGCATGTGAGGGAGTTCTAAGAGAGCAAGAAGGAGCCCAGCCTCCCTTGCTTGTAGCATGAGCTACTGACAGATGGCTTCTTCCCTTCCTCTAACAAAAAAAAAAAAAAAAAAAAAAAATTAAAAAGAACATAAAGAAATAAATCAGTAGAATTCTAAACAGCAAAAGGCCCACTGAGGTCTAAGCAAGTCCTAAAAGGTAGTAACTACAGAGGCCTTTAGATCTTCAGGAATGTGCTGAATTGCTCAGACAGCCGAGACGGTGGAATTCTGGCTGAAATGGTCCTTCCTAACCTTGAGTCAGAAACCTGGGGCTCTCGGCTGCTCCAATTGAGGGTCCCACCCAAGCACCTGAGAGGGAAGGTGATGTGCAGAGCAAAAGCTCTAGCCGCAGCCACCTGGGCTTTTGCAAACCCCAGCAAATTACAAACGGCCCTTCCCTGGTTTGCTGACAGGTTCACTTCTGGGAAAGTTAAATGCAGGCCTGGCTCTAGGCAAAATTGTAAAGTAAGTGAGTCTGTTTTCAGCATATTCTTCTCCTCCTTATTAGCAGCGCCCAGTCCCAGCTGTCACTAGCATCCTATGTACCCACTCTGGCACTGTTGGTGTCAGTGCTAGGCCTTTCCCTTCCTCCCCTAGGCAGCAGCTTCCCATTCCCAGTCCAGGACCCCAGGGCAGCCCTATACTCCCCATTCCAAGCCCAGCCATTCCAACAAACTGACTTGTGCCTGCGCATTGGTGGCTTCCAATGGATTCATTCTTTCACTTCCTCCCAGGCAATATGCTTTCACTTTGGCAATGGCTGGCTGGATACAAGTTAATCGGATTATTCAGAGGGTAGAAATTTCCAGTGTGGGAGCAGTGCACAGAGTGGGAGGCAGGCAGAGGGAGGCAGGGAAGGGTTTGGCCTCTGAGTGGCAGTTGGTCCCTTGCTCTGGCTGTGGCTGAAGGCCCTGGGAGAGGGACAGATGACATGGCATGTTGAAGGCTTTTCCTGGCACTGGGATCCTGTGAAACACTCACAGAGATCTGCTTTTCTTACATCCCCCAAGTTAGCAAATAAATGCTCATAAGACTGGCCGGGTTTGGCTATTTCATAATGAGGCTTGCACACACCACGACCCCTTCTGAGGCCATTCTTACAGGATTTAGGTTTTACCCAGCTTAAGAATTCGGCATGTCTCTAATGACAAGGTCTCAGATTATCTTACCCAGCTGCATGATGCCAAGTGACAGACGGAGTTCCATGCTGCTCTTGGGGCTTTTTTCCTCCTCTTGCATTTTCTTGTTAGTCCTCAATTTGGAGGGGGCAGGAGCTGTGTTACTGAGACTCAGAACTCTTGTTTTCCACCATCATGTTGTGTTTTTCATTGAAACCATTTTCACTGTGTCTCTACGCTGGTTTTAAATGAGGATGACATCACGAGAAATGTTTTTTAAACTACTGTCCTTGGGGAGGAGGGAGCTTGGTGCTGGTGTCTGAAGTCTGTCTCTCTCTCTGCTTTGATAACCCCGGCAGCATCAGTATATGATCATTTGCATCCGGGTATAGCAAGACGCCCTGGTTAGCAATGCACTTCTTCCTATTTTTACTCCTGTGTGCGTGCTGACTCTCACCCACCTACTCTACTGTGTCACCAGCTGGGACTGGTGGCCCCTTTGTGCAAGGCCAGCTTCAACTATGGGCAGCTATCAGGGAGAGGTGGCCTAAAGAGGCTGAGTCCATTTGGATCCTGCCTCTCTCTTCCCCAGCAGGCAGAAACTGTGCGTGTGTTCCCCGAGCAATTCCGGACAAGGCCATCTGCAACTTGCACAGCTCAGCACCAGGAGGATGAGCACATGAGGCCTGAAAAATCTTGGGAAGAGTGATAGCGATGGTGTTTCCTCTCCAGGGATGACACCCTAAAGACCGGGCCCTGTGCAGGGACGATACAAGGTGAGTGGTGGCGGCCCAAAGATGCACCAGACTCACCCAAACACAGTCCCTATTGTTTCTCTCCACCAAGGATCCTCTCGGCTCCAGGGGAGAAGAGACTTTCCCTTCCTGTTGAGCTCTGCAATTTTCTTTAGATAAACCAATGCCGCAAAAACAAGACAGGTGCCTTGCAGGCCATCCACACACTCACACAAAATAGTCACCAGACTTTATTTTAGAAGCCACCAGAATAATGGCTGAGGCATCCAGGAACAGTGTTGAGGAGTGTCTGTGAATGATAATTAAACGTGGCTACCTCCCACACCAAAGACAGCTTCCGCTTGCAGAGACATCTTCAAATGCAATGTTAGCTATGCAGTCTGTGACTTCCTTAGTGCCAATGAGGCCTATGAAGTGTTCAGTGCTATGTGCCAAAGACTTAAAAATTGACTTTCATAAAAGTCATCGTTTATGCCATGGCTGACTCCCTGTTCAAAGAAGGGGTTTCCAAAGCCCCAGAAAGAAGGAGCCTTAGGCATACTCAGATCAGAGCTCAACGAGAGGTTAAGACTCTCCAGTACAGCCAACCAAAAAATCGCAATCCCTTGACAGACTTCCTCTTGGAAGGGGGAGTGGTGCTGGATTTCAGCCTCCTTTCTGATTCCTTTCACAGTGAGGGCAGGCTGTGGTGCTCACGGGCTTGTGGGAAGGGCATAGTCACAGGAGATGGGGCCTGTGCAGCCTTAGCTCAGGCCCCCAAGGTATTTCCAGGATGTTGCCGCCTACCTGAGCCCCTGTCCCCAGAGGATGCATGGATGAATGACCCTGAGTCTCCCATCATGGCCATCTAAGTTCCACCAGTCTGTCCCTAGCCAGAGTCTCTGCTTGCCCCCTCTCCTTTTCCCCCTTGCTTTTCCCAGCTTATGCATCATGCTCTTTGCACACTGTACCATCATCCAAGCTCTACTCTTCCTTCAAGGCCAAATTCAAATTCCAATTCCTTTATGGAATCTTTATTGCCAGAGGTAGTAATAACACAATAATGTCCTGCAAGCATGCAATGGTTTAGAGCTTTCCTATCCATTACCTCATTCAAAGGTCCTAGAGTTCCGGAGCTGGAAAGCCTTACAAACCATCACACTATGATTTTATGGAGATGCAGGCTAAGGAAGCATACAGGATGCTACTGTTGGTGGTGAGCAAGGAAGAGCTCTCAGGCCTCTTGACCACCCAGACCAGTATTCCCCACAGCAGAGACTCCTGCAGGCTGCAGGTGAGATGACTGGGCAGGGTGACTCACCCCTGCCCACACGACCAGCCGAGCAGCCTCGTTAGTGTCTGCGTCTTCTGACTCCTGGTTCAATGCTTTCAAACAGATGGAGCTGCCCTCCTGCAAATCGTGGATTGTCCTTGTGGAACGGCTCTGGGGGTTAGTGTGGCAAAGCTATTTCACCACACATGTGACTCAGCCTTACCCCCGGCGTTGTTATTTAAAATCTTTGACCCCAATAAAGCTCCTAAAGAATAGGGCCAATATTTTATACCCCCTGAGGTTCTTACTGCCCTATTTCACTGCTCCAGTAATTAGTGCAGGACTTTCTCTGGATTGATGGGATGGAGAACCATCCTTGTTTAAACAAGGCAGGAGGACAAAAAGGCAGAAATCAGTGAGAACTAAGCCTTCTCTGCCTGGGAGAGGAAACAGGGGCTTATGCACAGAGAGGAAGGCCGAGGATGGAGGGCAGGCCAGTGGGAAGTGGCAGCTCACACCTGCGAGGGCCAGCCATAGCAGGCGGGTTTGGAGGAGGCTGTCCTGGAAGACTCGACACACACCAGCCATCACCCATCACCCTCCCTTCACTCCACTTATAGGAAAGAGGCCCAAACCCTCCAGACCCTGACCAATCTAGGAATTGGGTTTACTCCAAGGCTTAACAGGCCACATTCTCCCAACCTTTGTGCAGCCTGCTTGTGGGGCCTCTTCCCAGCTCTGGGGCTGGATTAGATAGGAAGAGACTCCACCAAGATGTTTCTGAGGTCTCCTTTGCCCATTTTTTCTTGCAAAGACACCAGATAGGGCCCCTGGCAAGGATGCTGCCATTTCTGCCTCATGTGACTGTATCTGCCACTGAGGCCAAGCCAGATTGCCACCTGGTGCTGGGGACATCTGGCCTGAGACCCTCATCACTTGATGGAATCTTATGCTGGGTCTTCACCACAGGCATTTCTCTTTTTCCCAGTGTCTTTTCCAGTAGTGAATTACTTTTGTCTATATTCTAGGCCCCTGTTCTTGGGTGTGTCAGAAACAAGTAGATACGGTGACTGCCCTGCTGGGGAACTTGATGGATTCTCAAGGTCTTGTGGCAAGTGGCAGCCACACCCACAAAGCCAAAATAAGTCCCCTGTTGACCTGCCTGAGGGCCTGGTACGCTCAAGCCACCTGTTGGGCTCTGACATTTCTCTAGAAGGTTCCTATTACATGCATAGTTATTATATGGGAGATTTGAAACTAATTGATCTTTGGGCAAATAATAATTGTCCCCAAAGAAGCACAGGGTCCTATACAAATAACACTTACTGGGGTTTAATTTCGGTTGTAGGTATAGATTAGTTTATTCACCTGAAAACCAAATGAGTTGGACTAATCTCTCCAGATTATTTTTAACACCAAATATATGGCTTTTGGAATCTAGCAAGGTAGGTGGTTGAGGGATTTCTTTTTTTTTTTTTTTTTAGCTTTCTGATTTGCCCATTTGTGGCACAAGACTTGGGTCAAACTTGTGAATTACTGTCTTCATTTCATAAGGCAGAAGCCCTGGGAGGCCTATCAACACTTCCATGGAAGGCTGAAGGCTCCCTGGAAATTAGGTTGAGGGGCTTCTCTCTTGCAGGGATATTGCTGAGCACGGGGAAGGCTGGAGCAGTCTGTCACGGTCCCGTCTTTGCCGTACCTCGGGACATAGCCTGGATAAGCAAGGGCGGGCAGGTGGGCTTGGGGGTAGACCTAGAATGAGCGTAGCCAATGCTGTGGTGAGGACAGCCCACCTGGACCCTTTGTCACTGTGATTCCCCCAGCTGTGGGGAAGGCTGAAGAGAGGACTGTCAGGAGCAAGGGGCTGTCCTGGGACAGATGCTGTGCATACGCTCTCTCACTGAACGTCACAGAACACGGGCAGCTAAGTGTCCTCATCTGCTTTTTACAGGTAAGAAAGCAGAGGCTCCAGCAGGGAGCTTGCCTGGGGCCATGCTGCATTCTCAGGCAAGGCAGCTCTTCCAGGGCCGGGAGACCCCTGCTAGCTACTTGCCAGTCAACTGTTGTCTCCCTTTGGGAACATCACCTCTGCTGCTGGGCTGGACTTCCTCCCAGCACCAGATGGTGTCACTGACCACCTGAAACACAGTCGATACTGCTACAGACACATCATGCAGTCTTTTTCCTTTCTGATGAGAATTGCACAAAATCGAATTGACCACCTGGAACAAATGCAGCTGATACCATTAAAAACACACCATACAGATCTTTTAGTTTTTAATGGGAATTGCATGAAATCAGATTGACTGGAATGCTTGTGTCTGTGGAACCCAAGCATGTGGCATGCTATATAGATGGTGAATTCATCTGTGCGTGAGGCCGCACGTTTGACGCATCTCCACCAACATAGGGATTGCTTCCCGGCATGCATGACTAATAGTGAGTTGTAAAAAGGAAACTTCACTTAACTATCAATAATGAAAGGGATTTTCAATCAACCATGCTAGAGGAAAGATGGTATTCTCTTCTGTTCTCTGTAGAAAAGGCAATAAAAATCAGTGCCACATAACAAGGTTATCAGAGGATGTAGCATAGAGGTATCACATAGTTAATTAATGAAAATGTTCTCTTATTTTCTGGGTATCCCAAGGCTTTAAAAAATGTATAACTTGTTACAAGTTTTTGTTGTAAATACACATTCAATTTCATGTGTGATTTTTGTATAAGGAGTTTTGCATTCATTTTGTGTAAGTTTCCAGCCCCATAGGTGGGCTCCGCCCACCTGCTGTGCACCAACAATGGAGAAGCCGTGCCAGGAAGGAGACGTGGAGGTGGGCATGGGGGTGGTGGGCGACGGGAAGGTAACCAGCTGTGAAAGTCCCCTCGTGTCATTCTAAAGGAGCCCAACTCTTGTTGGGGGAGTCTGTGGACTTCTAAACAGAGAAATGACAGGATGAGATTTGTGTCTTCAGGTGGTCCTGGAGGAAGGAGGTAGGGTGGTCTAAGGTGGGAAAAAGGGGTGACAGGCAGGTGAGCAAGGAGGCCACAGCAGTGGCATAGGTGAAAGATAATGAGACACTCCTCTGGAGCAGGAGGGGTGAGAAGGATAGTTCCAGTGGTGCTCACGAAGCAGACTGGGCAGAATTTCATGGATGACAGACAAGGAATTCATGTGGGTGTGCTGGGGCCCAGGGACTGGGTAGACAGAGGGAGTACAGTGAGATAGAGAAAGGCCGGAGGAAACTGGGGTTTGACCTTGGATGGCGGGGAGGGTGGAAACACCATTCAGAGACAGCCCAGGAGGAGCAGCAGCTCTGAGCAGATAATGAGTCCAGTGTTGGGCCTGAACAGCCTCAAGTACTGACCCACAAAGCTAAAAGAATGAAATGATCTGAGTCAACAAATTACACACTGAATGAGCCCAGTGGCATGCCAGGCCAGCATGAGGGTGGACAGATTGAACGGTGGCTGTGACGCAGCCTGGGCCCCAGGGAAGAGGTCACAGAACGGCAGACCAAACTGCCCCACTGAGTTTCTTTTTTAATTACACAGCATTTTAGTTAGTTATTAAAAATAAGAAATGCATTAATATGTTTCAAAAATCAATACTTACAAAAGGATATTTGCAAAAAGCTTCCTGGTTCCCCTTCCTGGATTCAGTCAATGTTACCAGTTTCCTTTATATTCTTAAAGATATTTCACGAACATGCAAGAAAATATGTACTGGTATGCACAAATGTTCTTTTCACTTTATTGTATATCTTGAAGATAGATTCATATTAGCATGATAATAGCTATGCCCTTTTAAATAGCTGCATACTAATCCTTTGTACAGACTTACCAACATTTAATTAACTAGTCTCCAATCGATGACCATTGGGTTGTTTTGCATATATATGAGTATATCTGTAGGATAAATTCCTGGAAGTGGAATTGCTGAGTCAAAGGACACATGTATTTATAATTTTGGAGGGCATAAACAGAGCAGTTTTTAAAAATTGGATCTGAATCTGTGTTGAATATCTTCATCTCCGGGTCTTCATGTCCTCACACTCCCCATTGTCCTACCTTTGCGTTACCTGCCTCCTTACAAAGGCACTGAGAAAAACCCCTCAGGTTTAATAGTGAGAGGACCTGGGTTCAAGTCCCAGCTTCCTTACCTAGCTGCTCTTTTCATCCGCAAGACAAACACATCATCATAGGAACCATTCCGGGTGTGTTCAAGATAATTTACTAAGGCAGTGTGTGCAAAAGCGTTGTGTGAAATGTGAAGGGCTTTGTGAATATACTCTTGATGGTGATGAAAATACAACTGAGAAGAAAGAACAGTGTCAGGTGTGAGGGTGTGTATGTATTTTTAGTGCCATGACAGCTTTTATCTTTGGATCTCATAATGCCTTTATAAATATTTACTTGTAACCTACATTTCATTGTGAAACAGCTGTCAGCATCATTATTTTCATCTTACAGAGGGACAGACTGACATCACCATGGTTTCTCCTGGAGTTTCTCTATTCAAATAAATCAACCCACATGAAGAATGCACGTTAAGTTTAGCTAAAAAGTAACTTTCTCTATCGAGCATGTGTGGAAACCTCAGCGATTGTGGCATTCTTCTCATCTGCTTCTTTGATTTATGTTGCTGACACTGTTAGTTGTTCATCCAACAGCTTTTCTTCTACTCCTTCTTCCTTGCTGGTTGTCTTAATCTGTTCAGGCTGCTATAACAAATTACCATGAACTGTGTGGCTTATACCACAGACATTTATTCATCACAGTTCTGGAGGCTGTGAAGTCCAAGATCAAGGTGTCAGCAGATTCAAGATCAAGGTGTCAGCAGATTCAATGTCTGGCGAGGACCCATTTCCTGGCTTACGAATGGCCTTCTTCTCATTGTATCCTCAATGGCAGAGGCCAGAGAGACAGCAAGCTCTGTGTCTCCTCTTATAAGGCACTAATCCCATTGATAGGACTCTATTTTCATGACTGAATCACCTCCCAAAGGCCCCATTTCCTAATACCATCACCTTGTGGGTACGAGCTTCATTATATAAATGTGGGGGACAAAAACACTCAGTCTAAAGCACTGATGGAGATAACCTCTCACTGTAAAGGCTGAAAGCACCAGATACTCGGCCAGGTGCATTGGCTCACACCTGTAATCCCAGCACTGTGGGAGGCTGAGGCAGGAGGATCACTTGAGGTCAGGAGTTCGAGACCAGCCTGGCCAGTGTGGCAAAACCCCATCTCTACTAAAAATACAAAAATTAGCCAAGTATGGTGGTGCATGCCTGTAGTCCCAGCTACTTCGGATGCTGAGATAGGAGAATCGCTTGAACCTGGGAGGCAAAAGATGCAGTGAGCCGAGATTGCGCCACTGCACTCCAGCGTGGGTGACAGAGCAAGACACTGTCAAAAAAACAAAAAACAAAAAAACAGAGACTCTCTTCCCTAGCCTCTCTTGCAGCTAGCTAGGTGATGGGCATGAGAGCCAATCAAGGCCAATGGATGTGAGGGTGTGTCTGCTGAAGGACTCCCTAATAAAATGAAACAAGCAAAAAGAGCCTCCTTTCCTGCCTTTTGGTGGACTTGTGTGAAGATTGTGCCTAGGGCAGTGGCCACCATCTTGTGGCCATACTGGGGAGATTGGGGAGGGGTGGAAAGGACAAAAGAGAAGAAGCACCCCAACCTCCAGGACTTTTATTACATGAGATAGTAATAATCTTTATTTTTTAAGCCTCTGGAAATTAAATATGCTGTTAATGGCCAAAAGCATCTAAATGATAGACTTGGTGTCCAAACCCACGCCATGTTTTGTGCATATGAGCTTCTGTATCCAGTTCTTCAGATGAAATGGTTTCTGAAGCAGTTGGTTTTATAAGGCTCTAATGGAGATTTGTGTGGGGTGAAGGAGGGAGCTTGACCCAAACATGTTAATGACTGCCAACCACAGACAGTGGCACATGTCTCTGTCCCAAACTATACCATTTCCACTCATGTCTTCTGGTCTGGATGTTAGATAACCTCAACTTTTCCCCAAAAATAAAGCACCACATCTAGGAATTCACTAATGGGTACACTGTTTCATCCATCAAGCAAATATTGAATGCTTATAGTAGACCAGGTGATGTTCTAAACACTGGGGACACAACTATGGTAAGTCAGATATGTTGCCCTCAGAGACTTGTAAGTTGGTGGGAGAGACAGGGAGACACATAGGAGACAGGGAGACACGTAGATGACATGGCCAAAAACCTGATTCAGATCAGTTCAGGATCTTGGCAGAAAGCAGTTGGCACATTCTGAAAGTTTCATTGAAGAAAGTTTCATTAAACAACTCTTCAGATGGGTTTAATGGAACCAACAAAGGATGGTGACTCGTATATGTGGGAAGCTGTTATTGCCTTGGGCCTGAAGGGGCAGAAGAAAGGAGCAATGTTACTGGAGCCCAGAGAGAGCTTGGGGCCAGAACAAGTGGAGTTGTAACCTGTAACCAAAGAGGCAGCCACTGGCTACCCAGCTTCCCCACCTCTGCCACCACCCACTGAATCTAAGCCCCCAACCAGAAGGCAAAGGGCCAAGGAGCCCAAGAGAAGCAGCCAAGGAAGGTTCAACCCCTGGGGCACAAGGGGCAGGGAAACACTGAGAATGAGTGCATGGTGGGGCACATGGAAATCACCAGCACAATACTAAAAACTGGTTTTGTTCCCTAGCTCTTGTTTTTGTCAATATTAACTATAATAATTGCTTATTTCAATTTTTCTAAAGTGAGCACTCTTTCGGACTTCTGTTTTTCACACAGCTTTATTTCAGGCCTTGTTAGAAGAGCCATTCAAACGGGAGCTGAAAAACCATTTGAATCTTTGAGGATATATAACTGCCTATACATCTTCAACTCTAGGTTAATTAAAAATTCACAGAATTCAGTGAGAGTGGCAGGCCCGAGGGAAAAGTCATAAGGATTAAAGAGATTTCATCCCCTGCATGTGCATGGAAATTATGCATGACTCCTAGGTTGGGAGTTTGGGAGGCAAGGAAAGGATGTACTTAACCTGATTTAGCTTTAGCTCGGGGATCTCGAGTAGAGCACACTCCTCAACAGCGAACCTCATTCACTAACCTGAGATCAAAACATGAGGAAGCAGAACACTTAACTTTTAATGAACTCTAATCTCTTTAATCAAATTTATAATTAATTCTCATGCTACCCTGGCTAACATTGGAAGCTTTATTCATTAACTCTAATTATTATCCATATTTCCTGCCCTAGAAACATACTCATATACTTCCTACTTTTTCAAAGCCGTAAAGCAGTAGCATAATTGGAGAGTGGTTGTTGTCCAACCGAAGTGACAAGTTCTCAAAAGCGAGGTATCTGCATATCACTCGGAGGACAAAAGTGTCACTGAAAATTCCCATCCACCTGCAGCAGAGAATTACTGCATGCAGAGAATCACGTCTGAACGATCTACCCTCTCTCTCAGCTCTATCATGGCCTGTAAACTGCTCTTAGGGATCCACATCCTCTTCGTTTTCTAATTTGTTTTTTTTTCTGACAAAATTATATGTGCACACATTTTAAAGTCAAATTGTTCTACAAGGCTTTTTATGAAAAACTGCAGTGCGTCCTTAGCATTTTCCACTCCCCAAAGGCAGCCCCCAGCCCTTCATGCAGCACATTCTTGGTAATTCCTTTCATAGCTCCAAATAGCATGCTGGTGATCCTCTTCCTTTGAGTCTTCCATTTTAGGCATTATCTATTGACTCCCTTTTGTGGAGGATGACAACTCTGTTCTCATACCTTCCCCCACCCCCAGCCATTCTACCGCTATTTCATTCAGACACATCACTTGTCCTCCCATCCTCTCAATATCAATACACATACAGTGTAATTTGGTTATGGCAGTAGTCAGTGTTTCCATAATTATGCTTGCAAATGCTATTTATAGTCAAGTCACACAGTCTACTATGCTTACTTTTTCTTTCATGCACAATATTTTGCATTCTCTGGAGCTCATAGTTGTCCCGGGCTTGTGAGGGGTGTGTATGTGTGTGTACATGCGCACACTTAACTTTCTGTGAACTTGTTACAACTTCACACCCAAACTCTACCTAGTTGTGTCAGTCTCCTCTTGACCTATTCAGACATGTCAGGATCCATTCATTCCTGAAGAAATGTCCATGCCACATCATTTGTTCTTGGCATTTCATTTCTTCCTCATCCAGTGTTCCTGTAGTAACTTTTTTAGTGATTTCTTGTGAGGCAAAGTTCTTGAAATCTTGTATATCCTACCAAGTCTATATTCTACCTTCACACGTATGTGATTTTTGAATTGGGAACAGAATCCTAGGATAAACAACCAAAAGCAATGGCAACAAAAGCCAAAATTGACAAATGGGATCTAATTAAACTAAAGAGCTTCTGCACAGCAAAAGAAACTACCATCAGAGTGAACAGGCAACTTACAACATGGGAGAAAATTTTCGCAACCTACTCATCTGACAAAGGGCTAATATCCAGAATCTACAATGAACTCAAACAAATTTACAAGAAAAAAACAAACAACCCCATCAAAAAGTGGGCGAAGGACATGAACAGACACTTCTCAAAAGAAGACATTTATGCAGCCAAAAAATACATGAAAAAATGCTCATCATCACTGGCCATCAGAGAAATGCAAATCAAAACCACTATGAGATACCATCTCACACCAGTTAGAATGGCAATCATTAAAAAGTCAGGAAACAACAGGTGCTGGAGAGGATGTGGAGAAATAGGAACACTTTTACACTGTTGGTGGGACTGTAAACTAGTTCAACCATTGTGGAAGTCAGTGTGGCCATTCCTCAGGGATCTAGAACTAGAAATACCATTTGACCCAGCCATCCCATTACTGGGTATATACCCAAATGACTATAAATCATGCTGCTATAAAGACACATGCACACGTATGTTTATTGCGGCATTATTCACAATAGCAAAGACTTGGAACCAACCCAAATGTCCAACAATGATAGACTGGATTAAGAAAATGTGGCACATATACACCATGGAATACTATGCAGCCATAAAAAATGATGAGTTCATGTCCTTTGTAGGGACATGGATGAAATTGGAAACCATCATTCTCAGTAAACTATCGCAAGAACAAAAAACCAAACACCGCATATTCTCACTCATAGGTGGGAATTGAACAATGAGATCACATGGTCACAGGAAGGGGAATATCACACTCTGGGGACTGTGGTGGGGTGGGGGGAGGGGGGAGGGGGGAGGGGTAGCATTGGGAGATATACCTAATGCTAGATGACGAGTTAGTGGGTGCAGCGCACCAGCATGGCACATGTATACATATGTAACTAACCTGCACAATGTGCACATGTACCCTAAAACTTAAAGTATAATAAAAAAAAAAAAGAAACTTAAAAAAAAAAAAAAAGGATCCTAGGATAAAAGTCACTTCTCTCCAGAAATTTTGAAAGCATTACTTCATTGTCTTCTAGCTCAGGAGTTGATATAAAAAAGTCCACCGTCATTCAGATTCGTGGTTCTTTGTCTGCATACTGTTACTTGTCTCTGCAAGTGCTTTCCAGTATTTGCCCCCCATCTTCCAAAATTTTGCAATGATATACCTTGCTGTGGATTTTTTTTTTTTTTTTGAGACAGGGTCTCACTCTGTCACTCAGGTTGAAGTGCAGTGGTGCAATCTCAGTTCACTACACCTCCACTTCCCAGGCTCAAGCGATCCTCCTGCCTCAGCCTCCAGAGTAGCTGGGACTACAGGCGTGTGCCACCACACCCAGCTAATTTTTCTACTTTTTGTAGAGCCAGAGTTTTGCCATGTTGGCTAGGGTGGTCTTGAACTTCTGAGCTCAAGTGATCCACCCACCTCGGCCCCCCCAAAGTGCTGGGATTACAGGCGTGAGCCACCACACCTGGCCCAGATCATTTTTGTACTTTGAGCAGGGTACATGGTGGACAAAAGAATAGTGTCCTTTAGTTCTGAGCAATGTTCCTCTGCTACTTCCTAAATGATTTCCTCCCCACTATCTCCTGTCTATACTTACTCCTGTGATTTGTTTGTTGGATTCCTGTTACCTGCATTGATTCTCCAATTTTTTCTTTCTTTCTTTTTTTTTTGAGATGGAATTTTGCTCTCGTTGCCTAGACTGGAGTGCAATGGTGTGATCTCGGCTCACTGCAACCTCCACCTCCTAGGTTCACGCGATTCTCCTGCTTCAGCCTCCTGATTAGCTGGGATTACAGGTGCCACCATGCCTGGCTAAGTTTTGTATTTTTTTTAGTAAAGATGGGGTTTCACCATGTTGGTCAGGCTGGTCTCGAACTCCTAACCTCAGGTGATCCACCCACCTCAGCCTCCCAAAGTGCTGGGATTACAGGCGTGAGCCACCATGCCAGGCCATTCTCCAATTTTCTTTTCTTTTTTTTTCACCCCCCTCTCCAATCTCTTGATCTTTTTACTCTGCTTTCTTTTGGGGCATTTCCTCAACATTATCTTTCAACTTTCTCACTTGGTTTCCAATTTCACCTACCACATCTTTATTTTCTATTTTTTTTTTTTGTCCCGTGAGTATTTCTTTGATATAAGACCCTCTTCTTGTGTTGTGGGTGCAGTGTCCTCTCTTGTCTCTCTGAGGTAATTATTGTTCTCTTCTTCTGTCCCAGTAGCCTCTGCTTTGGCAGACTGCTCTTTTTCTGTTGCTTGACTTCTGGTCATTGCTGTGACATATTCTCCCTGAGCACCTTGTCTGATGATCTTGAGTGGGCCACTAAGGGCTGACTGGAGGCTCTGCTGGGCTTCCACCCAGGGCCTGCACTGGAAGCTGGTCAGGCAGGCCATTTCCTTAGGAGTCCCAGCATCAGTTTCATCTGCTGGTGAGTGTCTCTAGACAAGACACCTCTAATCCCCTGCCTGGAGGGTAAATGGCTATTTTCCAGGGCCCCCATCCTACAGTGGGAAGGAGATTGGAGTTTTGAGCATTTACTCACTGTCTGACTTCCATACCCTTCCTTCAGCATGGTTGGTGCCCAAGTTCAGACAGCCTCAGGTTACTTTCTCCAGAAAATAAACTTCCTGTCTGCTGCTGCTGAACTTAGCCACTCCTTAAGGAAGGCTTTCATCCAGTCCTCTCTCACCCCCACTGATAGAAATGCACTTCCTCCAGTTGGTAAGGGTTTCCGTGTGGGAGGAGAGGGGTACCACAGTGTAAATAAGATCATTTCTCAGCTGTTGTCACTGCCAGCTAAGGGTGTCATTTTCTTCATCTGCTAAGTCAAGTACCACTTTTCTATTTGATTTCCAACTTCCAGTCTCTTCTTCAATGCTCTCTGTCTTCGTAAGATTTACAGTCATTGTGGTGGGAAATCCACGATGAACAAAGGTCACAATTTTAAATAAAGAAAGGATCCATGTGAATGATGCTTCATTTGCCCTGTGCTCCACATGGCTCAGCATGGCGCTGGTCCAGTCCATGACCTTGCTCCAGAAGTCCTGACCATCTTGGTATTTTCATAATCACATCAGTCAGTAAAGGTCGCAAGAGGCTGAGAATTGTATTTTCAATTGTCCATCATGCAAAGTACTTAAACATTCCAGAAATGAAGGTTAAATCTAGTCTGGTCTAAAGCATTTTTGGACAGAAAGTTAAACTAATTTGCATGTGGTAGATCAATGTGTCCAGGATGGATGGATGCATCTATGTGTCCTACAAGTAATATTTCTTTCATCACAATCAACACCTTTTTGAAAGACTTTAGAGAGTTAAACAACATATGCATATGTTGGCAAGACAAAGAAGGAAGCCCTGACATGGGTGTTTTTAAATCTGTAGGGACATTTGGAGTGTACTGAGGGATTAGTCAATAGCAAGGCAGCTCCCACACCCAGATGAAACACGACATAGTTCAGGTTTTCTACCAGGATTTACATCAGAAATTTTCTCACAATGTCCCAACTTTAGCAGTTTAGTGTAATCCACTCCAGGCTGAACTCAGACACCTCAGCTTTGATTTGGAAACTGCTGTGCAAATCCAAATCCTCCTTCTCCTCCACTTAACCTTGAGGCCATTTAACTGTACATTTCTGGATCAAGTGAAGTAAGTGGCAAGCTATAGTTGACTCCAAAACATCCTAAGAGTTCCAGAAATCTCATCATCTGACATCTCTCAGTAATTACTTGATTCTTCTAGAAAAATTATATTGTCCTTCAAATAAATTGTGCTTCAGTCTTCCCTACACAGTGGCCATATTCCTGGGCATTCTTTCATGGAAATCTCCACTCTCTGGGGGACTTTCCCTGCCTTACACTCCAATTAAATAGGTCGCATTCAAATGCAGGAGTGTTGATCTCATGGGGATGTTATAGAGATAAGCTCAGGTTTCCACCTGTCCTTTGAGACCCAAGAGGAAAGACACTCTAACATTTCAAGGTAATATTATGTTTTCTTTAGAAACATATTGGACAATTAAGGAAGGGGTCCCTTGAAAAAAATATGAGGGTGCTTGACTGGCATTCTATGTTTTCTGAGGGAACTGGTAACCTACTTTTGCTCAGCTCTTCGAAGGGAGTGAGAGTGTGTGTGTGAGTGTGTGTGTGTGTACATGCTCCTCACCAGCTATGAATTTTATTAGTAAGGTGCCAGGTAAGAACAAGGCATCATTATGAAGAGAAGCATTACCTCACAGCTCAGAGCCTCTAATGAGACCACACCCGCAGGACTTTGTTCTGTCTCAGGAAGCTTAGTTACAGAAAGATGAGGTAACTGGAGGGATGGCAGGGGAATGGAAAACAATACAGAGATACAGCAAATAAAAGCTTCCAGAACACAGAAAAATCTCAAGAAAACAACTCTCCCCATCTTTGATCATTTATCAATTATTCAGTCAGAGTCTAAAATGTTCAAGGCTCCACACTTAAGAGAATTCAAAGGTGAGTGAGATCCAGTCCCTTCCCTGGAAGCACTTAACATACATACAATCTATGGCCAGAGTGGTTGTAATATGCAAGCATCTCAAACTTTTCCAGCTATTACACCTACGGAGGAGTGGGGTGTTGCTTCATTAGAAATATTGATTAATTTCCAGAGCTCCTATTATATAAACATGGCATCATCAAGCTAGATAAACAGATATTAAACAAGCAAGCACTCCTATCTTCTATCAACACAAAATTTTAATTGAGAAGCGAAGCAAAGCCTGAGATAAAGTAGTCATTGTGAGTTCAAACACCTGGAAATGGTACAGAGAAATGCAAAACTCTAAATAAGGGAAAAAGAAGTAAGCAAAGAGAAATCGGCTCTCTGAGCAAAATCCCTTATTTGTGAAATGCAGAAACAGTTATAAACGTACTACAGTCATGGGATTAGAAATGGCAAACAATGACCATGTGAAATATATTAAGTTGTGGTATCCAAGAAAATAGAGGAAACAGCCTGCAGCCATAAAGTCGTGCTACCTCAACTGTGCTGTGCTTGATGGGTTTATTAGATTTCTATGGTGGCTGGAACAAATTATCACAAATGTCGTGGCTTGAAACAACATGAATTTATCATGTTCTATTCCAGCAGGTCAGAAGTCCACAGAGGTCTCACCAGGCTAGAATCAAGGTGTTTGTAGGATGGCCTTCCTTCCTGGAGGATCCGGGGAGAATCTGTTTGCTGGTCTTTCCCAGCTTCTAGGGGCCACCACATTGCTGGGCTCATGGTCCCTTCCTCGATCTTCAAAGCCAGTAATGTAAGGCCAAGTCCTTCTCACATTGCGTTGCTCTGACCTTCTTTGCCTCCTTCTTCCACTTTTAAGGACCCTTATGATTACACTGTTCCTCAACCCCAACAATTCAGGATCATCTCCTTATTAAGGTCAGTTGATGAGCAGCCTTAATTCCTCTTTGTCAGGTGCTATGGGTCCAGTTGCATCTCCCCCCCACCCCCGGCCAAAAGAAAAGAAGTCCTAACCCCCCACCTAGTGCCACAGAATGGGACCTTATTTGGAAATAGGGCCACTGAGATGTAATTAGTCAGGATGAGATCATACTAGAGTAGGGTGAGCCCCTTAACCAGTATGACTGGTGTCTTTTCTCTATCGTTTTTTAGAGATAGGTTCTAACTCTGTTGCCCAGAGTGTTGCCTGGAGTGCAATGGCATGATGATAGCTCACTACAGCTGCGGACTCCTGGGCTCAAGGGATCCTCCCACCTCAGCCTCCCAAGTAGCTGGGACTGCAGGAGCATGCCATCACACCCAGCTAATTTTTTCATTTTTTTTGTAGAGACATGGTCTCACTATGTCTCCCAGGCTGGTCTCAAAACTCCTGACCTCAAGATCCTCCTGCCTCAGTCTCTCAAGCTGCTGGAATTACAAGTATGAGCCATCATGCCTGGCCAACTGGTGTCCTTATAAGTACACAGCCATGTGAAGACCCAGACACACAGGGAGAATGCCATATGGAGACACTAGCAAAGACTGGCATGATGCATTGATGAGCCAAGAAACTCCTGGAATGATCAGCATGAAAGGAGGCAAGAAAGATCCCCACTTAGAAACTTCAGAGGGAGCTTGATCCTACTATACTTTGATTTTAGACTTTCAGCTTTCAGAACTGTGAGACAATAAATTTCTCTTGTTTTAAGCCAACAAGCTGGTGGTACTTTGTTACAGCAGCCAAGGGAAACTAATAAACCTGTAAGGTAGCATATTCACAGGTTTCAAGGTGGACATCTTGTGGGGAGGAAGAGGTATTATTCTGCCTACCATGATAGCCTTAAGGGGATTTTGCATTTTAGTAATTTCCAATGAGAAGAAGTAGAAGGATGTTTGGAGATAATTCTCCATGGGTCTCAGGTTTTTGCACGTCTTGAGAGTGGAAGTGTTTGATGCCTTTGTTCCAGACTATATTTTAAGAATGTTTGTACATCAATAGCCTTGATATATGGGGATAATATCTATCCCTGGAACAAAAAGATTTTTTTAAAATTTTTTGTTTTGTTTTGATTTGGTTTGGTGGTTGTTGTTGTTATTTTTACTGTCAGTGTAATAAGGAAATGTCTCTCTCCAAGGTTACAGTCAGGCAGGCATACTGTCTGTTAGAAAAGACTTAGGTTCCCTAAGCACGAGGCTCCTCTTCTACAGCACAACCCACAACGGTGCAGGTGCCACCATCACCCTGAGGGATGACTTTGGAAACTGGTGCAAGTGCTGACACCCTAGCTGCTGTTGTGGCTGTGAGTTGCAAACTGTCCTCTGCCTCTATCCCAGGCGTCTTGTGTCTTCTGCCAGCATTCTCGAAACTGTGCCAGTTAACAGGTTAACTTGCAAGGAGTGTCAATCTCAGGCCCTTCCCAGTTCTTGACAAAGAGAAATTCAGGTATAAAATACAGAAAGTGAGCGAGAAATTGCAGTGAGTCGTCACTGAACAATTCATCATGCAGGTTAAACAAACCAGGACTTCTGCTTACCTACTTTCTGCCTTATTTGCTAACCCCAGTAGTTCTCCAAGTGAGGGGGTCCCTGGACCTGGGTCCTCAGCGGCACATGGGAAGCTGTCAGAAGTGCACACCTGGGGGCCACACCTCAAGTTTATTGAATTGAAAACTTGGGGTGGGGTGCAGGCCTCTGTATTCTAACAGGCCCTCCAGGGTGCTGAGCATGCAGCTCGAGAACCACTGGCCTGCCTGGAGGTCCAATCCCAGCACCTGTAGGTTCCTGGGTGTGTGGGTGCCCATGGACAGTTGTCATGGGGACCCTGAAGCCCAGGACATGAGAGGCCAGAGGAGAGTCCTTGCCCATCCACTCTCTGTGGCTGCTCTATCTCCACTTCAGTGGTGCAGGGTGGGGTTTTCTGTGTTTTCCATACCTTCTCCCTCTCCGCCATCATTCCTAAGGAGAGCTGGCCTTTTACTAAACTACCATGCTGAAGTCACGTGGTGCCAGTGGGTCAACCTCAGCATGCTGGTCTTACGAGTGCCCCATCTTCAAGGAGGCAAAGTGGACAGGCCAGCTCAGCGGAGTCCCAGGGAAGCAGGGGTCAGAGAAAGAAGGGAAGGAGACTGAGGGAGGAGGAGAGGCCTGTGGGCACAGACTTTTTCCCAAAGTAAAAAATAAGCTGACGGAAGCCCTGCAGACAGGCTCCTCCGCATCTTTGCAAGTTGAGGGGCTGCTGCTTGGCAGTCCTTTCTGGGGGGAGCAGCAACATTCCATGAGGACAAAAGGAAACTGTGCGTACACTCTTACGAAAGAGTGGAAGGTTCCAAGTTTGAATAAAGTCACCACTGGCAGAAATGTAAGAACTGAGTCTTCAGGAACTTCTTCAAGGCTGCCAGAGGACTGGGAGAGGCTCAACAGATTCAACAAGGCATGGGAAAAAATGACCTCCAAGTGATTTACACGGTGTTTTTTTTTTTTCTTTCCTCAGATAAAAATTACCTTGAAAATTCTCCTTAGTTCTCTGCATCAGAGTGAACGATGATTTTTTTTTACTGCCAAAAAAAAAAAAAAAAAACCAAAAAACAGAAAATAGCATAGAAGGGAAAAAAACTCTGACAGGGATCTTAGGG
This sequence comes from Homo sapiens, assembly GCF_000001405.40. Lineage (NCBI taxonomy): Eukaryota > Metazoa > Chordata > Mammalia > Primates > Hominidae > Homo > Homo sapiens. Next base: position 105,579,239 of record NC_000002.12, on the reverse strand, counting down.
GATTTTTTTTTTTTTCTAATAATGCTACTTTTCACTCCCATTGCCAGACAAATCACAGCGTGGAAAATACTCTATTCACTACCCCATGAAGAGCTTTCACATATATGAGTTAATAAAACGCTGAAAGCAGCAACAAAAAAAACTTTGATACCAAAAACGAATTTATCCATATCCTTTATGATATGTTCCTTTATGATAAAGGGCTTATAGCGATCAGATCTTGCTCTGAATGGGCCTGCCGCCCCTGAGAGAAGAGCGCCTGTCCCTGTGCCTGGCCTCATTCAGTCTTTCTGTTGGCTCTTCCTCATCCTGGAAATGAGCTCCGGGTTTTATGGGAACATGTATGAAATCCATTAGTCCTTTAGCTTCCCAGGAGCTACCACAGACCGACCACCTGATGATGCCCAGTGGATACTTCTCATGGAGTATTTATAGAACATTTTATTAGTTTATTACCAATGGACCTAATGATACTCCTTGCATATGAATAAGCTTTCTTCCAGCTTAATTTTCTTGACTCAATTTTAGGCATCCCTGCCCACATGCTTACTCTTAAAACTGTTTATTTTCTCAGGCTCCAAAAGGAAGAACCTGGACCTCTTCGGGGTAAAGATGTTAGCTACCACCTTAAATAAGCCTGTATCTTCAGCCCCAAAATGAGCCATCAGACAGGACCATGTGCATGGCAGGATGCAGGCTTGTCATCTCAGGTGATCTCCCTGGCATTGCACCTGGGCTGGGGCAGAGAGGAGCGTGGCCCATGACAGCATCACACGATACAAAAATCCAGAAAAATGGCCTATAAGGCCAGCTGTGTGATGCAGCAGGAGAACAGGTTCACACCAGGAAAGACATGGGCAGGTGTGAGCCTTTGAGGATGGGAAGCCGCCCTTATCAGTGTTTGCAGTTGGGGTGAGGTGTTTGTGCAAAACCAGGCTTCAAAACTGACAGTCAATCATCACGTGTCCCTCACCTGAAGTATTTATCATTTCTATGTATTGGGTCATTTCAAACCCTCCCTTCTAGGTATTTTGAAATATACAATACATTGTCATTAAATATAGTAATCCTACTCTGCTATTGAGCTTCAGAACTTATTTCATCTAAAATAAATCATTCTACCAAAAAGACACATACACTCGTATGATGATCATAGTGCTATTCCCAATAGCGAAGACATGGAATCAACCCAGGTGCCCAACAATGGTGGGCTGGATAAAGAAAACGTGGTCCTTATACATCATGGAATACTATGCAGCCATAAAAAAGAACAAAATCAGATCCTTGACAGCAATAGGGATGCAGCTGGAAGCCATTATCTTAAGTGACTTAATGGAGGAACAGATAAGCAAATACCAAATATTCTCACTTATAAGTGGGAGCTAAACACTGGATACTCATGAACATTTAGATGGCAGCAATAGACACTGAGGACTGCTAGAGGGGGGACGAAGGGGAAGGAACAAATGCTGAAAAAGTACCTATTGGGTACTATGTTCACTACCTGGGTGATGGGATGAATCATACCACAAACCTCAGCATCATGTAACATACCCTTGTAACACACCTCCACATGTACCCCGAATCGAAAAGTTTGAATTACTTTACTAAAAAAACTTATTTATCACGAGGTCAGGAGATCAAGAGCATCCTGGCTAACATGGTAAAACCCTGTCTCTACTAAAAATACAAAAAATTAGCTGGGCATGGTGGCGGGCGCCTGTAGTCCCAGCTACTCAGGAGGCTGAGGCAGGAGAATGGCGTGAACCTGGGAGATAGAGCTTGCAGTGAGCCGAGATCAAGTCACTGCACTCCAGCCTGGGCGACAGAGCGAGACTCCATCTCAAATAAAAAAAAAAAAAGAAAGAAAAAAAACCTTATTTCTTCTTTCTAACTTATGTTTGTACTGACTTAATCATTACACATTCTGTGCATGTAAAAATATTCCACATACCTCATAAATGTGTACAATACTATGTATCAAAAATAAAAATAAATAAAAATTTAAAACTGTTAGTCAAAGAGAAAGTAGCCCAAGGACATGAAGAGGAGGGTGTGAGTCAGGATCTGTACAGATCGTGGGAAACGGAGCTTTAAGTCAGGGCAGCAGGAGGCCCTGAGGCCTGGAAGGGGTCAGGGCCAGCTCAGCAAAGGGCAGAAGTGGAGAGTAGCACTGGCCTCTGGCTTGTCTTTCCTTCTAGTCAACCAGGCTTCCAGCGTCCCCCACCCCCGGATCATGCAGAGGACAGAGCCTGGGCCTCACACCAGGGAAACTCACTCTAGTGCCACCTCTGCCCCACACAGCTCTGTGGCCTCGAAAAGTCCTTCTTTCCTCACTGGCCTCAGATTCCCTACCTGGACAGCCCACTTTGGACTTCCCATGGGCCTGGGCCCCTTCCAACTCTCACGTTCTCTCCCTAGTGGCGGTCCCCCGTCCCTGTTTTCACAAGGTGGGCTTGGAGGCAGGGCCCACCTGAGTGTGTGATGTCAAGGCAATTCAAGACCGGAGGGAGCTTGAGCTCTTAAGAAAGACCACACTCATAGGAGCTTACGAGACACACACTTGTGGATTTCAGAAAGTGTGTAGCTCATCGTTCTGGATCTGAAATACGTCAACAAATCTCTTTGTTTGTCTCTTTGTCCTGGAGATCTTTTCACAGAAAGGAACTGCAAACACCTCACCAATTTAAGTGACTTAGTCTTAATTCTTCATGACCTCTAGTGGCAGAAGAAGGACTCTGCTATTTGATTTTTCCAGGTAATCCTCTTTCACCCTTGCCTCCTCATTTCTCTGGAATCTCTTTCGTGTCCCCACAGTTTCCCACTCCCGTCGCGTCTGTTCTCCTTCAGACCATCTCGCAACCCACTGGCACGTCCCCATAGCCTCAGAAATCACCTCTCTGACTGCCCCCCCACCCGCTCCCTCCAGCCCTCCTCCCCCTGCTCACAGAGCAGTCAAGGAACGTCCTGGGCACTGGGGTCCATACAAGAATGAAGGAACGCGCCGCACACTGTGGCCCCCGGGCTGCCAAGCCTGCCCTGACTGAGCAGGGCACCTGGCGTCCATGCCCTTTATGCAGAGTCATTGGTGTGGTGGGGTGGGGTCAGCACCTCAGAGCCCCTGTGGGGTCTAATGCACTCTGTTACCCTCCTAAAAGATGAGGTACAGGCACTCTGTTACCCTCCTGAAATCCAAAAAGTACTGAATTCCGAAATACAACAGGCCCTGGGTGTTGAAGAAGGAAATGAAAGCCTTCGAGAAGGGCACTGTTGGTTTCCCACTCAGATTCCTTGTTCCCGATGGGCCCCTTTGGAACCTCTCTCTCTCCCTTTTCCTCTCCCTTTCCTTCTCTCCGCCCCCTCTCTGTCTCCATTATTGGATGGGTTTGGGAACGACATATGGCCCTGCCTGCCTCTGGCTGCGATCCTGCAACCATGCCGGGAGCCAGACCTTGGCTGAAGCTCACACAGAAAGTGGCAGAACAGAGAAACAGAAAGAAACTAGGTCCTTGAGGGTATCTTTGAGCCACTAATCTTGCCAAGCCTGGACCCACCCTCCCTCTGAACTTGCAGTTCTATGAGATAATACACTTTCTTATTGTTTGAGTTGGTCTTTTTTGCTTTCACTTTGAAGTGCAGATCCCATCCTTGCATACGCAGCTTAGAATTATTCTCCATCGTCTTCAGGATAAAGTGCTTCCACCTCAGCTCCGCTCAGAACAGAGCTCATGGTCCCCATCCCTCCTCCTGCTACCTCCTCCCTACCCCTGAGCATCCATCACTGCTAGTCCCTCAAGTAGACTCTCTCCTCCAGCAGCATAAAAACTACCTGCAGCTCCCCTGACTCTCCTGTGGCTTCACTCCTTCTTGCCTTTGAGAAGGATACTCCCTTCTGGAATGTGCTTTCTTTATTGTCAATCCCATGCACATTCTGCCTCAAAATTCTAAGCATTACCTTCTCTGGGAACCCCTTCTTAGTTCCCAGGGAGCAGGCTAGCAAAGGGGTTGAGAGGACAAGCCGAGGTTGAGAGAGGAGAGGACATTGCCAAGAATGGAAATCTGAAAACAGGAAAGATGGAAAAAAATTGGGTCATGGAGGTCCTGGATCAAGCTTCACCTGAAGGCAAATCTATTTTCAGGCTTTAAGTCTTTGTGAGTTTTAAATTTCCTGTATTGTTTATGTTCCTTGGGGTTAGTTTTGTTCATTTGTTTCTTGCAACTAAAAGCATTCCAAAATGCTTTTCCAAAATTCAGGTCTCTTAGGCTTTACCAAGGACTGGCAGCTTTTCAAGAGCAAGAACAAGAGCCATAGATTATTTAGTTTTCTAAGCCCTGTGTTAGAAGACACGCAGTAAGAGCTGGTTGAAATTAAATAAGCTTCTCCCTTTGGTAAGTTTTGGTTTATACATATATTTCAAAAATTCAGTTCTCAACATTGTTGGTTCAAAGAAAAAAATTACTGAATTCTAGCCAGGTTCAAGGTTTGTTCTTTTAAGAACAAAACTGAGTGTATGCTCAGCATGTCATATTTAAATTGCATTGAGGGCATAGACTAAAAATGGTCAAATCACATGCTCTTTATAAAAATGCCAACTTTTGATTAAAAATACATAGTCCCCCAATGATCTAACGTTTTTCCAATAGGATCTGAGGGTTACATATCTATTAAGATAATTTGTTTTGCTCTCAGAGAAGGCCTAATTGCCACTCTAGCAAGGTCTAGAGAGGCTGATTTGCCAACAGGTGTTCTGCTCCCCACTCACCAGTGCACAGGCTTCTGCACGTGCGTGGAAGTTCCGGCCCAGGGCAGCACACGTGGATCACTGTCTGGGAGCTGCACTTAAACCTGGAGGTTCCCTTGCAGAGCCACAGCTCTTTCCCACCCCACCCTACCCCTTCCTGGTCCTGCTGAGTAAATCCCTCATCACATAATGATGCCAACTTCATATCCTGCTTGGGAAACCATATGAAGAAAAAGACATCAAGCTGTTCTGAGAGGCTATTATTTTGGCAACATTGTTCCACGGTAATTTAGCTTGGTGGCTTAGCAGTGTGAGGTTCCTGTAGTCCTCCTGCGATAAGCTGGATCTTGCCTGCAGAGCAGAGGGAAGGTGGCTGGTAGGTCAGACGCCACCCAAAAAGCCTTGCTGACTATGCAGACTATCTAAAGCCATCACTCTGTGGTTGCAAATGGGAGAAATCCAGCTAAAAAAAAAAGACAAGAGGAATTGAGTGCTTATGTGGCTAAAAGTGTCATGACTTTAGGTGTGGCTGGATCCAGGTGATTGACAGAGGCTTGGAGCCAACATTTGCAGTTGAGGAATCCATCAAAATAAATTCTCTTTCCCTGCAGTTATGGAAAAAGCTATGATGCTTCCAATCAACTCAACTTCCTTGCTCCTTCCTGAACTATAATCATAGTGGATAGAGGGTGGTTAAGGGACTCTGTTTGGCCAGGCCTAGGTTACTTGGTTATATCCAGGCACAGGGTACATTCGTTTGCTAACGCTGCAAAGAAACAAAAACGAAAGCAAACAAACCAATCCCCAAAACCGGGTGGTTTAAAGCAACAGAAATGGATTGTCTCACAGTCTGGAGGCTGAAGTCTGAAGCCAAGGTGTTGGCATGGCCACACTCCCTCTGAAAGTAGTAGGGGAGTTCTTCGTTGCCCCTCTCTAGCTCCTGGTGGTTGCTGCAGGCTTTGGCATTCTGGGGCTTGTAGATGCATCATTTTAATCCTCAGTTTGCACATGGCCATTTTATCCCTGCGTCTCTTCACATTGTCTTCCCTCTCTGTGTGTTTGTGTCCAGATTCCTCCTTATGAGGACGTGAGTCATACTGGATCAAGGCCCTTTCTAATGACCTCCTCTTGACTTGATTACATCTGCAAAGACTCAATTTCCAAATACGATCACATTAACAGGTACTAAGGGTTAGGACTTGAACATATATTACTAGGTGTACATAGGGGAAGGGGAAGGGCACGATTCAACCAACAACAGTTGGTGGGAAGAGCTAAAACCCATGTGTGAAGTGGGCATGATAGTAACAGCACCTTCCTCACAGATTCGATGTGAGGAGTCAAAGCTCTTGCAAAGCCATCATCCCAGTGCCTGGTTCCTGCTGAGCACGTGATCAGTCTGGTTTTTGCTTGGGTGGTAACTTCTACAGTGGAGTCAAATTATACATACAAACTTGTGCACATTCAATTGCATGTGTGGAGAGAGACCAATTTAAATAAATTAAAGGGATTAAGAAATAGGGACATTTCCACCCCACCTCCCCCCATTCTACTCAGAGAGAACACTCAAGCAAGAGGAAATTGGAGGAGGGACTTTGCTGTTTCCTCAGATCGCCTTGGTCCCAGGCTCCCCCCATTGGGTAGAATGTGAGTCTAGGGTGGACAGAGGTCTCTTTTGTGCACATATGCCCCGAAATGCAGGCCAATGACATCACCTGGTGCCCAGGTTGGGAACAGGCTCTGGAGGAGATGCCAGTGTGCGGGGTCATGGAGCATGGCTCAGGGCACACCTCCTCAAACCGGCTGTAGTGAAAACCAGTGTCCTCCACCTCTCCCAGACCCCTGAAGGTCCAACAGTCCCTGACAGCACGTGACTCATACTGCCTGCATCTCAGCACATGCTGAACAGCACCTGCCCTGGTCTCAGACCCACCCACAAGCCAAGGCCACTGATTGCAGCTAGTGGCTGCTGCAGCCACGCCAAAGGCACAAGTTTCTACTCACTTGACTCTCATTTCTGTGCTTTTCTCATTGAGGGCTGGTAACAGACAGTCAGAGACCAGCCCTACCCATAGACCTCACTTTGAGGAGCCACGTGTCCTATTGAGATAACTTAGAGGGTATTCAGAATGGAGGCTGAATGAGACATCCCCCTTCCTTCACTCCTAAGCCCTACCCAAGACAGGCCTCCCCTCGGTAGAGAACACCACCTTTCCCTGTGTGTCTTCTTTCCAGTCCTTTCACCATTGGTTCTCCCTTCCTTAACCAACCTCTCTTCCCCAAATTCCCACCACACATCTCTAGCCTGGCCATCCCAGCCTTCTTGCCCTCCTAGCAGCAGAGTCATTCTTGCAGACATGACCTTGCCTTTTTCAAACTGTGACACAACCCAATATGACCAGACCTTGCTTTGTTTCATGGGGTCTTAAGTTTTAAAGAAATAAAACAGTGAGCCCGTTTGCTCCTTCATATAGGCTCTGGGGTCCTAATGGGAAGGGCTGGCAGGTGAGTGGGGAGAGGGAAAGGTGAGAAGGGGGAGTCAGCCTCATGGGGGGCATTGGGTAGGTGTAAGGAGAAAGCCAGTGGCCAGTGAGGACAGCCACACCTGCCAAGGACAGCCAGGAGGCCCCTCAGGGCTACCAGGGACACCTCAGCCTCAAACCAGGGCAGAAGAAGACCACACGTTTCTCTTCCTCTTCAGATCTTCCTCTTCTCAGCCGCGTTGTGGTAGTAATTGAAGGAGTTGGTGGTTGGTGATTACTCAGTGTAATGCTACTGATGAAATCGGTCATTCCGTGCCTGCCACACATCCAGGCCTCTCAGTTCTGACCCTGCTGCCCCAAGGCCTCCACAGGGACCCTTGGAATGTCCTGCTTTGCTGGCTTCCTGGAAAACTGGGGCTCTTGGTGACACTGGATCGCACTGGATCGCCCTGTATCCTTTTGTTCGTACTTCATATTTTGCAAGCACTGTGGCTGCAAGTTGAATGAGAACAATTCGAATGTCCATTGACAGTTGAATGGGAGAACAGAATGTGGTCTAGACATGCAGTGGAATATTATTCAGCCTTGAGGAGGAGGGAAGCCCTGACACATGCTACAATATGGATTAATCTTGAGGACATTACGCTGAGTGAAATAAGCCATCACAAAAGGAAAAATACTGCATGATTCTACTTGTATGACGTCCCTAACATCCCTAGAGTAGTCAGATTCACAGAGACAGAAAGTAGAATGGTGGGGGGTGGGTGTCGGGCTGGGAGGAGGAAGAAGGGGAGTTAGCATTTAATGGGTGCAGAGCTTGGGATGACAAAAATGTCCTGTAGGTGGATGGTGGTGATAGATGCACAGCAAAGTGAATGTACTCAATGCCACCGAACTGTATTCTTGAAAATGTCAAAAATAGAAATTGCATATTACATCTATTTTACCATAATTTTAAAAAGTTAAATTAACAAACACTTCATTGTGTTTGTTGTGCAGCTTTTAATGAAGACTCAGTCAGCACACATGGAGCACCTGCCTGGCCGCGGTCATGCCAACCCTGTTCCAGGAGCCAGCAGTGCAGCTGCAAGGCACCTTCTGTCCTGCAGGGACTTAGATTCCAGGGGAGGACAGGGGAGGAGGCAGAGAAACAAAAACAAGCAGTAATTTTAGGTAGCCATAAGTGATGGGTAGAAAAATAAGGCCAGGTAGGAGGCCGCAGAGGAAAGCTGGTAGGGGAGGGAGAGTATTCTTGATAGAGATTGAAGGGCCAGGAAAGCCCCCCAAACCCCACTCCAAGAGGTGGGATTTGAGCAGAGATCTTGGTGAATTTGGTGATGGAGGGGTGTGCAATCTGGTGCAGAGGCTCTGGGGGAGAGAATATTCAAGAACAACAGGGAGACCCTGTGATGGGACTCAGTGGGAAAGGCATGGAGTAGAAGGCGGTGGATCTGGAAGGGAGCGACACCGGGTGGTGTCGGAGCCTGTGCACCGCAGCGTGTCACCAGGTGTTGCTCTGAGGGGATGGGAAGCCCCTGGAGGGTGAGCATGCTCACCTATGGAGCCGCAGGGCTGAGTTAACAAGTTTCTTCCGGCTGCTGTTTGTGGCCTCTGCTGCAAGGAGGAAGAGAGAAGGAGCACTGGAGATGCATTTGGGGGTTGGTACAATGTTCAGAGGATGTTGGCAGTGTGGGCCGGCATGCTGGGATGGAGTTGGTAAGAAGGGGTTGGTCACAATATATTTCAACATTAGAGCCAGCAGGACCTGAGGATAAAATCGATGTGAGGTGTGAGGGAAAGAGAGGGCTCAGTGTGCTCTGCACACCTTCCGGAGGGGGCAGTTACAGAACGGCGGGGCTATTGTCTGAGAGAGGGGATCTCGGGATGGAGGAGTCATGCAAGTGTGGCTGTGTGATGGCTGAGGCTGGCTAGACATCCAGGTAGGGATGGCATGTAGGAAGTTGGAAATCGCAGTCTGGCTGAGGATTTTCAATTACTGCATGGAGATGGCATTCATAATTTAAAGCCACAGGAGATGAGAGATTACCTAAGAAGCGAGGGTACCCAGAGACTAGGATGAAACCCTGGGGCTCTCCATGGTTCAGATGCCATGTTTCTCTCCATGAGGCCAAGACAAGTAGGTCCTTCTGCATCCTGCTCCTCACTCACAGTGGCTGACGGGCTGAGGCATCTTCCTACTCGGCCGTTCCCAGCTCTGCGGCTCCCTGTTGCTGGGTATTCCTCTATGTGCTGCTTCCAGCTCAGGCATTCTCAGCCCTGGCTATACAATAGAATCACCCCGGCAGCCTTTCAAAAATACCATTGCCCTGGGACCATTCTGTATAAATTGAAATAGAATCTTTGGGGTGGGATGCAAAGCCTCTGGATATTTTGAAAAGGCAATTCTGATGCACAGTTGAGGTTGAGAACAGCATATTCCACGCGACTTGGTGCACATGGATGCATGTGTGCATTTTGGCTTGTCCCACAACCTGCTGTGGAGGATCTCTGGGTTCTTTAAAAAGAATGTCTTATGACAAAGCATGGTGGTTCATTCCTGTAATCCCAGCACTTTGAGAGGCCTAAGCAGTTGGATCACCTGAGGCCAGGAGTTCAAGACCAGCCTGACCAACATGGTGAAACTCTATCTCTACCAAAATTACAAAAATTGGCCAGGGGTGGTGGTGTGTGCCTATAATTGCAGCTACTCAGGAGACTGAGGCAGGAGGATTGCTTGAACCTGGGAGGCAGAGGTTGCAGTAAGCTCAGATCGCACCACTACAATCCAGCCTGGGCAACAGAGTGAGACTCCAACTCAAAAAAAAAAAAAAAAAAAAAAAGAAAGAAAGAAAGAAAAAAGAAAAAGAAAAGAAAAAAAAGTCTTACAGCTGGTCTGCCTGTTCTCAAGCTTCTGTGGTCTTAGATATTAGATCCAGGTGGATTTGTCACGATAACTGGACCACAAGAAAAAAAAAATAAAACCCAAGATATATCTTACAAGAAAACACTTGTAAATTGTTCTCCTTTTTTATATTGGTCTGTTGGGTATAATTTCAGCCATTTTTCTGTGCATTTAAAAGCATTTTTATGCACAAATGTAATATATTGTTTTGTTTGGGGTGGGTGTATATATTTATACTAAATATATAACACTACAATTTGCCTTTCTTTTTTCACTTTAACAACATGACCAGGAACTCTTTTGATAGGGGAATGCGAAGGCCTGGTCTGTAGACCCTAGTATATATGGCTACATTTAAGTTTAATTAAAATTAAATAAAATTTCAAATTCAGTTCCTCCATCATGCTAGCAGCCGTGTCTCAAGTGCCTGGTGGCCACATGTGGCCATGGCTGTCACACCGGACAGCACAGATAGTGAACATTTCCATCGTCACAGAAAGTCCTACGGGACAGCGCTGGGTAGGGCATTCTTAGCTAAGGCGTCCTCACCCATAGCATGGATGTGTAAGAGTTAGAAAAAGAATTTTTTTTTTCAAACCTTCAGTGAAGAGAAAAGAACACTTTAGTGAGGTCTTTCATGTGAAAAAGTAGGTCACAGCAAATAGTTTCTCCAAGGGGCGGAAATCAATTCCGTGAGAGTATGAGGTGGCAGCGAGGCATTTAGAGCTCAAAGACTTCTCTGCAAATGGTTGTTTCGCCCTTGCTTGGAGGTTTTTAGATTCCCTTGCCACCTTTGTCATCTGCAAACCGTAACGACACCCCTCACACCCTGGTGTTTTCCTGACTGCCTCAAAGGCTCTCCTTGCACACCGCACCCCACCGTCTTTCACTGCGATGCTGCCTCCGTATTCATGGGCTTCCCGTGTCCGCTGCTCTGTAAACAGTCTGGCGAAGACCTATTCTGCAGGGGTGTCATTTATTCTAAGGTGAGAGAATGCATATGGATGAGAGTGCCTCAACGAGAGAGCATAGCTGTGTGCTCTCCGGTGTCCAGCACTGACCCGATGATAGCATTTAACTCTCCCTGGGAGGGGACGCAGTGCTTTAAAAACATTCCAGACGCTCCCTAATGGTTTTGCCTGAGTCTCTGGCATCAGAATTGGCAGGTTCTTGTCTACAGGTATTGAATGCACAGGGTCTCACTTCTTACTGAGAAACTACAGACACAGGGGGCAATGAGAAAGGAAGAAGCCCCAAACGCAGCTGACTTATAACTAAATGTTTAAACACTTAAAATGTTTAAACACAACACACATTCTGAGTTTGGATGGATACTGTGTGGAATGTTTAGTTAAATGAATCATGCTTATGCTGTTTTTTTTTTTTTTTTGAGATGGAGTCTCGCTCTGTCACCCAGGCTGAAGTGCAATGGTGCGATCTTGGCTCACTGCAATCTCCGCCTCCTGGGTTCAAGCGATTCTCCTGCCTCAGCCTTCTGACTAGCTGGGACTACAGGTGCCCACCACCACGACCAGCTAATTTTTGGATTTTTAGTAGAGACAAGGTTTCACCATGTTGTCCAGGATCGTCTCGATCTCTTGACCTCGTGATCCACCCACCTCTGCCTCCCAAGTCTGGGATTATAGGCGTGAGCCACGGCGCTGGCCCATGCTTATGTATTTTGACTGCTCTCTTTTGTTTTTCGAGTAATTATTCATTCATTCATTCCATAAATATGTATCAATTGCTTAACCTGTGCCTGGTAGTGGGGACGCCTGGGTGAACAGGACAGGTGTGTCCCTGGTCCCCAGGGCGCCTCATAGTGTTAGAGACAGGCAGACCACCAAGCAAATACCCCATGGGGTGATCACTGCTGTGGTAGGGGAAGCTTAGCACCCACTGGGAACATCAGGGAGGGACACTTAACCAGATTCTTCCTAATAAGCATTTTTCTTATACCTTTACATCTTGATGAACAAGATCAAGTGTAATGAACTTTAAGCTCTTTTCCAACTCCTTGCTTTGTAAAGGGCAGAGTGAAAACAAGTCCTTAGCACCAGTGAAACAGGATAAGGAATAGGAATCTTCTTCCCAATTTCACCACTGACTTTACCAGCTACTTTACCAAGCAACTAACCAAGAATAAACCATGGCTTTGTCAGTTCTTTTCTCAGTGTCAGACCTCACTGGTTCACTCAGATCCGGCACTCTCAACATGGGGTTAGCGATAGACTCAGTGGCTTGAGAAACACCCTCGAGCCATATCCAAACTGCTTTCAGTGTGCCTAAGTGCATGTTCACATTATTGAAGGTCCATGAACCCAAAGTGATTTAAGAACTAGAGATTCTAGGCATCTGAGGTGTTTGAAAACAGCAAGCTCAATTCTCAAATATTTTTGGTCTTATTCCAGGCCATGGTGGGGCGGTGTAGAGAGCACAATCCAGCCAGGGGATGGGAGGAACAGTGAGAGGGGACGTAAGTGCAGGGAACATTAGCATTTGGCCTCAGCTAAGGGCTCCAATCTGAAAACGCTGAGGCCTCCCTGAAGGCACATTCCCTGACCTCCCATGCAGGTGCCTAGTGGGGAGGTCCTCACTTTGCAGACACTCTTGTTCCATTAGACACCTCGGTCACTTCACACATCCTGTCTATGTCATCCTTAAGACAAGGTTCTGGGATCAATCGTATATCCATCCTTTTACAGGTGATAAAACTGAGGTCAGAGAAGTTCAGTGACTTTACCAAGATTCCACAACTCATCAATGACTGAGGGCTTAAACTCAGGCCTGTCTAATGTATGCTCAACTTGGCCTTCATGTTAGAAACCCTGGAGATCACATAAAGCTCCCAGAGCTGATGCTGACCCCAGACCAGTTAAATCAGAATCCCTGGGGTGCTGTAATCCCAGCATTTTTGGAGGCTGAGGCGGGCAGATCACTTGAGCCAGGAATTCAGCCTGGCCAACATGGTGAAACCTCATCTGTACTATAAATACAAAAATATTAGCTGGGCATGGTGGTGCATGCTTGAAATCCCAGCTACTCAGGAGGCTGAGGCAGGAGAATCGCTTTAACCCGGGAGGCAGAGGTGGTAGTGAGCCAAGATCACACCACTGCACTCCAGCTTGGGCAACAGAGTGAGATTCTGTCTCAAAAAAAAAAAAAAAAAAAAAAAAAAAAAACAACTCTGGGGGTGGGAGCGCCAGGCACTGGGTGATTTCACTGTGCATGCACCCTATTCTATATGTTTCTCTGCAATGCCATGAATATTCTTTGGAGCCACTTAAGACAATGACAAGGCTTCTGCAAATTAGTTTTCCAGGCATAGGTTCCAACTGAGGACCATCATTTCCTCGAAATGCTAACATGTCCTGATGTGTACTGCTAACCGCTCAGATAGAACATGCAGTGGCCAGTGTGGCACACAGATGCCCTTCACTGAAGCCCGGGTCAATAAAGACAACCACTGTATTCGTCAGGGTTCTGAAGAAAAACAGACCCATAGGAAATATGTTTATCTCTAGAAAGAGATTTATATAAGGAATTGGCCCACAAAATTATAGAGGCTTATAAAACCCATGATCTGCCATCAGCAACTCTGAGGCCCAGGAAACCCAGACAGTGGTCATTTCAAGGCCTGGAAGCCAGAGGGCCAATGGTAAAGATTTCAGTCTGAAGTCAGAGAACCAGAAGAATGAGGGTAGGAAGATCCGTGTCCTAGCTCAATTTATTAGGCAGAGAAATAATTCAATCTTCCCCTACCTTTTTATTCTGCTCAGGCCCTCGATGGACTGGATGATGCCCACTCACATTGAGGAGGACTGTCCGCTTTGCTCAGCCCACCAATTCAGATGCTCATCTCTTCTAGAAACACTCTCACAGACACACCCAGACATAATGTTCAACCAGCTATCTGGGCATCCCATGGCCCAGTCAAGTTGACACATAAAATTAACCCATTGCAATCACCATGGAAGGAGTTGCTGCATTGGTGAGCTGTTGTGTCAGAGGACAAGTTCTTATTCTCAGCCATAAGCCCCCAGTAAATTCACACCCATCCAGGAACTAGTGACTAGTCAGGAGACAGTCAGGAGACACCACGTGAAGGAAGCGTTTGTTTGCCACTGACAAAGGTTGCTTCCCTGAAGTCTCCTAGGTAATGATTGAGTATAGGTCCCAACTTAGGGATGGGGAAAACCTTCTTATATGGCCTGGTCTCAGTATAGCAACTAAAGGCTGCTTTCAGTGAGGGTGGTGGCAGGGATTGGCTCAAAAATACTATTCAAGGCAATTCCCAGCCCAGATGCACTAGAAATTGCTTGAATGAATTCCAGTTCCATTTATATCATCCCAAAGCACTCTCAGATGCTATGTCTATCACCAGAGGGGGTGTTAACTGTCAGGCAGCCAGAATAAAGGAGTGGACACAACTGATGGGGAAATAGCATCTGCACATCAGAAAGGGCTGGATGGATCAAAACAAGGATCGCAGGAGAGGAACTGCAAGGCACTGAGCGGCCACTCTAAGTCCCAGGGACCTCGAAGTCTTTATCCTGCTGAATGCTCACAAACCACCTCTGAGGCAGGACCGGTCTCCTCACTTCACACGTGAGAGAGTCAACATTCAGAAAAGTCAGTGCTGAAGCCTGAAGTCACAGGTTGGGTGGACAATGGAGCCAGGCTTTTCCCAGATCTCGCTGAATAAACTGCTCACGGGCTTTCTATTCTACTGTATGTTGCTGAGATGACCGTCCCAGAATGGCCCCACCCTTGCTAAACTGGGAGCTGCCTGGAACTAAGGTAAGCCGCTGTGCTGCTGCTGCGCTGGGCTTCGGAAGTGCCAGGTGCTGGCCTGTGAGCCGCACACAGCTGTGTGCACTGCCCAAGCCCCAGTCCCTCCTGCTGAATCAGTTCCTCACAATTGGCTTTATTTCATCTTAAATTGCTCAAAATAAGGGCAGAGCTATTTGACAGGGAAAATAAAATGAATCCTCCACTGCAGATTTCTATCTCGATGCTACAAAAAGCTACTATGTGGGAATGGACATGAAGGCAACCTGGGGAGCGACTATTGTTTATCAGAATAAGTCGACACAAGCGACAACACTGATTTTCAGCCAGACACCTGAGGGCTTATTACTGCACTCAAAAAAAAAAAAAAAAAAAAAAACTCAGTCAGTTGGAGTCTAAGACATGAAATGAAATCATTTTTACAGCTCATAGCACATAAAGAGAGATATAGAATGTGGAGGGGAGAGTGTGGGACAATACAGAGTTGGTATAGCACCATTGTCTGAGTGTCTACTGTGTGCTTTATACCCTCCCAGCCTAATGAGCGGGTGCCGGGCTCCCATTTTTTGTATTTATACACTGAGGCTCATGTAGGCTGAGAAACTTGCTAAAGGTCACACCGCAGGTTGATGGCACAAGATACCAAGTCAGCCCTGCTTCACACCTTTGTAACTGCCCTCATTGGAAGGAATGGCTGGGTGGGAATGAGCTCAGATGGCTCAGGAACACGCAGATGAGTGGTTTTGGAATGGAAGGGAGCCACCAGGCTCAGAGTCCATCGCTGTAGCAGGAAGCAAACCCCAGGGGTCGCCTGGTGCAGTTGCAAGGCTTCAACGGAGACCAGAAGCCACCACATCAGCTGAGCTGACCTCCCGTGAGGGCAAAAGCCTCTACTCTATGCAGAATCCACCTTCAGCCCACTTAATCCCACATCCCACTCAACAACAGAGAGATCGGCTTCCTCTGTTCATTTGTTTTTACCACTCCTCCTCTGCTTTGAAATCTAGTTTTCAGAGTATGGACTTTAGCAGCTCACATGCCAGGGTTTCAGCTTGAACTCTGCCTGTCACTAGTTGTGTGACCTACCTTGGATGAGATACCGACTTCTGTGTCCACATCTGTAAAATGGGTTATCAAGCAAATTAAATGAGGTCATCAGAATAAGTGAGGCAGCTTTGCACACCTGGTAGGGGCTTGGGTCTAGAGTGTCACCTGTGATTTTCACCCCAGCTCTGCCACTTACTATCTGTGTGACCTTGGGCAAGTTGCCTATCCCTCATAGCCTCAGTTTCCCCATTTGCAAAATTGGGTCAATCATAATACTTACCTCATGATATTGTAAGAGTTATATAGGTTACTACGTATGAAACTGTTATGGGTACATACAAAATTCTTCATAAATATCTATTTTGCTCCCCAGGAGTCATTTGGCAAGGTCTGGAAACTTTTTTTTTTTTTTTTTTTTTTTGAGACAGGGTCTCCCTTTGTCATCTAGGCTGTAGTGCAGTGGCACGAACATGACTCACTGCAGCCTCGACATCCTGGGCCCAAGCAATCCTCCCACCTTAGCCCCCGACATAGCTGGGACTACAGGTACATGCCACCACCCCTGGCTAATTTTTGTATTTTTAGTAGAGATGGGCTTTCACCAGGTTGCCCAGGCCAGTCTTGAACTCCTGAGCTCAGGCGATTCATCTTCCTCAGCCTCCCAAAGTTCTGGGATTACAGGCGTGAGCCGCCGCGCCCCGCCTGAAGACATTTTTGATTGTCGTACTGGGAGTGGGGATTGCTACCGGAATTGAGTAGATAGAAGCCGGGGACACCGCTAAATAAACGTCTTACAACGGACAGGACAGCCAGCGAAAAGGAATTATGTGGTCCAAATTGCAGTAGTTCTGAGGTTGGAAAGCCGAGGCCTTGGGAGTCTGGGGCTCTGCCTTGCGGCGCTGACAGGCCTGGGAGCCTTTATTCACACAGTGTAAGATTCGCACTTGTGCTGAGCGTGCGAGCCCACTCCCAGGTTTGGCCATGGTGCCATTCATGAAGGCTTTTTACAATGAGTCCCTCGGTTACTTGTCTCATTGGCACTGTCTTGTGGTTCCATCCTTTGTTGCTACCCTCTGTAGCTGATGCTGGGCTCATGGAAGGGACACACTCAGCTTCCAGCTGGTTTCCCTTTTCTGTTCTTTTTCTGCTCCTCAAGGGCAGGGCCATCCCTGAGGTCAATGCTGTCTGAATTCCAGTGTCTGGGCCTTCCCTGTGGGAGCTAGTTGCTGGGCATGGCAACATGGCACAGCCCCGTGCTCGCGGCTCCGCTGATAATGTGTTGCCTACTGTGACATGGGATGTGGACCCCATAGACCAATGCCCCTGAGTTTCTTGCTGGAGATGGTCCCAGAACATCTGAGAGAGGCTGGAGATGGTTGTAATTAGACCAACTTCTTGTGTTGGGCCTGTGGAGCCCACAAGTTTGGCTTGGGTTGTGCCAGAGCCAGTTTGCAATACTGCCCCCAGCTCAGCTCCTCTGGAGAGCTGGGCCTCCACAGTGTAAGAGAGGAGAGTAGGTTTCCCACAAGGGAAACCTTGTTCCTGAGTAGCCTTTGGTGGGGGTGGTGCTGGAAGTCAGCTCCCCCAGACTGTGACCTTCCTACTCTCCAGCATCAGGGACCTGCAGTGGAGAGGCGGAGTTTCCACCCAGGGAACAAAGACCAAACCACGCACCGCCCTCCACTGGGGTGGTGCAGGGCCCGACACACACGGGTCTGCCATGGAGGCTGTGCTCAGAGCTCCAGCTCTCCTCGTCTGGTAGAGGTGGGGGGAGCTTGGGAGCTGCCAACAGTGGCCGAGGGAGAGAGATGGGCCCTTGGCAAGGAGGGCGCAAACCTCCTAATGCACAAACATACCGCTTAGGGACTGGGAGAACTGTCACAAATCAACATGGTGTTGTGCAGGCTGCCAAAAGGGCTCATGAGTGAGCTGAAGACCAGATAGGCAAGCCCCTTGGAAATTCCATTGCAGGGTCCTGAGGATGACGCAGGACCCCCTGCAACATTCATGGCAGGAAATGAACATTAAATTAGAGCCAGGCTTGCTTCTTCCCACTAAGAATAGCCAAGGGCACGTGGACAAATGAAGAGCACTTTTCCCTCACGGTTTCAGGGATGGCGCTGCTGGCTGAGGCAGAAGCTCCAAGGAGTCACAATCTCTAGAACAGGCATGCTCTTTCTCTTTTCTATGGGGAGTGGGAGGGATGGGGGATGCTGACTTGTTTAGTTGTCTAAAGAGCCACACAGCTGGAATTTTCCCCACAAGCTTGAACTATAGACATCAGAAGATGTCTATTGAATATCTTTGATTGGCAGGAGTCAAAATGTATGCCGCCGAGACGACACCCACACACCCGTGTTCACAACAGCCCAAGAGTGGAAGCAACTGAAGTGTGCATGGATGGATGGGTGCACGGGCAAAACGTGGCTTATGTTATACAGTGGAATACTACTCAGCCTTAAAGAGGAAGGAGAGTCTACACATGCTGTGATGTGGATAGACCCTGAGGTCATTCTATCCAGTGAAATAAGCCAGTCACGGAAGGACAAACACTGCATGATTGTACCCACATGAGGTACTGGAGTGGTCAAGTTCACAGAGATAGACAGTAGAAAGGGGGTTGTTGGTCTGGCAGGAGAGAGAAGTGGGGAGTTGTTGAATGGGTAGAGTTTCTGTTTGAGAGGTTGAAGAGTGCGGGAGCTGGATGGTGGTGATGGCTGCACAACTGTGTGAATGTGCTTAATGCCACTAAATTGTACACCTAAAAATGGTTAAAATGGCCAATTTTATGTCATGTGCGTTTACCACAGTTAGAAGTAAATAAATGAATAAATTTAAGAAGTCAAATGCTACTCAACTACCTCCTAAGAGCCCGCGGCCCGGGGGTTTTGACAGAACTTTATTAGACACATTGGGAAGTTTCCATCCAAACAGTAGCAGTGAGGGGCTGATGCGTGGGCTTCCTAACCCACATTCGCAGGCCATGCAAAGCAGCACTGGCTCCGCTCCTCATTCGTGGGGTTTGGGCCGCCCAGCAATCCCCACTGGCAGAACCAGCAAGGGGCAGAGAGGGAGAAATGTTCCCCCTACTACACCCAAGCCCAAAGCCGAGCACCTCCAACCTGTCGCCTGGCTGTGCTGGCAGCACGGGCTGACCCCATGGCAGAATCAGCACTTGGATGCCTGATGTGGTGCTTCTCCTTTCAGCCTGGCTCAGGTCTGAACGTGAGGGTCTCAGGGGTCCTGTGACAGTGGCCACTGGAAAGAAGCACCCAATTTGAGAGCTTAAGAGTTAAGATCCCACCAATTTCTGAAGAAACCTGAAGTCTGGTCCTGAGTCAGGATGGTGACGAATGCAGACAGCATCCTCCCCAGAGAGGGGTGGAGGGTGGGAGTGGAGGTGGGGGATGCACAAACCTCAGCACACCAATGTGAACCCTGCAGTGAGCCTGATAGGCAGTACCCGTGGGGTTCAGGTGCTGCACTCCTTCTCCCCGACAGTGAGGGAAGAGAGGGGAGGGCACCAGAGGGCCCTGTCTTAGGGCCAGTGACTCTTAGACCTCAGGAGTAGGAAGGCCCTTAATCTGAACCTAAGGGACCTGCTGCTCCAGGCAGAGAAGCTTTGCCAAGGAAGGTGTGTATGGAGGGGGTTGCTGCTCCATTTCTGAATCAGAAAAGCAACTGAGAACTCCCTCCAAGGGAACCAGAAAACCCAACTCATCTCTCAGCTGCCCACACACTCGCCAGTGTGGGGAGCCCACCACACCCCAGGTGTGTGTGGTGCAGCCTGTCCCGTCTTTCCCCGTAAAGTACTTGCTGTGTAAGAGCTCAAAGTCCTCCCCTGGAGGCAGAGAGGCAAGAAAGGTCCAACCTCCATTCAAAAGGGCTCACAGAATGCCCAGCAGAATAGAAGGGGAAAAAAATTACAGTGATCTGGACAAAGAGAAAACTCAAAAGGAAGAGAGAAAATTGCTAAACATTTCCTGCATGGACAAGCAGGTTCCCTACTAGGATTAAAACCCATGCTGTTTCCTGAAAGCTTGAGAGAGGCTCATAAACACCAATACAGTCATTGATAGAAAGTGACCATCACATTACTCTGTAGTTTAAGGGGGAAGGAAGAGTAAGCCGATTTCTCCATTGATCCTTGCCCAAGACCCAAACACCAGGGGCACACATGAAGTCTGATTAGGTCAGGGTTATTGGCTTGGAGCAGTGAGGAACAGCATACACCACAGTTTTGGGGCATTTACCAGAAAGGGAAAAGATAGAGTTATTATGCTTGCAATCCCAGCACTTTGAGAGGCTGAGGCAGGATGATTGCTTGAAGCTGGGAGTTCAAGACCAGCCTGGACAACATAGAAAGATCCCTGTCTCTACAAAAAAGAAAGAAAATTAGCCAGGCATGGTGGCACACACCTGTAGTCCCAGCTACTCAGGAGGCTGAAGCTGGAGAATCACTTGAGCCCAGGAGTTTGAGACTGCAGTGAGCCATGATCACCCACTGCACTCCAGCCTGGGCAACAGAGTGAGACCCTGTCTCACCAAAAAAAAAAAAAAAAAAGAGAGAGAGAGAGAGACAGAATTATTATAGGACTTGGGGAAGAGTGGAGCTTGGGTGAAATTTAAATTCAGCCATCATTTTATAAGCTGAAACAAAGCAGTGTTGCATGTTGATGGGTGATATGGTTTGGCTGTGTCCTCATCCAAATCTCTTCTTGAACTGTAGCTCCCATAATTCCCACATGTTGTGAGAGGGACCCGGTGGGAGATAATTGAATCATGGGGTTGGTTCCCCCATATTGTTCTCATGGTAGGTGAATAAGCCTTATGAGATGTGATGGTTTTATAAGGGGTTTCCCTTTTTGCTTGGTTCTCATTCTCTCTTGTCTGCTGCCATGTAAGACGTGCCTTTTACCTTCCACCGTGATTGTGAGGGCTCCCCGGCCATGTGGAACTGTGAGTCCAACAAACCTCTTTTTCTTTATAAATTACCCAGTCACGGGTGTGTCTTTATCAGCAGCATGAGAACAGACTAATACAATGGGTCAGCCTCAGGACTGGATGGCAGAGTGGATGGAGGGTCCTGTTTCTTTGGAAATCAAGACATTAAAACGGATGTGGAATTTTGTGCCTAGAATTCCTTCATCTGAAACTTTACAGCTGGAGTGGAAATTGAAGCAGCTTCTCTGTATCAGAGTGACTTCCATCCAAAGGTGGGATGCTGCTTGTTACTCCTGCAACTGCAGACGGCAGAGTTTTCAACAGTCTGTGACTTGAGAGAACAAGGTCTTTCTGTGAATGAGAAAGCAGTAGTTGTTCTGACATGTCACAGCTTCAGTGTGTCCTTGGGAAGAACATTAGTAATGTTCCAGCTGGATTTGTCTATTTCTATTATCCCAGACTCATGAGTAGCCAGGCACAGTGTTACTTTCTCAGTCCAAGTTCATCGGATCCTCATGCCTTCTCCTCCCTGCTCTCTGCCCCAAGGCTGACCTGCAGGAACCACATCAAGGGTTCCCATGCCCCCGGCTTCTGCTTGGGATAGATCTGGCAGGAGTGAGAGGGAGTGAGGGGAGAGGACAAGGGCAGGGCAGCAGTCCCAGTGACTCCGTCCCACAGGGCCGCCTGGAGAGGGCTGTGTCCTGGGTCTGCAGAGGCTGCTTTGCACAGCCCTCTCCTGTACTTGAGACCCACTTTCTTGCCTTTTCTTCCCAGGGGCTAACAGCTTGGCTGCCACCAAGCCAGCATGATACTCACCCACACCTTATCAGTAGCCTCTGCACAAAGAAATCTCCTTGACTTATCTATTTTGAGTGTGCCATCTGTTTCCTGATGCAGGTGGCACAGTCAGTATAAATAAGTATCATTCCAGATCAAGCTTCCTAATGTGCCATTAGGAAGTCATACATTCTCGGGCGACTGACATTGCTACTCAGAGCCTTGGTTTCCCCATCGGGGAATGCAGAGGAGTTGAAATGCTGTTGTGTGGATTCAACGAGGGAAACATCGAACCTAGCCGTGTTAATTTTGTAAACCTAGAGTGTTGCTTCCTGAGAAGGAGCTGTGGGGTGGACTGCGCATGCAGGGCTGAGTGCCAGGGTGTCCTCCCTGTCTCTGCAGGAACCATGCTCCCACCAGCGCTGGCCACTTCCCAGAATCCTGCCTCTTTTCCATGCCTTGTCCAGCTCTGTGAAAAAGACATTTTCAATTCCACATTTCAGTCCTCCCACTGAGCCTCAGCCTTAATGTGGAGCCACTTTAATATATAAAAGACTTGTCAGGGGAAATGTTGTCATTCCTGTAGCACATTTCTGGAGAAGAGCTTTGATTCATCAGTTTTTAATTCCGTGGGGAGATGGAACGAGATAAAACAGCCAAGTTCTGCCTTTAGAAATTCCCATGGCGCTGCAGCCAAACTGCACCCTCACCTCAGGCTTTCCTTTGGCCCCAAATGGTTGGTTTTCCAACTTTGGCGGTTACCATTTCCTTGTGAGCAAATTGTGAAGAACTCATGAGCTATTGTAAACATACCTAGGACAAGGGAATCCATGAACCCTGCAGTGAGCCTGATGGGTGATACTTACGTGGGGTTCAAATGCTGCACTCCTTCTCTCCAATAGTGAAGGAAGGGAGGGGAGGGGACCAGAGGCTCCTAGTGTGGGGCCAAATAACTCATAGACCTCAGGAGCGAGGAGGCTCCTGCTCACTCAGTTGTGAGTTATTTGGGGACAGATGGAAATTAATCTGAACCCAAGGGACCCACTGCTCCAGGAAGAGGGGTTTTTTTCTGCCAAGGAAGGTTTAAGGCCCTGGGCTGAGCAACCATTCTATCCCCTCATCTAGAGCAATGCCTAGCATTGAGAAAGTGGTTGATAATTATTACAGGATAAAATGACGTTTTATCCTTATTTTTCCAGAGGAGACCCAAAAAGATTAGGCAACTTGCCCAAGATCAGGACGCAGGTAAAAGGCATCTCAAGGCTGCTAATTCAGGCCTCTAGACACCAAATCCAGTCCTCATGCCCCTTCCTGTGGCCCCATATGCAATGAGTGTGCTCAGTCAAAACTGGACAGCACTCAGTGTCAAGCACTGAGGGACAGACACAGTGCTGTACAAAGGGGGTCTCTGTCTCAGCCCCTCAATCTTGAACTCAGGAAGTGGTTTGATTTATCAGTTCTGGGTATATAGGTCCAGATTCAAGTACATCTGTGGGGTCATCCTGCCAGGCATTGTGAAGTCACTGTGAGTAGTGAGTAGGTGCTTACTAAGAATGCAGGACCGAGATAATGCATGAAATATGGATTTTGATCAACTACATTTGGGAAGAATAGCACACAGTGCCCCCTTAAAGATGTATAGTGCACACTCATGTGCTGAAGACTGAAAAGTCCCATGGTGAAGTCATCTGTTTATGTTATTCAATCTAGCGTTTCTCAAATGTATTTGATTTAGAAAACTTTCTTCCCCATCTTTATAACACACCTTGGGAAGCAGTAATGTTAGGTCAATCCCAGTAACTGAGATCCTGAGGCAGAGTCACCATTGCCCCCCCATAGTTGGCATAGTTGGACCAGGAAACCTCCATGTAGTCTTCTTAAATGGAAAACTATAGGCTGCAAGGAAGTTTTGGTCTGCAGAACTTCTCTCTTCTACTACTTCAAAGTTGAAAGTTACACATACCGAACATGTTCCCAGATGAGGAACTCTAGCAACTAGCGTTTCATACATCTCCAAAGTTTTCAGTTCAATTAGATCATGTCAGTTGCCCTGTCCACAAATTTAGGAAAATGAGAAAATAAAGTGATTGCTAGTAAGTCCCAAAAATGTCACACAGCTGAAAAAGACAGAACAGTGGAGTTTAGAGAAACAAACATGCATGATTGGAAATTTCCATCAGGAAGCTACTTCCCCTTGTGCAGGACTGTGAACGGACTGGACCCTTCTCTCACCTGCAAAATGACAAAGTGATGGAAGGCACCATCATCTTCAATGCCAACATCACTGGGTCTCTAATTCCCCAAACCCAACAACTCCCTACCCTTCTCCGTCTTCACCCCTCCCTACTGGTTCAGAGTTTTGCTGTCTCTTACCCAAACATTTCTGGTAACCCCCAGATGGTCTCCCCTGTTCCCTTCTCTCTCAAGTTTTATCTACCTTGCACTCCCTTGGAGAATTATTTTCCTGACAACTGCAAGATCAAGTCACTTTCAGGCTCGCAAGCTTCAGTGACTCCCGCTTTAGCCAGGTATCTAAATTTTCTGCAATGTAAATTCAACCTCTGCAAGTTCTTCTGCTGAGACCTGACTGTATAGCTCCACAGGATGAACTTGCCATTTCCAACATGAGTCTTGAAATTCCGAGAGATCTGCCTTTGCTTCTAAGGTCCCCACACAAAGTGGCCATATGGGTCCATCCTTGACACCCAGCTACAACACTGGCTTCTCCATGCTGAGCTTTCCTTTTGAATCGCCCTAGTTGGAAGCAATCTTGTGCTGTTCTGAACAATGACAGTGTCTTGCGTTGCCTGCTTTATAACCCTTACCACTTTCTTTGTCATATTTATTCACCCACATATGTTATCTCCTGTATTGTAATGTAAGGTCATAGATAAAGGTCATAGATAAAGGCAGACAAACCTAGTTTAGTTTACTATTCCCCTTTCTATTCTATTTCCTCTACATGCTCATATATAGGAAAACCCTAAAAATGTTAGTGAAATTGAGACATATAAACATTTGTGTTTCTGTCAATATCCCTCTAAAATCCAAATGTGATTGTTCTAAAAAGTACATACCAGCAATCTGTCTGGAAATCTTCAGTGACCAGGAAAATAAAATCTAATATGACAGGAGAGATCTGTATTCATTTTGATTAAATATATTCATCCAGAGACAAGAACAGATGGATATCTTCCCTTTGTACCCAGCCCATGATGAGAACAGCAGCTTCTGCTGGACTGTAATCAATGCTAGAGGAAGGACTTACCAACAGCAGCAGTTGTACCTGGAGCCAACTTTGGCTCAAGATGTTGTCCACCTGAAGACTACCTGAGCCAGCTTACTGAATGACAATGCAGAGCTTCACTGACAATTTTTTTTAAAAGTTCTCCTGCCTTCCTATTTCTTCCAGGCCTTTAGCAAGATCTGCAATGATCTAGAGCATTAAGAACCTGGCTTCCAGCCAGGCACAGTGGCTCACACCTGTAATCCTAGAACTTTGGGAAGCCGAGGCAGGAGGATCACCTGAGGTCAGTAGTTCAAGACCAGCCTGGCCACTATGGGGAAACCCCGCCTCTACTAAAAATAAAAAACAATTAGCCAGGCGTGGTGGCGAGTACCTGTAGTCTCAGCTACTTTTGAGGCTGAAACATGAGAATCGCTTGAACCCAGGAAGCAGAGGTTGCAGTGAGCCGAGATCACGCCACTGTACTTCAGCCTGGGTGACAGAGTGAGACTCCATCTCAGAAAGTAATAATAATAATGATAAAATAAAAATAAAAACCACATTCCTGTCATATTTCAGCTGTGAATCATAGGTACACAAACACAGGATTAGCTATGTTTTACAAGACAGCTTCTGGCAAGAAACTAACAAAACAGTTGCATTTTAGAAATGCAGAAACTTCAACTCCCTATCATGAATTACTGAGTGGTCCCTGGAATGAATTGCCTGTCCTGGTGCGGGGGAAAAATTAGCCCTTAGTTCATCTAACTGAGGAATAGGACGTTCTAAATTTTGGTATGATAGCTTCATCCCTGAAAGGTATTTTTCTTTCTTTTTAAAGCAGTTTCTGCAATTGACCAGAGCAATTCTCAGATACCAGCTATTGGAAATTCTCACATAATCTTCACAGACATGCTTTTCTCCTTTTGTTATTGCTCTGTCAATAGCATTTGGCCAGGGGAAATGAGAATTTTCCCATTTCCCACTAAACGTCGTTAGATAAAAATTTTCCCCTGTTAACAGAAATGATTTTGCCTTATAAAAAGTTCTTATTCTTCTTGGAACCGAGATGACTCTCTAAGATCTGCAACTTTTTGAAAAGTCATTTGTGGCCGGGTGTGGCAGCTCACGCCTGTAATCCCAGCACTTTGGGAGGTTGAGGCAGGCTGATCACGAGGTCAGGAGTTCCAGACCTGCCTGGCCAAAATGGTGAAACCCCATCTCTACTAAAAATACAAAAAGTAGCAGGGTGTGGTGGCGTGTGCCTGTAATCCCAGCTACTCAGGAGGCTGAGGCAGGAGAATTGCTTGAACCTGGGAAGTGGAGGTTGCAGTGAGCCGAGATCGTGCCACTGCACTCCAGCCTGAGTGATAGAGCAAGACTTCGTCTTGAAAAAAAAAGAAAAGAAAGAAAGAAAAAAAAAAGTCATTTGTTCTATGCGGACCAAGTGCGTTTATGTTTTTCTTTAGAAGAAGATGTTATTTTCAACAATTTGGTAGAAATCTATGCCCAAGTAAGATTTTAAAATTCAGACCAGAGAAAAAGCAATGATATGAGCCCATTCTGTTTTTATGATTACCTGTATCATCTTGCTACTTAAGGCACTGATCGTGTGGTAAAATTACGCAAGAAGAGAATAATAGAACGGAATGTATTTACATTTTTGTTGTTGATTTTGTCTCCTTTTAGAAAATGCTTTGAGAAAATTTTATATCATGAAACAAATTGGTAAATAATTAATTTAACAAGTTATCAGCCACCTTGACATCTAACCAACATTGATTTTGCTTTAGGTATTATCACTATGAATATCAAGGTTATCAGTAATTTGGGGCTTACCTGCTGAAAATAGTAAGCTTCTACTTTGCCATTTTTCTTTTTCTGCACAAATTGTGTTGGCTGGTTTTACAGGCAGGTGGCCTACGCAGTCACATGGGGCCCTTGGCTCAGAGGGGCCCCCCACTTGGTTTAATGCTCTGCTCCTGTCATCTTGAAATTCATAATACTTTTATTTCCAAGCTTGTGTTTTGTATGTAAAGTTTGTAGTTCTAATTTGCATTTCCCTAATGACTGGTATTGTTGAGTATCTGCTCATATGCTTAGGATTTGCTACATTTTCATTTGCTTAGGATTTGCTATCTTTTCATTTGCTTGGAACTTGCTGTCCTTGTGTCTTCTTTCGTTAAGTGTGCGTTCAGATCCTTTGCCCATTTTTTAAGAAATGGGTGGTTTCCTTACTGAGTTTTGAGTGTTCCTTATGTATTCCATATACAAGATCTTTATTAGATTTGTGACTTGCAAACATATCCTGCTAGTCTGGTTTGTCTTCATTCTCTGGGTATCTTTTTATTCTCTTTGTATTTCTGTGTATCTTTCACAGAGCAAAGCTTTTAAATTTGATCATATTATTTTTATTTTTTATTTTATTTTTATTTATTTATTTATTTTGAGAAGGAGTTTTGTTCTTTCACCCAGGCTGAAGTGCAGTGGTACGATCTCGGCTCACTATAACCACCACCCCAGCCCCCGGGTTCAAGCGAGTCTCCTGCCTCAGTCTCCCAAGTAGCTGGAATTAATAGGCACCTGCCAACATGACCAGGTAATTTTTTGTATTAGCTTTTAGTAGAGATGGGGTTTTGCCATGTTGGCCAAGCTGGTCTCGAACTCCTGACCTCAAGTGATGCACCCACCTCGGCCTCCCAAAGTTCTGGGATTACAGGCATGAGCCACTGCACCCAAACTGATCAAATTAAATTTATCTTTTGAAGTCATATCTAAAAACTCTTTGATAAACTCTAGGTTATGTAGATCTTCTCCTACATTTTCTTTTGCACTTTTTTAAGTTTTATGTTTAATATTTAGGTCATAATCCATGAGCTAATATTGAAAAAGTTCTGAGGTGTATATTAAGGTTCTCTTTTTTTAATCCTTTGCTCAAATTACTATTAGTAATTCTCCATTGAATTATCTTAACATCTTTGTCAAAAATCAATTAACTATATTGTTTGGCCTTTCCAAACAGTTCCTGTGCTTATCCATATACATTTTAGAATCAGCTTACTGAGTCTTATTGATTCAAAAGTTTACTGGGACTTTGATTATGCTGAATCTCCACATCTAATTGGATAGAATTGACATCTTAACGGTATTGTATCTTCCAATCCATGAACATGATATATTTCTCCATTTATTTAGGTCTCCTTTAATTTCTCTCTTCAGTGTTTTGTAGTTAAGCATACTGATCCTGCACATCATTTGTTAGATTTATATCTAAGTTTTTTTACTTTTGGCTTAATACAGCAGAAATTTGTTTCTTGTAGTCTGAACTCTGAGAAGTCCAAAATCAAGGTGCTAGCAAAATTTGGTTGCTAGTGAGGGCTCTCTTCCTTATACCTAAGTATTTTATTTCTTGTGATGCTTTTGTAAATATTTGTAAAATTTCAAGTTCCAATCGTTTACTGTTCACATACAGAAATATGCTTCACGGCCGGGCCCAGCCAGGCATGTGGCTCACGCCTGTAATCCCAGCACTTTGCGAGGCCAAGACAGGTGGGTCACGAGGTCAGGAGATCAAGACCATCCTGGCTAACACGGTGAAACCCCGTCCCTACTAAAAATACAAAAAAATTAGCCAGGCGTGGTGGTGGGCGCCTGTAGTCCCAGCTACTCGGGAGGCCGAGGCAGGAGAATGGCATGAAACTGGGAGGCAGAGCTTGCAATGAGTCGAGATCGCGCCACTGCACTCCAGCCTGAGCGACTGAGCAAGACTCTGTCTCAAAAAAAAAAAAAAGGAAGAAAGAAATACGCTTCACTCTTAAATATCAACATTGCATCCTGCAACCCTGCTCACCTAGTTATAGCTATATAGTATATATAGTGTATAGTTTCTAGTTATAGAAACATTTTTTTCTACATTCTTAGGGATTTTCTAGATAAATAATTATGTCATATCCAAATAGAGACTTTTTAATTTCTTCCTTTCTAATCTGTATCTTTTTTTCTTGCCTTACTACACTGCTTAGAACTTCCAGTAAAAAATTGAATAGGAATGCTGAGATAAAATATCCTTATGTTGTTCTTAACCTTGGGGGCAGGACATTTAGTCTCTCACCATTAAGTATGATGACCGCTGTAGGTTTTTCATAGATGCCTCTTATTGGGCTAATAAAGTTCCCTTGTATTCATGGTTTGCTGAGAGGTTATGTGACGAATGCATAAAACTAATTTTATCTCCATATACCAACAACAACTGGAAGAAGAAAAAATTTTGAAGTACGATTTACAAGAGCATCAGAAAATCTTAAATACTTAGAGATGAATTCAATTAAAAATATGCAAAACCTTTACACAAAACACTGTAAAATATTGATGTGGCAAACTAAAAAACACCTACATAAAAAGAAAAATATATTAAGTTGTAGATGGAAAGACCCAATATTATTAAGATATAAGTCTCCCCAGATTGATCTTCCCCAATTGTGAAATCGATCTATATATATTCAACATGATCCTAATCAACATCTCAGCAGGGCTTTTTTTAAATGTTTTTTGTTTTTTTTTTTTGAGTTGTTTTGATAGAAATTGACAAGCTAACTCTAAAATTATATGGAACTGGGAAAGACCCAGGAAAGCAAAAACAGTAATCACGACTGTGTGAAATGTGCATGTGGATAAACGTATAGATCAATGCAACAAAAGAGTTTATATATGGATGGATGGAGGGATGGATGAATGGATAAACAGGTAGATATAAAGAAAGATACCTAAAGATAAATATATATACACATACATACATACATACATACATATATACACACACATATAAAAAAAGAGAGACAGATAAGTCAATAGATTTTTTCGCAAAGATGTAAAATAATTCAATGAGGGAAAAGATTGTCTTTTTTCAACAAATGGTGCTGATACAACTGGATACCCATGTGGAAAAATGATCATTCAGGCTGCAGAGTACAAAAAGGATTACAGTGGTTGAGAGTAGATGAGGGAACACCAATTACAAAGCTCTTACTTCCAGGAGAAATGATGCCTATAATCTGGTAACGCCTAAGAATTTATTTTATAGATGTAAAAAAAACTGACACTAATCTAAATGTCTATCCACAAAAGCCTAGTTAAATAAATTGCAGTTTATTCCTATAAAAGGATAATATGCAACTATTAACAGAATAAAGAAGCTCGTTATCTTTATGGAATGAACACCGAGATAAATTCTTTAATTTAAAAGACCAAGATGCATAATAAAGTAATTGGACATATTAGTCCCTTGCTGGGAAGACACTGAAGAACTTGCTCACACAAGTTGTCTGGAAGAAGAGTCCCAGGCTGGCCAGGGTACTAGGATGGGGAAGGAGGTTTACTTGTCATTGCATTCTATTCTATACTGTTTGAATTTATGGTTTGGTACCTTTACATTACCAATTAAAATACATACTACAAGCTAAAATTATATATATTTTTAATTATTTATTTATTTATTTTTTGACGGAGTCTTGCTCTGTCGCCCAGGCTGGAGTGACACCCTGTGGGTCATCCCCCAAGGGCCGTCCAGCCTCCATCTTCCAAAACCAATTTTACCTGGTGTCTCCAACGACAAGGGGAAAAATTTGGCATTCCTTGGAGACTTAACAGGATGCAGTGAAGTCAGGCACTTTCAAGAGCTGACCTATCAGTCTGCCCTTTTTCATCCCTGAGTGGATGTATGGTGGGATTATGGAGGACCTTTACTGGACACTTTACCAAATAATCAGAGCAGTACTTACGCTCTAGTTCAATTGGCTATCCCTTTTACTCTGGCATTCAGCAACCAGAAAGAGAAAAACAAAAGTAGCCTCACTTCTTACCTCTTTAACAACTATAATAAGTGTACTCCTTCTTCTTAGGTATTATGTTGCACCATACATCCAAGAGTTAATCAAAACAACTAAGCCAAGACATGTTAAGCAAGTTTGAAGAGGAAAACGATAAAGTAAAAGAGGAGGGATTGCAGAAAGTAAAAAGTTTCCCCTTCAAAGTTCCCCTTCTTGTTAAAGAATAAATCATAAGTGTTAGAAATAATAGTTTCTTTTAAAGACCAACTTTCTTCAAGCCTCCTTGCTTTGTGCTAATAACTCTTTGTTAAGCCCTATCCTATATAACTGTTGGACATGCTCACAGGCACATCCCAGGTCACGGCCTATGCCCCTTCCTTATTTGGAAATGTTATCGCTTCCTTAAACCTTTTCTAAGCAACTTCTTTGTTCTTCCCTGCACTTACCTATTTAGGAAAGTTTTAGGCTATTAGCAAATCGGGTATCAGTTTAAGATTGTGAGGTCCTGCTCCAGCCAATGGATGCAGGACACAGCAGTAAGGACAACCCAAATGCATAAGGGATAAATAAGTCTGCTTTTCCTTTGTTCAAGTGTGCTCCCACCATTGTTCCATCTGCGATTAAGCACCCTTTCTGCAGAAAGTAAAGATGGCCTTACTGAGGTCTTTTGTCTCTGTACTGACTTCTCTTTGCGGCATCGATTATCTATTTCTAACAAGGTCGGAGGTGGTAACAGATGCAAGGACCTACGGCTGGAGGAGAACTTTTACCCTAGAAAAAAATTTCAAGTAAGTGGAACCAAAAACTGGCCTCAGTCACTAAACAAACACATAGACAGAAATTCAATTGAAAATGCTCATAGAAAGTCTTGCTTTGTCAAGTAACAGCTTCTTGGTGTAACAGCTAACATAAATTATTGCCGAAATAGTTGCTTACATTGAATAGAATAAAGTAACTTGCTTTAGAAATGACTACAAATAAGATAGCTAGGCTGGGCGCAGTGGCTCATGCTTGTAATCCCAGCATTTTGGGAGGCCAAGGCAGGCAGGTGGATCACCTGAGGTCAGGAGTTCGAGACCAGCCTGGCCAACATTGTGAAACCCCATCTCTACTAAAAATACAAAAATTAGCCTGGCGTGGTGGCAGGTGCCTATAATCCCAGCCACTCAGGAGGCTGAGACAGGAGAATAGCTTGGACCCAGGAGGTGGAGGTTGCAGTGAGCCGAGATCATGCAACTGCACTCCAGCCTGGGCTACCAAGAGCGAAACTCCATCTAAAAAAAAAAAGATAGCTAAAAGCTGGGACCATTTTATCAAAATGTTGAGGCTTAGATGACAATAGTTATTTGTGAATAGCTATCTAGCTATCTGTTAATGAGTTGCCTCGTCGTAGAGTCTTAACCATTTGCATATAAGAGAGCAAGCGTCTCTGTTCGCTCTATCAGGGAGTCATGCATTCACCACAACACAATGTGGTAGGCTGGACGTTAAGGAATACGTTTTAAAAAAAGGGACGTGGGAACCCAAATAACCTAGACTCATCCGTATTTTAAGCAACTAGTCTAGCTATAATTTTTAGCTATTGCAAGCTATGGGAAGCAAGGGTGGGGAGTCTGGAGCGGAAACAACAGGCAGTCAGCACGTCCTGTATTTCCTGCGGATGGCAATGATAGTGAGTTTGTCAACCCCCTGCCTCTGCTTCAGCAGCTGATTGCACAGGTGTGCCTGATGAAGATTCTTGGCTGTGTCACTTGCAAAACCTGCTCCACCTCAGCAGCACAGTGAGGACTTTGAATTTTTTATCTGATGTGCAGCTTCCCTCACAACCTAGCAGCGACTCAGTGTCCTGGAGGCGTTTTCTTTCTCCATCCCTGCCTCGTAGCCTGTTCTGCCTGCTGAAGTCTTCTCCCCTGGGAAAGGACAAATCCCCTTGGTGCTTCACAGGGAAACGGTTTTGCTCAGTGGTCACCAGTGGTTCCCCAGCATCCAGAAGTTGCTGTGTTTGAAGAGCAGGACGGAATTTTTCCTGAGAAGCAACAGCAGTGATTGGCAAGGGCGCAAATGGTGAGTGGGTTTCCCTCACACGCTGCACCTGCTCCATGGAGGAAATGCATCCCGTGGGAGACAGCAGCACCACTGCCAACAAAGCCCCTCAGGTCCTAACCTTTCTGCTTTGCTTTGGGGAGCAGGAAGGATTGGGGTGTAGAAGAACCTCATTAAACCTCATTCAGTATCACTAATGCACTCACTCCACCCGAAACATTAATTACACTGACTCCTAGTCATCATTTGCTACTTTTTTACAACATTTCACCCACTTGAAAAGTTCAACTGTTCAGATGAAAGCCATTTTATAAAATAAATAAATAAATTTATACATTTTATCTCTCATCCCCAGTACTGTGGTAAGTTAAAACAAAGATGCCAAGATACAAAAACCCCAATATTCTATCTGGGTTGCTCTTCTGCCTATTTCTTTTAAAAGTATGTGGTAATAATACTGGAATTGAACATTTGCTTGTTGTGGCTAGAAAGGCTTAGTGAATAAGACACCTGTATCTTCCCGAGATGACCAGGAGATGGCGCCCCAGCTAGGGTGGGAAACCACTGGCAGGCTCTTCCACCTGCAGGAACCGATCTGAATTGGGAGAAAAGGAGGGGAAAAATATTCAGTGTATTATTGCATGGGCTGATAGAGGTTTAGGACAATGATCTCAGGATCTCCTCAACGTTTTATGAGTCTCTTCTATTTTGAGAGACTGCATGAATAACAAGAGGAGCAAAATAGGAAGGGAGAGAACGCTTAGGAAGGGAAATGATGGCATCGTTTTAAGGACATTCTGCAGGAAGGGACTGTGCTAAGTGCTTTCCATGAATTATCCTCAGCCCTCAGGCTCCTGTCCCGTTCAGGGAGGTTCAATGAGTGGCTGAAGCCCTCAGAACTGAGAACCGTCTCGAAGCCAGAATTCAGACTCAGTTCCGACTAGAGCCACAGCCCATCCCCTGAAAGATACGCACGTTTCTTTAAGGATGAGGGGTTCCTGGGGCCTGTCTAGAATATAAGATACTCAAGAAGGAAACTCACATGCAATTTGAGAGGGATAATAGTAAACACGCTGCACACCCATCCAATGTCTTTGGTAGTGTTTCAGATCAGATGTATTAGAAATAAAATGTCCCCGCCCGTGAGGAGTTAACTGCCTTGTTGAGCAATGGGAACTAACATGGAAGACAGGACCAGGAAAGTCCATGTGGCTAAAAGAAGCACATTTAGGTGGTAGATGAAGCAAAAACTCAATGTCCTGACAGGCGGCATTTTGCTGATAAAGCACAAATTCCAGTGACCTTTCTCGTCAAGAAGAAAAGCCTGCCACCTTTTCAAACACAAGGATAGCTCTGTGGTTCTAGCTCCACTCCTCTCCGCTGCCCTGAAGTGAGCTCTAGTTCTTCAGAATAAGGCTGACATCACCCCATCACCACAGGGCTGTGACGGAATCTGAGTGAGGCATATTTTGCCATTGGCCAGGTATGCCCAAGTTTGTCAATGTTTTTCAGAAGTTACAACAAACAGGAAAGTTAATAACGAATAGCTACCAACTGTCCACTCCATGCCAGCCCCGGTCCTAAGCACTCACATGTGTTCCCTCGTTCTCAGGACCCCCTTTCCAGGCTGACCACACCAGCAGATGAAGAACAAGGGCTCAGAGCTGTGCCCTGTTGCATCCCAGCAGCCAGACTTCCTGGGGCCGCTCAAGTTACTCAGCCCCTAGGGACTCACCTTCTCATCCATCAGCTGCAATTAATGTGGCCTGCCTCATTTGCGCGTTGTGATGTTGAATGAGTTAAGATTTCAAGGGCAGAGCTTAAAGGTCTGTGCTTCCAACAACCATTAGTTGCATAGAATAAGTTAGCAGCAAGACCTTTCATTGTAGAGGAAAATTTCTTCCCCAGTGGTGCATTCATGATGTGTAACTTTGTCCTTGTTTTCCATAAAGCTTTTTAAAGCCCCTTGCTTAGGCCTCGTAACGTGCCCATTAGGAGGTAGTGTAGCAACTCTATCTTCCCCATTTCAAAGTCATGGAAATTGAGTCAGCGGGCTGCTGCTTGCCCACCGGACATCTAGGCTCCAGTCTGTGAGTCCATTGTCTCATGTTCTTTCCTATAAAATATTCTGGGAATCATAATCAAGGGCTGCCTCAATCAAGTGGACAACTGTGTATAAAATAAGAACCTGGGTGAGAGGCGAGAGGTGACAACCGTGGAGAAAGCAGAAGAGAGTTCCTGTGTCCATTAGATACTGAACATGAATGAGCACTGGCCTAGCGGTTTGCCCAAATGGCTTCCAAAAAGGAATTGGAATTATACTTACCATGACCATTCTTGAAAGTTTCCTAAGTACATAGTTTTATGTGCTGGAATCTTCTATTGGTCCCTTGGATCCGCTCCTCATCTTTTTCCATCGTACTCTGCCCCAGAAGGGGTCCTGCATGAACTACATCAGTAGGGTGTCCATGACCCCCAGCTTCTGATTGGGTTTAGTCAAGAGGGAGCCCCTGCAGAAGTTGAGGATGGCAGAGATAGGGGAAGTGGAGAGTGAATCAGGGTGTTTTTCTACTTGTTTTCTCTTGCAAGGTCACCTTGGGCAGCCCGAGTTCCTCAGCCAAACTTTACTTTCCTCTCAAGCCAACTCTACACTAATCTCCCTCCTTCCAGATTCAGGCAGTTGCCCTCTTCCCAGGTATCTTCCAGCCTAGGGTGGTAACTGTGTGGCCACCACCAGCTCTGGAACAGCATAGTGTCCTGTGTGTTTCTCCTACACAACAGCCATTGAAAACTATCTTTCTGTGAACCAGACCCTCTTTGAATTGCCCCACCTTGATGGTGGCAGGTTCCTTTGGGACTCTATCTGGTGCACTTGGATATTTCAGCTACTTCCTTCCTGACAATGAGAGTTGAGGCATTTGCATTCCATCCTGGGCTCTGCCATTTACTAACTGCATGCTTGGTCAAGTTGTTTAGGCTCTGCTGGCTTCAATTTTCTCATCGTCCAATATGGGGAGAGGCCCTCTTCTTAATTACTGCTGCACCTCACCATCACCTGGGGGGCCTTGTAACAATTGGTTAAGCCAGAACCTCTAAGAGAGGGACTTGGACATATGTCACAGCCCTAGCTTTCTTATGTTACAAGGAAATCTGGAAGGTACCATCTCTCACATACACCTTTTGGGCCTCAGGTTCACTCAGTGTTTATTTATTGAGCATGTAGGGGAGGAAAAACTTTACATCTACCCTCTTAGGGTCCCTGGCTGGGCCTGAGAATTAAATTGACATAGATTGACTGGAGAAAAGCAAACAAATGTAATTTAAGTTTTATCTGACTCAAGAACCCTCATAAGGAAATGGACACCCAAGGATGGGGTTAGAGTTGAACATTGTATACTGAATGGGAATTGTGGACAAGTGACTCAACCATGTGGGGAGACTAAACGAAGAGAAGAACTAATTTTTTTTTTCTTTGAGATGGAATCTCACTCTGTCACCCAGGCTGGAGTGCCATCGTGCCGTATCGGCTCACTGCAACCTCCGCCTCTCAGGTTCAAGCGATTCTCCTGCCTCAGCCTCCCGAGTAGCTGGGATTACAGGCACATGCCACTGTGCCTGGCTAATTTTTGTATCTTTAGTAGAGATCAGGGTTTCACCATGTTGGCAAGGCTGGTCTCGAACTCCTGACCTCAAGTGATCCGCCCACCTTGGCCTCCCAAAATGCTGGGATTACAGGCATGATCCACCACGCCTGGCCAATAAGAACTATTTTTAAAAAGGTCTGTTTATGCAGAATTCTTTCAACTACGACTCCCCATAGAAGAATGATTCTTTTCTCCCTTTACAGAGAGTACATTTTTCACGTGGGAGATTTTTATCCCTTGTTTTTAGGAAGAAAAGGGGTGATTCGAATGCCCTTCCTGTATCTGCTATTTCTCAAGTGCCTTCAGCTCAAGAGAATCCTTCTGCCAAAGTGACCTATTTTGGGGTGGCCTGTTCCACCACCCTCCAAGCACAGGTCAGGAATTGTGTTATACATTTGGCTCCTGGTCAGTGGAGGGTGAGGTAAAAAGGCATGTCACTAAGTCATCATATGGTGCTGGGACAGTGGTTGGTAAGAAGGGCTTTAGAAAAAACATACAGAAGACAGGATTGCTTTGGAAAGGAGCAATTTGTCAGCCGCGCTTCCGAGAAATCAGCAAAAGGAGAGAGGAGGTAGATGCGGACTAAACCCAACTAGCCTAGGACGCAAGTGGAAGCCTGGGATGGTGACAGGAAGGCCAAATGGCCATGGTGGTCAGAGCATGGCTGAGGAGATCGAGGCCAGGCTGCACTCAAGGCAGGCTGCAAGCATCTCTTCAGACCTGTCCCCAGGCAATGTAGAGGGCATTGCATTGTTTAATGGGATCAGATTAATGTTTGCTACAGAGTGCCTTGTGCAGGAGGGACAGGAGACGAAGAGGAGGGAACGCCACTATAGAATACAGGAAAGAAGCTGAAATACTTAGGTGTGACTCAGTCACCACTAATTGCTAGTATATTGCTTAGCAGGCCTAGGAGACAGCTTGGAATGAGAGAGACAGCAACTGGTGTTGGATGGAATGTGACAAAGGGCGGAGGAGAGGGCAGTTGCTACTGCTCACCTGTGTGCATGTTGAGGCTGTGAATCAACAAAGGGTGTGAAGCAAATCCACCCAGCAATAACAGCTGCTGCATCCATAGAGAACTCTCCTCCCCTAAAACATCAGCCACAGGCACACCGCACCCTGGACTTCAAGCACATCCTCCGAGACCTTGTGAAATTTTCTATGGGCATTTTCACTTCCAAAGAATCCTCTGTGCCTGCTTTTTCCAACGTGGGGCAGGCAGATTCCCTGACTGCAACCTCGTTCTAGGCGGGGCTGCCACACAGGAGGATGAGGATTTTGGTGACACCCACCACACCCTGACAACAGTCTCCCCTGATCCCTGATACTGAAGGCAGAGATGCACCTGCAAGAGACAAGGAAGGCCATGGGAGTGGGCCTCGGAGACAGAGAGGGTCATGGGGGAAGGCACCTGCTATTTGCCCTGGGCTTCCCAGGGGTGAGTTAAGAAATGACTTCTCCCCACCTCCGTTTTCACCCCGCTATGAGGAACTTGTCACTGGAACAGTCTCTACGAAGCAAGCCAGGGCAATGACCTGGCCCCTGCCAGCCAGCTGACACTGCTGACTTCAAAGGCTCCTCCTTCTACTCGTCTCCTGCTGATATCAGGGTCCTGAAATCCAGATGGGTTTATTAATTCATTCATTCATTTACTCATTCATCAAATATTAACTGAGGCCACTTGGGCCAAGGTGCAGTAGACCCTGCATTAATCTGCAAAAAAGGCTATTTACAAAAAGAAGGTATCATCAAAACGGGGCTTCACCATTGCAAAGAAGTGGAATTGAATGGATAACACCTAACATGGAACAGGAAAGGCATAAGCATAAGTTTACTCAACAGTCTACATGATTAAGCATAATTATGCCACAAGGCACAGCATTTCTTAGGGGCCACTGATGAGCTAGGGGATTGATAACCTACAGAAAAGATGAGGGCCATTTCCTAGTGATTAGGCCAAGCTCCGAGCTGGCTCATTTCCTTTTAAGCTCATTTCCTGTGATGACACTGTTGTTATTGTTATTTTAAATCAGAAGACACATGCCCAGAAAGTCAAAGGCATGTAACCAAAAAAAAAAAAGAAAATGAATATATTTTTTAAGATAATATTTTCCCTTAATTATCTACACATTTTATGAAGAAAGCCATATTTTCAAACTGAAGCATCGTTCGAAAACTGATTCAATTCTTTCCCTCTTTGTGCATGTGCTTTAATTCTGTGCTCATAATCTATATTGGGCAGGAGGATGGGACAGCCCTCAGGCCTTGGAGATTAAGACACAGAAGAGATGCCCAGAAACCAAGGGCTGAAGTGTTGGGGCTTCCGTAGGTATCAATTACACTCTGTGTAGTTTTGTTCTTTCCAACTAGAGGTGGTTTTTAGGGTGGTATTGAGGACTTTCAAGGTTCCTCCATACCCTGGGTTTATATTGTTCCAACTGCAAGAGATTAGTCTACTCAATTAGCCAGAGGGTCACTGCTTAATCACGGTAGTATCTCCCTGTTGCAAAGACAACAGAGAAGAGGCCAGAACTTGAGCAGGGTGACAGCCTTTGCTCACTGCCCCTTTCTCCCTCCACAGGCAGAAATTCCACTCCAGTAGCCTCCTCACTTTGGAATGAAGAAGGAGAGAGTTGCATTTGGAACTGTCAAGAGCGTGGCAACACTTGTACTTGATCTCTCCAGAAGGAAATGATTTTGGACCAAGCCACTCTTACAGTCCCCTCATTGGAGAGGGCAAGGTGGCATCTCTGAGGACAGGGGACCCACCTGGTCAGTCCTGGGTTCTGTGCCCACTGACAGGCAAAGGCATGTCCTGACTTTTGGCCTTGGATTTGCCACTTTTAAAACCAGTGCTTAAAAACCACCTCTCCCTTCTACAGTAGCATTAAATCACCATATGTTGCTAAGCTCACAGCACCCAACAATGCTTCCGTACAGGGGTTAGGACTTTCACTTAACATTGCATGTTCCTCTGTGAGTTAGGTGACCACATTTTTTTATTAAAATATTTGTATTGCTTTTCTTTCTTGGAATTTTTTATGTGTTGAAAACTTCTAAGAGCATCCTTGTTTATTTATTGATTTTATCACGCTATGGGCCTATGACAGGGCGCACTAATTATAATCCTCCCAGGAAGACAAAATGCTTTATGATGTTTTAATGCAGGAGCTTCTTTCTGTAAGAGGCCAGACTGGTAAATATTTTAAGCATGGGCTAAGTGGTCTCTGCCGCCATTACTCAGCATTGCCATCGTAGCATAAAGGCAGCTGCAGACGATACACAAAGGAACGGGTATGACTGGGTTCCAACAAAATGTCATTCCTGAGCACTGGAATTTGAGTTTCATAGACTGTTCATATGCCACAAAGTAGTTTTTCTTCAAAATGTGAAAACCATTCTGACAGGACATAAAGTATAAGAGGCATGTCATATTTGGTCCATGGGCCATAGTTTGCTGACTCTTGTTTAAAGATTTGGCACTAGTTGTTAACTATAATTTCTTCACAGCTTCAGAGTCACTGTGGCACGACACTTCTAAACCTGTACCAGAACCCAGGGATTAGCCACACTTTTCGTAGCTCAGGGCCTCACTGTACCAGGTGCCCAGGGATTTATTTTTATTGCCCAGCTCCCTGCCTCCCTCTGTTCTGTGCCAAGGACTTTGCTGGGGTCCCTGAGCTCACCAGGAACACCTCTGTCCTCAGGGCGCCTGAAGTCTCTCCAGCCCAGGGACCCCAGAGCCCCTCAATATGGTTACTCTGAGCTTGTTGAGCTTCCCAGCAGGGAGCTGCTAAACTGCCCACCCCCGTCCTGTCCTCCGTTGGACACATGCCACCTTGTCCTCCACAAACTCTCCAGGTGGCACTAGAAAGTGACCTGGAAGTTCTTCTGGATTTAGCCACCCCGAGGATTTTAATGATGGAGCTGCTTCTGTTACTAGCAATGGCTGCTTGATCATCTCCTGGATGGTGACTGCCTCGATGTCACTCAGGGCTCTCCAGACAAACAGCATCTCTTGGAGATATGCAAGGAAATGTATTTTTAAGGAATCAGCTTATGCAATTGTGGGGGCTGGTGAGTCTGAAATCTCCAGGGTAGACCAGCAGGCTGGAAGTGCAGGCAGGATTTCCATGTTGCAGTCTGGAGGCAGAATTCCCTCTTCTCTGGGAAACCTCTGGTTTTCCTCTCAGGGTCTTCATCTGCTCACATGAGGCCCACCCACATTATGGAGGGTCATCTGCTTTACTTAAAGTCAAACGATTGCGGATGTTAATCCAACTACAAAATACCATCACAGCAACATCTAGATTTGGGTTTGACCATACAACTTAGCACCATAGCCTAAACAAGTTACACAGAAAATTAACCATCAACCCCAAACCCAAAGTGCTGAGCAAAGACAGCAGCATGGTGGGAGTGTTCCCATGAGGAGTAAGAAGGGTCTTATTCCTCAGAAGTTTCTCTTCTGCTGCTGACTTGGGGAGAAGGGAGGAGATTTTCCTCGATGAATGTGTTTGGAATGAGTGTATGAACAATTGGAAAACCATCCAGCTCATTTGTCCTTCCCACTCTGCCTGAAGATCAATTGTTTGACTCCCAGAGACCTGGTCATGCTCTTGAGGAACTGACATATATTATGCACCTTAATGAAGCAAATAAATAAAAGAGGCTCCCACCCACTAACAAGCAACATTCACATACCCAGATGTCAGTGAGCAACACGAAACTGTATGGAGATCACACACAGGGCACGCTGTGCCAGGTAGCCCTGCAGCAGAGGGAGGGCTCGGGTTGCAGAAATAACCATAGCTGTGTGTTTTTTACCAAATCTGTTGATTTCTCAGCATGTCAGTTTTCTCATCTCAAAATGAATATACAGCCATCCCCACTTTCCTGTGTGTATGAGTCTGGGTCCAGCCAGGGATGGAAATGGGACTACACAATAATTTAAACAGCAGTGAATTATTTAGTTCTTTTAAGCAAGTAAATACCTGTAACAAAATCCCTCTATGATTCCTGAGGCTGCAGGAGCATGCCCGAGCAAGGTGAACTTGGAAGAGAGAGAAGGTGTGCTTGCCACTCCTGGATGACACAGAAGTTCGCCGGATTGCCTGGGTCAAAGCTGGTCCACAAGTGCTGGGCAAGCAGAGAGTGTTAACAGGCTTGCAGAGGACACGTGGTGTTGCTGTGGGTTGGAGGCCTGGAGCTGCTGGCATAGTGTCGAGGGAGCTGCAGGGAAGTGATCAGCAGGCGAGGCCCTACTAAGAAAGCTCAACGTCATGCCCACTGTAAGTAGGGATGCTTGAGAATTTGGTCCTTAACTACAGAGCAGCTGAGAAGCAAACTATCCTTTGATAATGAGGAATGCTGGGGAGGTTAAGTGAGATGGTGTGTAAAGCCCTGGGCATAGCCTACAGTTTCCACTGTGCTGCCTCAACCTGACTGCAGCTTACCTGGAATTCAGCTCCATTTCTTCAACCTGCGTTTTCAGTTGGCAAGTGTAAACCTCTTGATTTACAGTAAATGCTGGTTAGCCAGTGTCTGGAGGTCTGAAGAATGCCTCTTCATATAGATCCATTGCCTGACGCATGGCAAGTCGATACACCGAAACACTGGGTTGCAGCAGAGAGAAAGGTTTAATTGTAGCACCGTTGAACGAGGAGACGGGGAGACTTCAAATCCATCTCCCCTAGGAGGGTTTTAAAGGGTTGGAGTAGCATGAAGTGTGGAGATTGTTGATTGGTCAAGAGTACAAGGTGAAGTCATGGGATGGGGAGAGGAAGCCATTGTATTCTCATGCCAGTTCAGTTCCTCTGTGGGGCTCTTCAAACTGGTTGGCATCAGCTGTTCCACCAGAATTCAGGATCTGCCTAAGCAATTCTTAAACAAAAGCCTTCTGATTCTAACATCAGAGATGCTATCTATGGGAACAGTGGGGATGCGAATGGTCAGTATCTAGCGAGTGGTCGGTATCTAGCGAGTGGTTGATATCTAGCGAATGGTCAGTATCTAGTGCTACATGACTTTTAGTTACAAGGAAGTGGGTCAAAGAGCAGCCTGATTCATGCTCAATTATAATTGTATTTCTGTCCAGAATTCTTGTGAACATTGTGAGGATTGCTTCAGTATGACAGAAATCAGTCTGTAGACCAAAAAGCACAGAACTGAAGAAGCATGGGCCAGCTCCCAGCTGTTCACACGCAAAACAGGCTTTCCATGGATGCCTCTGTGTGTCCTGACAGGCTCTCAGGTTTAAAATGCGGCTTTCAGCAGCTGTGCATGGGGAAGACAAAAAGAAAAACTAGTAATTGCTTCAGAGTTCCTTTGATCATCATTCCCTTTCCTATCTGTGTTAGTTTCCTAGTACTGCTGTAGTACAATACCACGAACTGAGTGGCTGAGACATCAGGAACTTACTGTCTCAGATCTGGAGGCTGGAAGATCAAAGGCAAGGTGTGCACAGGCTTAAGTCCTTCTAAGGGCTGGGCAAGGCGTCTGTCCAGACCTCTCCCCCAGCTTCTGGTGGTTTGCTGGCAATCTTTGGTGCTCATATGGTGTTCTCTCTGTGTTCCTGTTCATGTCTCAATGTTCCCTTTTTATAAGGACACCAGTCATCTTGAAATAGGAGCCACCTTGGTACCCCCTCATCACATAGTAACTAATTGCATCTACTCTAACCCTATTTCCAAATAAAGTCTCATTCTCAATTACTGGGGGATTAGGACATCAACATATGAATTGGAGTGGTGCGGGGACACAATTCATACTCTT
This sequence comes from Homo sapiens, assembly GCF_000001405.40. NCBI lineage: Eukaryota > Metazoa > Chordata > Mammalia > Primates > Hominidae > Homo > Homo sapiens. The sequence continues at coordinate 105,536,038 of NC_000002.12, read as the reverse complement.
CCACTTGCCAAGCTCTTCTTTAACAGATATTATCAAACACTGGACTCACTGGATGCCACGTCAAGGAGGTACCACATGTCAGCCACTGCGCTGGGCACAGGCACAGAGCAATGAACACACAGACACAGTCCCTGTGCTCACATAAGCAAACACTCAGTTACTAGAAAGTGTGATGTGTGCTGTGGTGGGGGAAGGATAGGGTGACATCCTGGAGGTCCTAGGAGGGATGCTCACTTGGGTCTTGAGATGATTAGGAAAGACTGTTTCAGAGAAGAGGAAGGGCATGTGCAGAGTCTGGAGCTTTGGAAGACTGTAGGAGCTCACCAGGTTTGCAGTGAGCCTGAGCTGGGTGGGAACAGGGTGGAGGCAAGGGGGAAGTCAGGAAAGGTCGCTTAAGCCTTGTTAAGAAGTTTTGACCAGAACTTCCAACACTATGTTGAATAGGAGTGGTGAGAGAGGGCATCCCTGTCTTGTGCCAGTTTTCAAAGAAAATGTGGCACATATACATCATGGAATACTACGCAGCCATAAAAAATGATGAGTTCATGTCCTCTGTAGGGACATGGATGAAATTGGAAATCATCATTCTCAGTAAACTATCGCAAGAACAAAAAAACAAACACCGCATATTCTCACTCATAGGTGGGAATTGGACAATGAGATCACATGGACACAGGAAGGGGAATATCACACTCTGGGGACTGTTGTGGGGTGGGGGGAGGGGGGAGGGATAGCACTGGGAGATATACCTAATGCTAGATGACGAGTTAATGGGTGCAGCACACCAGCATGGCACATGTATACATATGTAACTAAGCTGCACAATGTGCACATGTACCCTAAAACTTAAAGTATAATAAAAAAAAAAAAAAAAAGAAGTTTTGACCCCATCCTACAGGCTGGCTGAAGAGCCACAGAAGTGTTCAACAGAGGTGACGTCAAAGAGCCCAGTGGGTGCTCAAGGGTTCAAGGGAGAGTGGATAGCAGAGGCAGGACTGGAGGTTGGAGGCTAATGCAGGAACCCCCTTGAAGCTGATGGCGGTGACCTGATTATGGATGAGGTGGAGGGCGTGGAGAGATGTAAGTGAATTTGAGAGGGAGAATACAAGAAGACACGATTGGCCAGGCATGGTGGCTCATGCCTGTAATCCCAGCACATTGGGAGGCAGAAGCAGGCGGATCACTTGAGGTCAGGAGTTTGAGACCAGCCTGGCCAACATGGTGAAACCCTGTCTCTACTAAAAATACAATAAATAAATAATTAGTCCATCATGGTGGTGTACACTCGTAGTCCCAGCTACTTGGGAGGCTAAGGCAGGAGAATTCTTGAGTCCAAGAGGCGGAGGTTGCAGTAAGCCGAGATCGTGCCACTGCACTCCAGCCCCAGTGACAGAGCAAGACTCTGTCTCAAACATAAATAAATAAATACATAATAAAGTAATTGTTTTTTTGAGATGGAGTCTTGCACTGTCGCCCAGGCTGAAGTACAGTATTATGATTTTGGCTCACTGCAACCTCCGCCTGTCGGGTTCAAGTGATTTTCCTGCCTCTGCCTCCTGAGTAGCTGGGATTACAGGCGTCTGCCACCATGCCCAGCTAATTTTTTGTACTTTTAGTAGAGACAGGGTTTCACCATGTTGTCCAGGCTGGTCTCGAACTCCTGACCTCGTGATTCGCCAGCCTCAGCCTCCCAAAGTGCTGGGATTACAGGCATGAGCCATCGTGCCCAGCCAAAATAAATTTTTTCAAAAAAGAAGACGGGAAGACAGGATTAACTGAGTGTTGTAGGTTGAGGAAAAGGGAGACCATCACAGAAAACTCTCAGTCCTTGCTTGAAAACCAGATGGAGGCAGTGCCATTCACTGGAATAAAACAGCAAGAGCAGCAGGTTTGGAAGGGGTAAAAAATAAACACCTTTTGACTCCAATTTGGGAGTGCATTGGTAAGTTTCTCATGTGTTTTGTTTCCTAACCCAACAGCAGAAAGTCTACAATTTTTCGTTTTGTTGCTGGACTTCTTTAAGAGTAAACAGTTTAGGCCGGGCACGGTGGCTCACGCCTGTAATCTCAGCACTTTGGGAGGCCGAGGCGGGCGGATCACGAGGTCAGGAGATCGAGACCATCCTGGCTAACACGGTGAAACCCCGTCTCTACTAAAAATACAAAAAAAAATTAGCCGGGTGAGGTGGCGGGTGCCTGTAGTCCCAGCTACTCGAGAGGCTGAGGCAGGAGAATGGCGTGAACCCTGGGGGGCGGAGCCTGCAGTGAGCCGAGATCGGGCCACTGCACTCCAGCCTGGGCAACAGCGAGACTCCGTCTCAAAAAAAAAAAAAAAAAAAAAAGAGTAAACAGTTTAATAGCCTACAATACAATATAAAAAAACTATAGCCTTAATGAATTATAAGAAAACATATGGCACTTAATAGCAACATCCAGCTTTTCAGGATATTAAGAGCAGTGTGTATTTTGGTAAATAGCACACACTTGGAGGAATTACATTAATGAAGTAATTTCACCTTCTTCTGGTATACCAACAATTTACTTAAAAGTTTTCAAATTTTTTTAATTTTCAATTTTTTAATTGACAAGTAAAAGTTGTATGTATTTATGGTGTATAACATGATGTTTTGATCTACGTACACATTGTGGGATGGCTAAATCAAGCTAATTAACATATATATTACCTTATATACTTATTTTTTGGTGAGAGCATTTGAAATCTACTCTCTTAGCAATTTTCAAGTACATGATATATATAATAATAGCATATTGTTATTAACTATAATCACCATGTTGTACAATAGATCTAAACTTATTCCTCCTGTGTAACTGAAAATTTTTAATCTTTTCACCAACCTTTCCTCAATCCTTCTACCACCCTACCTCTGGTAACCACCACTTTACTCTCTGCTTCTACGAGTTCGACTTTTTAGATTCCACATATAAGTGAGATCATGTGGTATTTTTGTGCCTGGCTTACTTCATTTCACCTAATATTTCCCAGTTTGTCCATGTTGTTGCAAATGACAGAGTTCCCTTCTTTTTTAAGGCTGAATAGTTTCCCATTGTGTATATGTACCACATTTTCCTTATCTGTTCATCCACTTAGAGCCACGTGGGCTTATTCCGTATTCCATAGCTTTGTTATTGTGAATAATGCTACGATGAATATGGGAATGCAGATAGGTCTTTGATATATTGATCTCATTTTCTATGAACACACACCTAGGATTGGTATTGTTGGTTCATATGGTAGTTCTATTTTTAATTTTATGAGGAATCTCCAAATAGTTTTCCATAATGGCTGTACTAATTTACATTCCCACCAACAGTGTACACGTGTTCTCTTTTCTCCACATCCTTGCCAACACTTATCTTTCTTATTTTTAAAAATAGCCATCCTAACAGGTGTCAGGTGATATCTCATCATGGTTTTGATTTGCATTTCCTTGGTGATTAGTTATGTTAAGCATTTTTTCACATACCTGTTGGCCATTTCTATGTCCTGTCTTGAGAAATGACTTTTCAGGTCCTTTACCCATTTTTAATCAGGTTATTTGTTTTCTGGCTATTGAGCTGTTTGGGGTCTGTATGTACTTTGGATATTAACCCCTTAACACATATACGGTACGAGAATATTTTCTCTCATTCCATAGGCTGTCTCTTGACTCTGGTTGTTCTCTACAATTTTTGTTTTTTGAGTCGAAGCTCTCCACTGAACTATAAATGGACATACAGACAAGTGCACAGCACAAAGTATACTTTCCTCTGTAACCACCACCCAGATCAAAAAGTAGAACATTATTAGCATCACTGAATCCCTCTCATGTCCAATCCCAGGTACAAATCCCCTCCTTCCTGAAGGAAGCCACATCTTGTACAGCCACATCTTGACTGTACACCATAAAGCAGTTTTGCTGGGTTGTGAACTTTATATAGAGGGAATCGCACAAGTCAGTGTTCTTTTGTGCCTACCTCCTTTTGCTCAATACCAGGTTTGCTAGGTTCATTAATGTTGTTGTGTATGGTAGCAATTCATTCATTTACAAAGTAGTTGTGCTGATTACACTCCCAATGAGAGCACAAGAGGTTTTTGTTTTGTTTCGTTTCGTTTTGTTTTTTTCAGACAGAGTCTCACTCTATCGCCCAGCCTGGAGTGCAGTGGTGTGATCTCGGCTCACTGCAACCTCTGTCCCCCAGGTTCAAGAGATTCTCCTGCCTCAGCCGCCTGAGCTGGGACTACAGGCACTTGCCACCACGCCCGTCTAATTTTTGTATTTTTCATAGAGATGGGGTTTCACCATGTTGGCCAAGCTGGTCTCGAACTCCTGACCTCAGGTGATCCGCCCGCTTCAGCCTCCCAAAGTGCTGGGATTACAGGCATGAGCCACCGCGCCTGGCTATTTGCTCTTCTTCCCAGTCAACGTGTGGTAATAACCATCTTTTGTATTGTTATTATTTTAAATCATTATCATCAGGATATAGCTTCTTTTCTGAAGTTTGATTTACATTTTTCTGATGAATGATGAAGTTGATCTTTTCCTAACTTTACTGAGCATTTGAATATACTCTTTTATGTGTTTTCTCTTTAAAAAAAATAATTTGTAGGAGTTTAGAGATAGAAAAAAGTTGCAACTGTCTTTTCTTGCTCTATGGCTTACCTTTTCACACTCTTAATGGTATTTTGTGTTGGAAAGAAGTTTCTAATTTTAATATAGTTCAGTTTGTAAATATTTTCCTTTGTGGATAGTATTTTCTGTGTCTGGATTCAGAATTTTCTTAATATCCCAAATTTATGGATATATTCTCCTATATTATCTTCCAGAATCTTTATGTTTTTTACTATAAAAGTTAATTTTTGTATATGGAATGATGTAAGAGTAAGGTTTTATTTTATCATATCCAATTGACCCAGCACGACTTATAAAAAGACCATCCTGGCCAGGCAAAGTGGCTCATGCCTGTGATCTCAGCATTTTGGGAGGCTGATGTGGGAGGATCACTTAAGCCCAGGAACTCAAGATCAACCTGGGCAACATACGGATTCTGTCTCTATCAAAAAAATAAAAAATAAGTTAGCCAGGTGTGGTGGAATGTGCCTGTAGTTCCAACTACTTAGGAGGCTGAGGCAGGTGGATCACTTGGGCTACAGAGGTAGGCCACAATGAGCCGAGATCATACCACTGCACTTCAACCTGGGCAACAGAGTGAGACTCTGTCTCAAAATAAAATAAATACATAAGGTTAAAAAGACTATTCTTTCCCCAGTACTCCTTAGTCATAAACACATATGACAGTAATAAAGCATTCATTTATGTTTGAATCTATGTCTAGATTCTCTATTCTTTTTCACAGACTATTTGTTAATCTTTGCATTGGTATTATATTGTCTTAATTACTCTAGCTTAATTATAGGTCTTGATATCTGATAATGTATATCTTTCACCTTTGTTTTTTGTATTTTTCTAAACATTTATTTCCCAGGTATTTCCATAAATTTTAGGTTCAGCTTTTCAATTTACACACACACACACACACACCTGCTGAGAGATTGTATTGCATTAAATCTATAAATTTGGGGAGAATTGACATTTGATGCCTTGACAAATTGAGATTTCCTATATCCATTAATATGGTATGTCTTGCTATTTAACTAGGTCTTCTTTAATTTCTCTTGCAAATTTTATTTATTTATTATTGGTAGATTAAAAAGTATTTTTGATGCTATTATACATGAGATCATTTTTAAATGTTTATCTTCTAATTGATACTGGTACATACAAATAAAATTAATCTGTTATATTTACCTTGTTTCCAGCAATTTTCCTAAATTCTAAATTCTAGTGGTTTTTCTATAGAATTTGTTTGGATTTTTAAAATTCACAATCTTGTAATTTCTGAATAACATGAATTTTATATCTTTATTTGCAATCCTTATCCTTTTTTTCCTTAGACCAATGGCCAGGATATTCACCACAAGGTTGAATAGGGTTTTTGATAGCAGACATCTTGTCTTTTTCTCAGTCTTAAGGGGAAAGCTTTCAATATTTTATCATAAATATGCTTGCTGTGTGTGTGCCTGTGTGTGTGTGTGTGTGTGGTGTGTTTGCATGCACACTAGGTCTTTAATTTCTCTTGCAAATTCTATTTATTTATTATTGATAGATTTTTAAAGAATATTTGTATGCAATTATAAATGGGATTATTTTATGATAAAATGTATATGGGTTATACACATCTCACACCAGTTAGAATGGCGATCATTAAAAAGTCAGGAAACAACAGGTGCTGGAGAGGATGTGGAGAAATAAGAATGCTTTTACACTGTTGGTGGGACTGTAAACTAGTTCAACCATTGTGGAAGACAGTGTGACAATTCCTCAAGTATCTAGAACTAGAAATACCATTTGATCCAGCCATCCCATTACTGGGCATATACCCAAAGGATTATAAATCATGCTGCTATAAAGACACATGCACATGTATGCTTATTGTGGCACTATTCACAATAGCAAAAACTTGGAACCAACCCAAATGTCCATCAGTGATAGACTGGATTAAGAAAATGTGACACACATACACCATGGAATACTATGCAGCCATAAAAAAGGATGAGTTCATGTCCTTTACAGGAACATGGATGAAGCTGGAAACCATCATTCTGAGCAAACTATCACAAGGACAGAAAACCAAACACTGCATGTTTTCACTTATAGGTGGGAACTGAACAATGAGAACACATGGACACAGGGTGGGGAACATCACACACCAGGGCCTGCTGGGGGATGGGGGTAGGGGGGAGGGATAGCGTTAGGAGATATACCTAATGCTAAATAACGAGTTAACGGGTGCAGCACACTAACATGGCACATGTATGCATATGTAACAAACCTGCGTGTTGTGCACATGTACCCTAGAACTTAAAGTATAATAAAATAAATAAATAAATAAGTAAAATAAAATAAAATAAACGTATATGGGTTATATATTTTATTGAGTTAAGAAAAACTGCTTCAAGTCCTAGTTTATTATGATTTTTTTTTAACCACTAAACAAACCATGCATTTTAAAAATAAACCCAAGTAAAACTCCTGAGATTAGTGCTTAGGTCATTGGTTGTTAGCCTTGCTTCTTTTCTGGGGTATTCATTTAAAGCTGTATATGTCCCTTTAATTTTGGCATTAGCCAAATCCCACAAGTATCAATATAAATATTTTTATTCGGTTAAAAATACTTTGTAATTTCCATTGTGATTTGCGTTTGATCAATGGCTTATATAGCAATGCATCACTTAATTTCTAAACAAGAAAAAATAATTACTGCTGTATTGTTGCTTTTGAGCTTAGTGGTACTGTTTTCAGATAATGTATTTGTATGTTTTTAATCTTCTGAACTTTGTTGAAACATGTTTTGTGTCCCAGCTTACAGTCAATTTTGGTAAATGTTTCATGTGCCCTTGAAAAAAGAAAGCATAATCTTCCATTTCTGATTTCAGTGTTATATATATATGACAACACAATCAAACTTAATACCTTAGAGCAGTTTGCTGTTGAAATTTTGAGTTTTTATTTGAAAGTGTATTTTATTTGTCATTATTTTGAAGGTTAATTCCGCTAGATATAGAACTCTATATTGGGGGTTATTTTCTTTCATCTTTTTGAAACCATTATCCTCTGGCTTCCATTATTTCTGTTAAAAAGTCATCTCCCAGCCTTGTTGTTGCTCCTTTGAAGAAAATATGTCTATTCTTCATCTGGCTGCTTTCAATTTTTAAAACCTTTTAACAATTCTGTGACAGTATAAGTGTGTATTTTTTTTTAAGAAAAGAAATTATCTTATTTAGCGTTTGTAGCACTTCTTAAATCTTTGGTGTAGTGTTTTGTCCTTTTAAAAAGTTCCCCACCATTAATCTTTTTAGATTGCTTCAACCTCATTTTCCCTCTCTTTTCCTTTTGGGACTCAAATACGTCGTATGGTTAGAACTTTTCACTATGCCCTACATATGCCTTAAGCTATTTTCTGTATTTTTTTTTTAGCTTGAAAGATAAGCATGGAGATGCTTCAATCTAGTTATTTTTCAATTATCTATACTTCAATTTCCTAACTCATTTCTGCTCTTAAACCCTTTTGTTTAGGTCTTAATTTTGTTTACTGTTTTCAGTTCTAGAATATCTATTTGAATTTTTGAATTTTTCAGTTTCTTGATGAATTTCTTCAACTTTTTGTTAAACGTATTGAACTTATCACAGTCATTTTGAAGTTTATATCTGATAAATCCAATATCTGGATATATTGTCTATACATTTTCTTGATTTTATGTTCATTGTGTCTTGTTTTCTATGCCTGGTTATCTTTAATTGAATGTGAGACATTGGGTAAGAAAATTCATGGAGATAATTTGAGACTCTGGATGATATTATCTTCCACAAGAGAATTTACGTTTGCTTCTGACAGGCAGCTGGGGTGGGAGAATCTTACTATATCTCTTAAATTTAGTTTGATTCAAATCTGGGCTTTTTAGAAGCTCATATCTGGTTTAGATTCATGATTTTTCCCAGGGTGCAGCCTTTCAGAGATCCCAACTGAAAACCCGGAATGCTTACCTGGCCTTCCTTTTTGGTGATTCCTGAGCTCTGACTTTTGTCTCTCCAGCCATCTGAGACTCCCCCAGCTGTGCACACCTTATCAGCTTCCACTTTGGAAAATCCAGATATCTTGTGGTGCAAAAGTAGAGGCAAAGATCACTTACCTTTCTGGACATTTTTGCCTGGAAAAGTGGCTTCTTAAGTTCTTGCTGCCTGGTAGTTCAGTATTGTTTTCAAACTTATTTTTGTTAACTCCAATTTTCCTGGTTTTCCAGAGCTAGAGGGTTCTAGTAAGGGGGTTGTGTGTGAAAACTGCCAAAAGTGAAATTTTTACAAAAATTGCACTTTAGAATACTATTTTCAAAATTATATAGAAAGAAGCATCTGTTTTTTTAAAAGATGTGCTTAACTTAAGCTGTTGCATTTAAAAAAAATAACATTTTTTCTGACAAGAAAAGTGAAGTTTTGTTGAATCTGAAGACATAATACTATTTATTTGTGAGTTGATATTATTTGCCTAATATTAGGATAAACATATTATTTATCATCCAAAGCAATATACTTTTGAGAGTAAAAGGGCCATTAAGTAAATAGGATACACCAGAAAAAAATAGGTATAAATGAATGTCACAGGATCCTTAGGGTGTCGCTTGGACAGTCGAAACCTCTGTGGCCGGCGGCGCCTCTGCTTGAGTTTTGCTCGCACCTGCTGGGTTCGTTCCACCCACTCAACCCAGCAGGCTGTGATTGGCTCACGCTACCGATCCAGATCCCACGCTTGTCAAGGGCAAGCCGGGAGCAGGGTGGCAAAGGGTATGTGCATGAGTGAACTCAGGGTCCGGTCACTGTGCACAGCCAGGCACATTGGCTGCAGTGGGGTGGGCAGCTCCAGGCAGCAGCACAGCCACTGGCTCTGTGTGAGGCTGTGTCTGGACCAGGTGTACCGCAAGTGGCTTCTGCTGTGGGCACCGGGGAACGTGGTGGCGCCTAAAACTTGGAGACGCCAGGAACTGCAGAGCCCCGAAGATGTTGTTACATTGTGTCAGAGCCCAGGCTCAGGGAGCCCCGAGGTCTGGGCCCCCAGAAGGACGGGCCTCAACTCTTTTCTCCTGGCTGCCTGCCTGCAATGTGGTAAGCACGTTGTGGAGGGCGGGGGGCGAGCCGGCATGTTTAGAGGGTTTCAGCCCATTTGTGTTATAGCACTTTCAGTCCCACCGCCCGCCCTGTTCTGGCTTGCAGCTTCTGGGCTGGCTCAGCCCCACCACTGCTTCCTGCCATGTGGGGCGGCTACCTGGCGCCCGTGGAGGGTGGAAGGGCTAAAGTGTTACAGCAGCTCTGGCTCAGGGAACCCCAAGGTCTAGGCCCCCAGAAGGGTTTCCAGTCTTCACTCTTGTAGTCCAGGGGTATGTCACCACCCACAGCTCAGCAAGCTGGCCAGGAACGTGTTACAGCTCCCTTTGCTCCTGCTGTTCAGTGAGTCCTAAGTTCTTGTCCCACATCCAGGAAGAATGAGGCTATATGGACAACTGGACGGTGAGCAAGGCAGGGAGGAGCTTTACTAAGTGACAGAACAGCTCTCAAGAGACCCAAAGTAGGTAGCTCCTTTCCACAAGCAGGTCGTCCCAGTGAGCGTCTGAGTCTGACTGAATCTGGGTTTTTTTATGGGCTTGTAATGAGGAAGTGCATGCTGATTGGTCCATGTGCAGACATGGGTGGACATGGAAAAAGCACCATTGGATTGTCCGAAAGGCATCAATGAAGTTCTCACTCCAGGTTGTGGGCTCCACCCAGAACTGGCAATAAGGCCCCCAGGCTTCAGGCTGTTCCTGACTTGAAGGTGGGGCGAGGTCCCACTCCTTGCCCAGGAACCTGTCTGCCTCCCACCACCATCAACATGCTGTTAGCGGTACCCATGCTGTCCGTGCTGAGGGGTACCCACAGGCCTGCGACAAGCCACCCTCAGCCCTCCCCACCTCCCTGAGCTCGTTGGCCCCCAAAGTTTAGAGGGGGCCAAAGTGGTGGAAGAGCTGGCATGTCAGTGCCACCCTAAGCACGCACACATGCAGCTTGGGTTGCGACAGCCCCTGGGCTCAGCTATAACTTTGCTCCACACTGGAGTGGGCACCAGGAGTGGGGAGAGGCTGGGGAGTGGGAGCAGGCACCTCTGAGCCTGTAGGGGCAGGGATCTTTCCAGGCTCCTGAGAGCACAGAGATGCCCAGGTCCAGAGCTGCAGCTGGGTGGCTGCAGTTCTGCCTGGGAGCATGGGCTCCTGACCAGCCAACTTGGTAGGATGCGGGGCTCCCTCTGGGATCACCTGTTCCCAGCCCCCACCAACTCCCCAGAGCATGCAGCCCCAGTCACACCTCTCCTGCTGCAGCTGGCCTGCCCGCAGCAGCCACTCCAGATGGGCTGCCACTGCCATCACTATGATTATCCTGGAAAAACTGGAATGCATGATCACCCTACCTGTAGTTACAAATTTTAGGAATTATAGCAAAATTTCACTTTAAGAAATAAAAACAGTAAATTAAATTCACTTTAAGGCCTACTTCTGTTAATTACTTACAAATAATTATTGAGGAAAAAAACTAATGATTTCTCTTTCTCTTTACATGGAGTATGTATAGAAAAATATTTGGGCTGGGCGTGGTGGCTCACGCCTGTAATCCCAGCACTTTGGGAGGCCGAGGCAGGTGGATCACGAGGTCAGGAGATCGAGACCATCCTGGCTAACACGGTGAAACCCCGTCTCCGCAAAAAATACAAAAAATTAGCCGGGCGTGGTGGCGGGCGCTTGTAGTCCCAGCTACTCAGGGAGTCTGAGGCAGGAGAATGGCGTGAACCCGGGAGGCGGAGCTTGCAGTGAGCGGAGATTGTGCCACTGCACTCCAGCCTGGGCGACAGATCGAGACTCTGTCTCCAAAAAAGAAAGAAAAATATTTGGAAAAAATCACTCTACATTGTCATTTGAAGATTTTATACAATGATAAAATAAACAATTTTAAAAGAAATTTGAAAAGTTCGTAAAATAAAATTTAGAGTCTAGATAGGTGAAATGAGCAAAAACATGTTTCATAGGCTAAGGGAAAATTATAAGCAGGCACTGCAAAGATTCCAAAACTGAATATTTATCAGGCAGTAAGCTCTTAATGCTTGAATTGATTCCAGTACTCTGGAATTACAAATTTACCCCTAGTGTCAGAGTATTTAGTAATAAAATTTCACATTGTTGTTTTGTTGGGAGAAAAATATTACACTGTTTATCTACTTTATTTTTTAAAATTTTTTAATTTTTTTTTTTTGAGACGGAGTCTTGCTCTGTCTCCCAGGCCGGAGTGCAGTGGCGCCATCTCAGCTTACTGCAACCTCCGCCTCCCAGGTTCCAGCGATTCTCCTGCCTCGGCCTCCCGAGTAGCTGGAACTACAGGCATGTGCCACCACGCCTGACTAATTTTTGTCATTTTAGTAGAGACAGGGTTTCACCATATTGGCCAGGCTGATCTTGAACTCCTGACCTCTTGATCCACCTGCCTCAGCGTCCCAAAATGCTGGGATTACAGGCATGAGCCACCGCATCCGGCCATCTACTTTATTTTAAAAAATGTTTCAAATAAATATGTCCTCAACAATGTTAATGAAACTCTCTATATTAATAAGGTTTATGGGAAAGGGTTCTAGGTAAAGAAAGGTCAGTAGTAAAGTAAACAACACACAACTTATATGTTCCAGATCTGTTATTTGTTCAACTCTGGCATGTGGCAAACAACTTTGATTATAGAATTTTAGGAGTTGATTTTGTTTCTCAAATTGGGGCCTTCGTACCACCTGGATCAAGGTCATCTGTGGGTTTTATTTTAAAAATGAAGACATGCAGGCGCATCTTGGATCCTTCTGTGATCTGCCCTCCAGCTGATTATTATTCCTACTGAAGTTTGGGCTCTGCTGTGATACTAGTGATGAATGAAGCACCAAGATTTGGAATGAACTCAGTAGGGGTGAGCTGGAGCCACAGTGAAGAAAGATGTAGAATCTTGTCTGGGCAACAGTGCTTAGACCATCACATAGTTCTCTTGTCTCCCTTCAACTCTCCTCTTTTTTTTTTTTTTAGACAGGGTCTCATTTTCTCTGCCCAGATTGGAGTGCAGTGGTGCGATCTTGGCTCACTACAACCTCCGCCTCCCAGGCTCAACTGAGTCTCCTGCCTCAGCCTCCCTAGTAGCTGGGATTACAGGTGCACACCACCACGCCTGGCTGATTTTTTTGTATTTTTGGTAGAGACGGGGTTTTGCCATGTTGGCCAGGCTGGTCTTGAACTCCTGATCTCAAACGATCCACCCGCCTCGGCCTCCCAAAGTGCTGGAATGATAGGCATGAGCCACTGTGCCCGGCCTCCCCTTAGTTTTTATTCTTTTGGCCTCTTCCTTGAGTTTGTCCCATGAGAGTTCCCTGCCAATTTGACCTGTTGACTTTCTGCTCTACTTTTACGGTCTGCTGCTGCATCTGGAGGCCACCTGTTTGCAGTGAAACCCATCTCTGCCTTGTAGCTTCAGGTTTCTGCAACCGGGTTTCTGGTCACCTTGACCCAGATTCCTGGCCAGCTTCCACAGCAGGCAGTAATGCCATACTGAGCAGAAATTTAAACACTGTGTGTTGCAAGCTAAAAAAGTACAATCCATGAGGTCAGTTAGGCTTGACGAAAGTATTGTTTAACCCTGAGGTTATCGCTGTTATCTATTACAGAGAAAGTAAGCTAATTAATGCTCATAATGAGTGGTATTGTTTGAATGTGTCCCTAAATGTTTTCTTGGTTTTTCGTTTTGTTTTGTTTTGAGACAGAGTTTTGCTCTTGTTGCCCAGGCTGGAGTGCAATGGTGCAATCTCGGCTCACTGTAACCTCCACCTCCCAGGTTCACGAAATTCTCCTGCCTCAGCCTCCCGAGTAGCTGGGATTACAGGCATGCGTCACCACACCCGGCTAATTTTGTATTTTTAGTAGAGATGGGGTTCCTCCATATTGGTCAGGCTGATCTTGAACTCCTGACCTCAGGTGATCCACCCGCCTCGGCCTCCCAAAGTGCTGGGATTACAGGCGTAAGAGAAGGCGTAAGTCTTCTTCTTCTTCTTTTTTTTTTTTTTTTTTTTTTTTTGAGGCAGAGTCTTGTTCTCTGGAGACTGGAGAGCAGTGGCACAGTCTTGGCTCACTGCAGCCTCTGTCTCATGGGTTCAAGCAATTCTCCTGCCTCAGCCTCCTGAGTAGCTGGGACTACAGGCACCCAGCACCATGCCCAGCTAATTTTTTTTTTTTAATAGAGACAGGGTTTCACCACGTTGGCCAGGATGGTCTCAAACTCCTGACCTCAAGTGATCTGTCTGCCTCGGACTCCCAAAATGCTGGGATTACAGGCGTGAGTCACCGCGCTTGGCTGTGTCCCCTAAATTTTATGTGTTGGAAACTTAATCTCCGAATTCATATGTTGATGGAATTTGAAGATGGTATCTTTTAGCATTAAAGGGAAATATTAGTAGATAAGGTCATCAGGGTGCATCCCCATGAAGGGACTTGTGGCTTTATAGGAAGAGAAAGAGAGTCTTGTGCTGACATGCACGCTTGCCCTGTCTTGCCATGGGATGCCTCCCGCATGTCATGAGACAGCAGAAAGGCCCTCGCCAGATGCTGGTGCCATGCTCTCGGACCTTCCAACCTCCAGAACCATGAGCTAAAGAAACTTCTTTTCCTTATAAGCTACCCAGCCTGTGGTATTCTGGTATAGCAACAGAGAATGGACCAATACAGTCAGCACGCTGCATCATCAAGGAAAGATGTAATTGGGTTCATTATCTCTCACTTAATAAGGCAGTAAATTAGTAATTATTTTAGAAATATTCCCATAAACAATTTAAAATATATGTACATCAAGCTTTAGTTACCCAAGGAGGGAGAGGGGGAACACTCGCTCAAAATTCTCACCACATCATGATAATCAATGATAAATAAGGAATAACTGGAATAGCCACTATGCTTTGTTTGAAGAAAGAAGTTGTAATAATCTGTTTTTACACCAGATGGCAGAGTTGGTTTTCCTTTGGTTTTTTTTTTTTTTGTTTGTTTGTTTTTTTAAAGACTCCAAAATAGCTGCCTATTTTATATAACCAGCTTTTACTTGTTGGTTCCCATCAGGTCAATATAATTTGTTTAATACCTTTTCACATAAGGACATAGCACAATGAAAGGCTTACTTTACCCTAAGCCTTTTAGGGGGAAACAGAATAGCAGATGGTCTAGAGAGTATGATTCAGCTAGATTATACCTACTTTGCCAAAGGAATTATGCATTTAAATAATACCTGTGGTTGCCTTCAAACTAACACAAGTTTTCATAATTTTTATATACAATTATAAAACCTATTGGCTTATCATTCCAATAGTTTCTGAAACATCAACTATACTGCTTGCAAATGCATTTTTTGAAATTTATGTCTACTACTAACAATCATAAGAAATGAATTTGTATTCTTCTTATTGTGTGTGTTATCTTGTTTTCATTTTACTTTTTTCCCTACTAAACTTGAGGAGCAAAGCAAAAATACTAAGAGATTCTTTTTCAATAACTAGTGTAATAAACATTCAATATGCTAATTATCATAAGATAGACCTCTCTCGTTCTCACAACAAATAACTGTACAGAAGATGCAAATGTCCATGTACCTTATACTTCCACGCAAATTGCAGAATTTATCCCTAAATTTTAAAAGTGTAAGTATGGCTACATTTTGGAACCGTGGAATGTCTTAGTTCATATGTCCTACATTGCCCATTATACTATTTGTGAACTTGCCTTAGCATTAATCTCAAATATAAACTGCTTGGAACTTAGAGGTTAATGTTGCTCTCCTGGTCCCCCTGAGGTGCCCAGCTGTATTATGGCATAGATACCTGACACAGCTGTGGCAAGAATGAGTGCACAAATGGATAGGGTAAGAGAATAGGGGATATCGGTTTGTTGCATTATAGATTCCAGAAATACTTAAATTTCATCACACATACTTAACCGTTCTGTTCTTACTTATCCCATATCCTAGATGAGGCCATTTGAACCCAGAGGTCCATGCCTGGCACATGGTCAGAACTAAATATATGTTAATGCCCTTCTGGTCTCTTTTTTTCCTAAAGACTAGATGACTCTGTGACTAGAACCCTTGAGAACACTCAAAGTCAGAGGATATAAATAAGCATATAGTAATGTGTGTCTACATTACTAAAAAACAACTGAAAATCTAATCTCACCCAAACTGAAACCAATTTGGCTAAAACAAGTAAGAAATATCTTGAAGGGGCAGCGCTCCCTGCTAGTTGTTCCAGTGCAAGTTCTTGATTGTCAGTTAGAAATAAAAAATTTTAAGCTGGGTATGGTGCTCATACCTGTAATCCCAGTGCTTTGGGAGGCTGAGGTTGGAGGATTGCTTGAGGTCAGCCTGGGCAACATAGCAAGACCCCATCTCTTAAAAAAAATTTATTTTTAAGTCAGCCAGGTGTGATGGTGCATGCCAGCTCCTCAGAGGTCAAGGCAGAGGGTCACTTCAGCCCAGAAATTTGAGGCTACAGTGAGCTATGATCATGCCACTGTACTCTAGCTCTAGTAGAGCAAGACTCTGTCCCCCCAAGAATTTTTATTTAAAGACAAACTGAAGTTTAGTAATAGCCTATGGTTTGAGTGCATGATATCTTCCAGTAAGTGGCGGTGTGGGGTTTAGCATCCTTCTTTTCTGTGATATTTAAACTAATTTATTCTTTGTATTTAATAAATGTTGAGTAACTACTTTGTCCAGAAAGTTTTTTATAGATACGGAAGAAAGGGAACCTGCGGTCTGTGAAGGGCAAAAGGCTAAATTGGGCTTCCATTTGTGCTATTTTCATGTATTAATTTAATATTTACTGAGTATAATAATAGTAGTCAATCTTTATTAGCTTTTACTTACTGTGAGCCAAACATTATTCTAAGCACCTCATCTATATTAACTAATTTAATTTTTATAAAAACCTTAGGAACAAAATGCTACTTTTAGCTGATTGTGCAAATGAGGATCCTGAGCACAGAGTTGAAGGGCCTGCCCAGAGCCACCCAGGCAGCAGGTGGCTGAGACAGCCCTGCCTGCATGGAGTTCAGCACTTACAGATTCCCAGGCTTGCAGAGGTCCAATAAATACTGGTTAGGAGCTCCTAGCATACATGCAAACTGATCAATGATAGCGCTATGCAGTGGAGAATGAACACCATGCCAAGAGGGCCCAGATGAGGGAGCAAGTGTGTCTCCCCAGGGGATGAGGCAGACCTTCCCCAGAGAGGTCACACTTACACAAGGCGTTAGAGGAGAAGCATGGTCCCTGGAAGATGCAGCAGCACACGTGCACAGACACAAGTGTGGGCTGCCTGGGAGCTGTCAAGGGGGTCAAATAGCCTGTGTGCATTGATGGGTGTTGGGGGCTGAGCTGGAGCTGCGGCCCCCGGTGTGTGAAGGGTTCCCCTCCTGGCCTAGGCTAAGGGTTCGGCATTCATCTTGCAGAGCCAAGGATGAGTTTAGCAGGGAATTAACTCCACCTGACTTTGGTGTGGATGACAAAGTGCAGTGCGGTGGGAAATGAGCTAATGTGGAGGACATCTGGGTCTTTGGACTCCTGGGGAAGCAGATCAGGGAGGCCAGATGTAGGCCTGACTCTGTCCATCAGCTGAGTGGCCTTCGTGAGAGGTGACTTCCTTGGTTGTGACCTGGGGATTAACAAACCAAACTCCCAAGTTTGTTGGGAGGATTGGATGAGGACAGTGCTTGCTCAGCACCTCTTATAAAGGAAACGCTCATCAACATTGGAGCTGGTCCCAGCCATGGACCCTTCCTAGCCCTGCCCCACCCCGCCTGCAGACCATGGCAGTCAGGCAGTGATGATACCGAGACAGACATCACTGAACACCTAGGCTGAGCCCCTGGCCGGCCAGCACCCCGGGAAGCAGGTCCAATGCAGGTGCAAACATGTTTCCTGTGAGGACTATGGTCCAGAGAGGCCAGGCCACCTCACCAGGTCACACATGTGTCATCAGGGGGCTGGGGTTCAAACCCAGTTCTGTTTGGCTGATTCTAAATCCCCACTGGCCCTCTCTATGCAAGTACATATAATACCTCTTGAGAGCCCATCAGTGCAGAAGGGATTCTGACTCTCTTTTCCCTCACATGCCTGCTTGGGACACATGGGCATGGCAGGACAAGAGGACCCCATCTAGAGCCGAAACTGCAGCCTCTGGGTGCACTCTTGTTGGTAAGTGTTCTGGGCATGCTGCCTATGGAGCCATGGCCTCCAAGCCTTTAGATGTCACCAGCTGGAAGCGGCTAACAGCAAGTCCCCTGGGACGTTCTCAAACCCACAGGCATTCTGCAAAGGGCAAGGGGTCAGTATAGAAGGCAGCATGGCAAGGGCTGAAAACCTGGCTGGGAGCCCCAGGCACTGGTCCCACATGCTCCTGGTCCTCTGGCCAGCCAAGTCCCTGGGTGCCTGCCAGAGTTCTGTAGCACAAATACCAGGGAGCTGGGGCCTGTGCCCTCAAAGGCAGCATTAAGTTATCAGAGAAAAATATACATACATACATAATACACATATATACACGTACATATATGTACACATATACACACACACATAAATATATGTTAATAATGCAAAGTTGGATCTTAGCCCTCAAAACAGACAAGGCCTCTATTTGAAATTGCCCAGCTGAAACCCCATCTCTACTAAAAACACACAAAAAAATTAGCTGGCTGTGGTGGCGGGTGCCTGTAGTCCCAGCTACTCACTAGGGAGGCTGAGGCAGGAGAATGGCGTGAACATGGGAGGCGGAGCTTGCAGCGAGCCGAGATTGCGCCACTGCACTCCAGCCTGGGGGACAGAGCGAGACTCTGTCTCAAAAAAAAAAAAAAAAAAAAGAAAAAAATTGCCCAGCTACATTACTATCTAGAAGTCAAAGTTAACAAACCAAGAGGAAGTTGAACCTGGCAGAAAAGATTAGCTGTGTGTATGTTTCCTGGAGAAACAGAAGCAAGTTTATGGCCCATGGCCAGGGCAGGATCCACCAAGCCCAGGGACTGGTTATACAGTCCCTTTTTTTCACTGATAGCCCAGGGGATATTCCTCATTTAAAAAGTAAGTTTCTTCACAGTTTCGTTCTCCCCGATTTCTATTTGGTATCCCACCTGCAGGGCCTTTGATCCAGGCCCCCATTTGCCCTGGATTCCCCATAAGCACTGCTCAACCCTTTGCAGTCTCAGGTGGGCACGACCCCCAGCAGGAACTCTTTGCTCCCTGTCTTGCCCCATCCAAATGTATCCACCTCTTCCCTTTCTATCAGGGCCCTGTGTTATGCTAGTTCACAAATCAATTCATACGAAAGTAGCTGCTCACTAGTTGTGGCTTAATGAATCTCTCTGAGACACTGCAACGTATCATACTTTCTCTACTAAATGTTCATGATGGTAACCTTGAAAGGCTTAAGCCAGGAGGCTGGCTGTGGAAGTCTGGGCTGCAGGGCATCTTGATGTAGAAGCAAATGGGTCATTACAGTCCTTTCAGTAGGAGCACGTTTGTCAATGCCAGCGTCCTGACCTGGCTCCTCAGCGAAGTTGGGGTGGATGGCTCCTGACTTCACGTGTCTTTGAGAACTGCTCTCTCTGCCCCTTCCTAAGCCCGGCCCTGCTGTTTAGCTTAAACTAATCAGCTGCTAACATTTCATTTAAACAAGGTTTAAACTTTACCTCAGGGTATTCTTTCCTTGAATTCAGTCTTGGAAAATCAGTAGAAGCTTTTTCAGGTGGGAAACAATTTTATAAGGGTGTGTCCGCACATTTGCATGCACCTGGGGAATGCAATAAATAAGTAGTTAACATTTACTATGCAATAAGGTTTGTCATAAATGACCCCCAAAAATCCGTGGTTTTAACAGCAAGCATTTGTTTCTAGCTTCTGGTCCACGGGCTAGCTGGGCATTATTGGGCTCAACTGGACTTGGCTTCAGGCTGCGGACTGTCTTCAGCTGTGCTCCTCCTGGCTCCAGGTTTGGAGGTCAGCGGTTACTCAGAGCATGTTCTCCTCATGATAGATGGAGAAGCGCAAGAGAAGTGAGCAGAAACCTGCATCCCTCTTAAGGGCTTGGCCCTGAACCAGCACTGTCCCTCCTGTCACCATCTCCTTGGCCAGCACAAGTGGTATGGCCAGTTCCAACATCAGTGGGCCAGGAGGGTGGGCTACTTCCTCCACAGTGACCATGGCAAGGAAGGAGAGGAAGGCCTGTGGGCGAACAACACCATGCCCTGCCACAGGGCAGCACGTGCAATGACACAGAGGTATAAAGAAGCTCGGCTGGTGTCAGAGGCATGTTTGGCAGCAGGGAGATAGGGAGCAAGGCTGGCAGATGGTGAGTTTGGAGAAAGAAGTTAGGACTGGCTAGTGGAGGGCTGGGCTTCCTTGCCAAGGAGCGTGGCTCTCATCCTGTAGGCAGTGGAATGACATTCAGGATAAGGACTCGCTCGGCCTGCAGCTCCCTCCTCCCACCCTGCTGCTGTTCCTGCTCTGGGGCACACAGGAGCATGCAGTGGCTGAATGGAAACTGACGCCGGCTGCCAGGGACGGAGAAGAGTTTGGGGACAGGTCTGGGCTCATTGCCCATGCCATCCTGGGTACGCATGTGTCAACACATACAATTAGCTTTGAGTGCCCGGGCCTGCAAAGTACAATTGAATGCCTGAAAGCATTTGGCTGACCTCAAGGAAAAAGTCTTTAAGCGTAGGAGTTCTGTCACAAAAATAAATGGTCATTTAGAAAGGAATAGAGGAAAGAAGCTGAAACACTTAGGTGTGAATCAGTCGCCACTAATTGCTAGTATATTGCATAACCCAAGGCTCAGTTTCCACAGCTAAAAAATGCTTCCATTAAACTCCCATACTTCACAGAGTTTATAAAAAGTATATGAAGTAATATATGTAAAAATCTTTAAATCATTATATAAATACAAGCTACTTATATTTATGTTTAAGGTAGCCGAAGTGAAGGGAATAGCTATCCATCCAATGAACCAAGCACTATATCTTCAGTGGACTCTGGAGCCAGCAGGGATGTGGGTGGAGTGTACTGCCCCTAAATGCCTGTTGGAGATCAAGGGGGGAACTGCAATGCCAGGCTCCTTCACAGACAACATGCCAAGGCAAAGGGCACCAAAAGAAAGCACCATAGCCATGGTGCCCAAGAGATGATATGGTGATGAAACCGACAAATGCACCTTCTGCCACTGGGATGTCATTTCAATAGACAGAAAGTGTTGCTATGAACTCACCCATGAATGCCTCTTTTAGAACCAGATGAAACTCAGTATTTACTCTTCATGCACTTAAAAAAATGAGCGACCTTCAACACTCATTGGGAGGACCTTCAACTCCTTCATCAGTAAATCCAGAAAAAGGAAAATGGAGACAGGGAGAAAGAAAGGAGTGACGGGAGATACACTAGTGCTGAAGAAATGCAAAAAGCAGAAGCAGGTGCTTATTCCAACTAAAAATAATCCACGGAAACAAGACACCTTGAAGTGAGATTTGTTTGTATATTTCATATCTGACAACAGGCAGAGTCCCCGGAGCAGGTGCAATGAACGCGGATAGGAAACAGTTTGATTCTGAATCTACTAGTGGGAGGGGTCCCAAAGCAGCTTCATTCTGAGGCCAGACTTAGGCTGGAAGCCAACTTTGTTAAAAACAAATAAAAGTCAGCTGGATTTTATGGACATTTTACGCACATTTCAAACTTCAGAGGAGAAAAGATGACCACAGTGGTTTTCTGGAATATGTCAAGGGAACACAGTCTTGTTTTCCCCACAGGGGAAAGTTTCTTGGGTAAGGTATTGAAAGTACAGGTGCTCCCTGAATTACAAGGGAGATAATTCTGATAAGTCAATCATCAATTGAAAATATTATCATTTGAACATGCATGTAATACACCTAACCTACCAAACATCACAGCTTAGTGTAGCCTACCTTAATCGTGCTCAGATACATTAGCTTATTCCTTTAGAAAGGAATAGACGAAAGAAGCTGTTAGCCTATAGTTGGGCAAAATCATCTAACGAAAATCTCCCTTTATAATAAAGTGTTGAAAATTTCATGCAATTTATTGAATACTGTACTAAAAGTGAAAAACAAAATAGTTGTATGGCTACGTTAATTGAGTCAAAATACTGTCAGTCAAACGCTTGTAAGTCAGGGACCACCTGTATGCGCATCCTAGAAAGTACTTCTTATAAAGTGCTCCAGGATCAGGGTTGTATGAAAAGGAGGGAGATGAGTGTGTGCCACAGAATCAAGATAACGGAGTGAAGCAAGAATTTAAAGACAGCAGAAAATAGCAGATAACTTAGCCAGGCTGGCATGGCAAGAAGGGAGTTGATGAGGTTGGTCTCCATGACCATTGGTTTCTTCCCTTTCATTTCCTTTCCCCCTTCCCCTTCACCTTCTTGTTCTATTGCTCTCCTTCTCAGTATTTTGTTTTTTTCTTATATCAAATATGTTCTAATTGTATAAGGAAATTGTTTATAGTGCTACTATCCTGATATAAAATACCTTATGGCAATATCACTAAAATATAATAAACAAGTAATTATGTTTTACTTTTCATACCTACACTATAAACCTGGGAAATTTTCCTTCTTACCTCAAAAATCACCTAAGGACTCCTGGAATGTCTACCAAGTACTACAATATATGGAAAATCTCTTAAATGCAAATATGTGAGAAACAACATTGTATCCTTAACCTTTCCAGGCACATTGCCTTAATCGTTGAATAAGATAGTCCCACACATGAGCTCCACAGCCTCCCCCAGCACTGTGGTTAATCTTGAGGCTCTGACTGTAGCTCACGGGGGCTCACGGGGCTTCACTCCAGGAGGGCTGGGTTGGCTGGGGATGGACAATGATGACTCTTTTGGTCAAGGAGAAACATTGGAACCCAGGGCACTAAAAAGGGGAGGTGGTGCTTCTAACAGGAAAACAGGGAGTGTATAGTGACATGAAGGAGACTAACTGTCCGTTTCCATTTTTACCATTTCAAACTTTGGGGATGAAAGATGATTGAGTAAAAAGATGCTTTAAAAATAATGGTATGGTGAATTAAAATACCAACAGTGAATTTGAAACTAAAATAATGCAGATTTGGATAAAGAAATTGTGGAACATATACACCATGGAATGCTATACGGCCATAACAAAAAAAATACAATGAGACCATGTCCTTTGCAGCAACATGGGTGGAGCTGGAGGCTATTATCCTAAGCAAATTAATACAGGAACAGAAAACCAAATACTGCCTGTTCTCTCTTGTAGGTGGGAGCTAAATACCGAGTAACATAGACACAAAGAAGGGAACATAGACATGAGGAACTACTTGAGGGTGGAGGGTAGGAAGAGGGTGAGGATAAAAAAATTACCTATCAGGTACTATGCTTATTACTTGAGTGACTAAATGGTGCAACAAACCCCTGAGACACACGGTTTACTCATATAGCAAAACTGCACGTGTACCCCCTGAACCTAAAATAAAACTTGGAAAGAAAAGGAAAAGAATGCAGAAAAGATGTAATGAAGAAACAGGGAGACACAGATCAGGAATGTTTCAAAATAAGTCTGCAAGTGTTAACTGAGTTGGTTTAATATTTAAATATTAAATATCCTTTCTTTTTAGACAAACTAACTGGAATCATTTGTGCAATGGTCCTGCACTAAAGAAAATATTAAATGTCTTTTACAGGTAGAAATAAAAGTGTCCCAATGGAGGCTTGAAAATGCAAGAAGGAATAAAGGACAACAAAATGTTGGTAATTTAATAAACATTGACTGCAAAAAGTATCTTTGATGATAAAATAACAGGGAGACATAAAACATATGACAACAATGGCATATAAATTATAAGGGAATAAAGTGCTCTAAAATCATTGTACTGTCTGGACAGTGAGAGTGTTAATATTAGAATTGATAAGTCAAGGATGCATGTTATAATCTCTGGAGTAACCACCAAATTAAGCACAAAGTAATATAGGATAAACAAGTCTAGAGGTCTAATGTACAACGTGAGGACTAGAGTTAACAAAATTGTGTTAGGGAGTTTTGTTAAATAAGTAGATTTTAGCAACTCTTGTCACAAAATAAGTAACTATGTGAGATGACAGATATGTTAATCTACTTTACTATCTATTAGTATCCCTTAACATCACATTGTAAACCTTAAATACACACCACAAAATGTTTTAAAAAGAAGTACTACAGTATTCAAACACATAGAAGGTGAGAAAAGAATAATAAAGAATAACCAATCCAAAAGAAGACAAGAAAGAAAAGGGAGCACATAAAAGACATGCAAACAGAAAGCTTTTCAGAAGACGTAGATTAAACAAAACTCTTCCATTATCTACTGTCCTTGAGAGAAGTCCTGTCCATGTTTTGCCTCCAGATAGAGCTTCTGTAGTAACGTGGAACACTTCAGCCAAATGGCTTCATTTACAATTGTCCTTCTCTGCACAGTTCCTAAGGATGATTTTATGATGAATTGTCTGACTTTCCAAAGATTCCCATAATTTCTTTTTTAAAAATAAATTTTAAGTAGATGTGTATGCTTTCTAAACTTCAATCTATGAAAATTGACTGTACAGGTGGTCTCTGAATTCTAGTAGCACATTTACAACTGACCCATCATGCCTGTCCACCCCGTGTCCCATCCCCATCCCATTGCCATGAACCTTTGTGTGGTGGAGGAAGGGAATACAATTTTAGGACTCTAGTATTTGTAGGTTCACACATGACAGTCAGAAACATGGTGTGAGATGCCTTCAGTTCACCTTGAGGACAGACTTTCAAAGGCAAATCTGCCTGCAACAGAACCCCTGTCAATCTCCTCTTTATGCTTCAACTCCTTCCTTTGATGCACAAACAGATTTGGATTAAGGGAAAGGTCAGTCTCCCCGTTTCCCTGGGGCAATGAGCTATGACGGAGCAATGACATACCAATGGGAATAGCACACGGTGGAGAAAATTAACCCCTCTCATGGGTATTACTATATTTTCTATTCTGGGAGGCTGGAAGGAATATTTTGAAAAACCATTAAAAGTGACGAGTTAAGAGGCTAGAAAATTCATCCCAAAAGGGCATGCTCAAGAAACAGCAAATGGCCTTTACCACTATCTCAAGTGGGTTGGGCCAAGTAATCTCCAGGTTTTGTTTTGTTTGGAAACAGAGCTGACTCATCCAGAGCAACATAGAAGAGGCCAGGGACCTTTCCCTTCCCTCCCCTGATTCCATTGTAAAGAAAACTTATCCTCTCTGTTAGACAGATGTTCAACTAATATTTAAAGAATATTGGTTCAAAGTGTTAAAAAGGAAGAACCTTAAGCAAGTTTAAATTTAACAGAGTTTATTTGAGAATTTTAAAAGATTCATGAACAGGGCAGCCCTAAGAAACAGAGCAGGTTCAAAGAACTCCTGCCTGCTACAGGGTCAGGCAGCATTAATGGACAGGAAACAGAAGTGGGGCAAGAATAACTTAACTGGTTACAGCTGGGTGCTTTATTTGAATCAGCTGGCTGTCTACCATTGACTAAAGTGCAGCTGCTGTAACCAACCAAAACTCAGCTATTTGCTACCTGAGTTAATTAGTTTCATTGAGCATGAATGATTATATATTAGTTTGGTCTGTTGGGCCCACTATGGGAGCCCAGTCCAAATCAACGAACTCCTGCAAGTTTCATTTAACAGAGGGAATTACTGGTCTGCCATGTCATGACCAGGATTTATATGTCTAGGTATATCCACCCAAACACTGCATTAAACTCCAATTCAGTTAACTTGGTTAAAAATCTTCTTCTTTTTTTTTTTTTTTTGGTGGAGTTTCGCTCCTGTTGCCCAGGCTGGAGTGTAGCGGCGCGATCTCAGCCCACCGCAATCTCTGCCTCCCGGGTTCAAGCGATTCTCCTGCTTCAGCCTCCTGAGTAGCTAGGATTACAGGCATGCACCACCACGCCTGGCTAATTTTTTTGTATTTTTAGTAGAGGTGCGGTTTCTCCATGTTGGTCAGGCTGGTCTCGAACTCCCAACCTCAGGTGATCCGCCCACCTCGGCCTCCCAAAGTGCTGGGATTACAGGCGTGAGCCAACGTGCCCGGCCCTGGTTAAGATCTTCTTATGTAAGTACTTTCAAGAAGGTCAAGGCTATCACCATTTGTGGCAAAATGAATTAAGTGACTGAGTTTACTTTTTTCTGTGGTCCAGCTGGATGTAAGCATGAGGCAGAAGAGAGAACTAGGTGAAAGACATAGGTTGGATAAGATGTGCATGTTCTGTAGAAGCAGTGTCTGAGCTGGGGATGCTAAGCTCTCCAATAAAATCTGTAAGGAGTTGTGAGAAGCACGAAAGGACAGGAGAAGGTGCTTGGCAAGGGCTTGGGTTTGGCTGACATCTACCCTTAGCCTGATCCCATGGGGAGGCTGGGAGTGTGGATGGCATCACAGAGTTGTCATCCCTTCTGTCGAGGAGCCCAGACTTCTCCACTCAGTACCAGCCAGTCACTGGCTGAGGGGCTCCCCCAGGGGAAGGCAAAATCTCCCAAGTGTTTCATGGTTAGGAGCTCCCCCTACCAACCCCAGGGCAATTATCGGGAGGAGGGGCAGGTGTGAGCCTTGTGAAGAAGTGCTGATAGCAGCTGGGGGTGGTATCCCCCGCCAGTAAGAGGGATCTGGTCAGGGCGTTCCATAGACCCTACTTCAGCTGCCAAGTATGTACCCCAACAGACCCTGCTTCCAAAAGTCATTGAGAGTCAGTCTCACACAAAAGGAGAGAAACAAAAATTACTTTCCCTCACTCCTGTCTCCACCCTTCTTTTGCCAAGATCCTGTATGCCAAGTAGCCCTGTCATTCAGCAATGTTGAGGTCAGCGTAGGATTTTGTGGACTCTAATAACTTCTCTGGGTATAGAATTTCTTAGGGGAAGTTGTAATAATTTACTGACACAGCTGGACCAAAATATTGAAGTTAGATTATTCTTGGAAAATCCAGAACATGTGGTCATCCTATGTGGAGTTTGCTAACAGTCAAATAAAATTACAAAAGTATGAATCTAACATACATATAGTGCTGTAGAATTGTTACTCTGCTACATGAAATAACAACATTGGAGCTAAAGGTTTATATAAATAAAATCAATGTTACTTCTGTGAAACTAAACCAAAGTTTTAGGATTTTTTTTCTCACTATGCTCTCCAGTATCTACAGCATTAATATTAAGAAATTTCTTTCATGTTTCAAACCATCTCAACATCATTGCCACCCACTGTCACGTGGGAAAGCACAAATGATCTGGGTTTGCTTTTCTTCTACTCATGCCTCACTCTGGTTTTCCCTCCCCAGGGTCACACTCCACACCATTCCTACTAGATTAGGGTCATTGCTGAACTGGCGTGACAGTTTTAGCTGCTAGCCTAGGTACTGAGATGATTATAAAAATGTGCACGTATAACTTATAAAAGAAATAAAGCACTCATTTTTTTATTGGGTTCTTCAAAATCTTTCCTTTTGCAAGTTTATGAGAAAGTGAAAACATCATGAAAGTCCTATTTCTTTTAGAAGACGAGGAGTGAAGTATAAACTAAAAATAAAATCCCGAGTTCGAGACCAGCCTAGCCAAAATGGTGAAACCCCGTCTCTACTAAAAATATAAAAATTAGCTGGGGGCAGTGGCTCGTGCCTGCAATCCCAGCTACTCGGGAGACCGAGGCAGGAGAATTGCTTGAACCTGGGAGGCAGAGGTTGCAGTGAGCCGAGATTACGCTACGCACTCCAGCCTGGGCAACAGAGCAAAATTCCATCTGAAAAAAAAAAAAGTAAAAATAAAATTATACACCTTTCAACCACTGATTGGACCCCCTCTTGGCCAAAGGGACCCCAGAGAAACCTTAAAAACTGAGTTTCCAGTCATGATGGGGTGGAGGGTAGGATATACTTTGTTATACCCTTTCCCTTTTTTGGTTTAAACACAACTGACCAGGATTCATGTTAAAATAGAGATCATAAGACTGACAAAACATACTCTTTGTGGCAATAAGACACTGAATTATAAGCAGGACCTAGGGCCATGCCAGGCAAGGGTTAAGTCATGCATACTGCACTTAAAGAATAAACTAGGTTCAATCTGCCCCAAGGTTTCTTTTTCTCTAGCAGCCAAACAAGCACTGGCCTCTAGGTAAGCAAGACTACAACAAATGGCCGGGCGCAGTGGCTCACGTCTGTAATCCCAGCACTTTGGGAGGCTGAGGCGGGCGGATTATGAGGTCAGGAGATCGAGACCATCCTGGCTAACACAGTGAAACCCCGTCTCTACTAAAAATACAAAAATTATCTGGGCGTGGTGGCGGGCGCCTGTAGTCCCAGCTACTCGGGAGGCTGAGGCAGGAGAATGGCATGAACCCGGGAGGCAGAGCTTGCAGTGAGCCGAGATCGCACCACTGCCCTCCGGCCTGGACGACAGCCCAAGACTCTGTCTCAAAAAAAAAAAAAAAAAAAAAAAAAAGATTACAACAACTACAACTCACCCAGTTCACAGACACTGAGTAACTTACTCCCTGTTCCACCAGCCTTAACTACAGCTCTGATTCCATAAGAGACTGAGTTCAGTAACTTTCTCCTGTTAAGAGACGGTCACCCACCATGGACTGGTTCTGGCCAGTTTACAGACGCTGCTCACCTCAGTGATTTTGTGTCTCTGCTTCAACCTCTGACCTATAGGGCCTAATTATAACACACTTAAATGTTAAGTCTCCACCCCAAGGTGAACATAGGTTGTTTGTAACCTGCATCTTTGTTCAATATGCATGTGTCAGGACCCATTAATTAATATTCATAGCTCTTCCTACAATCTGCTGAATATGTATGTTTAGCCAATCCTTTCAGAATAAAGTTCCTACTTCAGCCCTTCATCCTGGGAAGTACTGTTTCTGGGTTTCAACCAGAGGCTACACTTTTCAGCCTGTCAGGATGGCCACCTTGCAGGCTATAACCCTTTACAAAAAATAAAGTCTCCTTTCAAAATTAAAAAAATTGTGATTTTTAAAAAACTTTTATTTTAGGTTCAGGGCTATGTGTGCAGGTTTGTTATATAGGTAAACTCATGTCACAGGGGTTTGTTATACATATTATTTAGTCACCCAGGTATTAAGCCTAGTACCCATTAGTGATTTTTCCTGATCCTCTCCCTCCTACCATCCCCCACCCTCTGGTAGGCTCCAATGTGTATTGTTCCCCCCATGTGTCCATGTGTTATCATTTAGCTCCCACTAATAAGTGAGAACATGTGGTATTTGGTTTTCTGTTGTGGCGTTAGTTTGCTAAGGATAATGACCTCCAGATCCATCCATGTTCCTGCAAAGGACATGATCTCATTCTTTTTTTTTTTTTTTTTTAAGACAGGGTTTCACTCTGTCAGCCAGGCTGGAGTGCAGTGGCACAATCTCAGCTCACTGCAGTCTCCACCTCCAGGGTTCAAGCTATTCCCATGCTTCAGCCTCCCGAGTAGCTGGGTAGCAGGGATTACAGGTGCACGCCACCATGCCCAGTTAGTTTTTGTATTTTTGTTAGAGACAGGGTTTTGCCATGTTGGCCAGGCTGGTCTCGAACTCCTGACCTCAAGTGATCTGCCCACTTTGTCCTCCCAAAGTGCTGGGATTGCACGTGTGAGCCACCATGCCCAGCCATGATCTCATTCTTTTTTATGGCTGCATAGTATTCCATGGTGTATATGTAACACATTTTCTATATTTAAGTTGACAGAAGTTTGTTGGTTTTTATTTAATATCAGAATTGTTTCAAAGGCATCCCTTAAAGACTAAATGGCAAAAAGAACTCAGCAACAAAACAGCCTCTCTCAGAAATCTCATTGCAATGCACTGGTCAGAGATTGGTTTGGATTGTTTGTTGTTGTTGTTGTTAGTAGAGGTGCAAGGTTGCCCTTATCTAAACTTTAAACTTGCTCAGTGGCTCTGCTCTAGGGTGGCTTCAGTCATCACCCAATGAAAATTACTTGGAATCTGATTGGAACATCTTTTAGTCAAAGTATCTATGTGGCTGCTTTCTCCTCATTGCCCATCTCTACACCCATGAGTACCCGTGCTTTTTGTCAGGAGACGCACCCACCTGCTCATGCAAAATTGAAATTGAAATTTGAACAGGAAGAGGAAAATGCTTAAAGGAAATCCTAAAATGTTATTCTATGGAGAGTAGAGGAGGTATGTGTTGCATAAAAGAAAGGTGAGGTAATTCTCAGTAGCAAAGTTTGGAGAAGTAGGCATAATTCTTAGGACTTGGTGTGTGCATGCACCAATACTCACAATGGGATTAATACATGGAGACTTAAACTTTTTTGCTTGAAATAAATGCAGTGTCAAAGACACCATCACAACATCTAAACTTGTAAGGTTAATTAAGAGGAAGATGGAGGCATTGAAGGAAGCCAATGTAACCTCACAAGAAAATCTCTGATTAGATTATGTTTAAAATATAAATAAAGTAAACAAGGACAAATAAAAAATTAGCATGTACCGGTAACAGTAGATAGGCTGAAGTCCAGTATGAAATGATCTTGAAAAAAATATTGAGTGGCATAAAATATTGTTTAATGTTGTTCTAAGATATGTTCTCTGATTTCATATTTAACTTCTCTGTGCCTCAGTTTCCCCTTCTGAAAAATAGTGATATAAACAATACCTCTTTCAGAAGAATGACAGAAGGATTAAATAAATAATATATGTGAAATACCAAGAAAAAAATGCCTGACACATGATAAATATTCAAACAGTGTTTTCCCTAGCTATGATTGGCACACTGTTAGTAATGGTCATTCAGCTTGTTGCTGGTCTACTATTCATTGATCTTCCATAATAAATTACTTTATTCATTGGCTAGAAGGTTGTCATAGATAAATCCTAAAGTTCTTCTCCAATTTTTAAGATTCTATAAATTGTTACACAGCATCTATCTGTAAATTCTATCTCTCATGCTAGATTACTTACTCCTTAAGTGCAAAGGATTTGTATTGTTTGTTTTATTTCCTCAAAAATGCTCAGCACAGAGCTGGATACAAGGCAGATATTCATCAAATAGTTATCAGAGAGTTTATTAATTACTGAAGTCCTTGTGTAAGACCAAGATCTGAGAAGGCTGAGTAGAGGCATATGGCCATCAAAATAATTTATTAAAAATAATTCCTACCTGGACTAGAAAAATCTTTATCATGAGGATGGTGGTAGTGTTTTACATGAATTACATCATTTAATCATCTAACAAACTTAAAGGTCATCTATAACTATCTCCATTTACCATTAACAAAATTGAGGCTCACACAGGTGAGGTAATTTGTCCAAATGCTCACAGCTGGAGTGAAATGAAGCTGAAATCAGATCTCAGGCCCATTGGATAATACACCATGTTTTGACTAGTTTACAGTATATCAATTTTAATGTGGTAAAACCATGCAAATTGGTATAATCCTTGGTCTTAAATTAAAAAAAAATCAGCCTTAGAAAGATCACTTTGTTTTTTCATATCAACAAAAATAAGACTGATGTCTAAGAGTTCTAGTGTCTTATTTCAGGCTCTAATGCTCATGGGGACATGGTAGATTTTCCTGCAGATCCCAGACAGAGATTTTCACTGCCAGAACTTGAGCTTGTTGATTCTGTTGCTAAGGTCAATAGGTACTAATGGATTCCAACTGTGGCACTGCAACATAGCAAAGCTATGCTTTGCTTCTTGACAGAGATTCTGAACAGGCCAAAAAATATGAGCCAAGATCAGAAAGGACCTCATTAAGGGCAATGCTGACATGTGTAACATCAGCAAAAAACTCAGGGCAATGAAGTAAGTTTGTATGTTGTGTGATGCTAAGCATAAGCAAAAAGAGAATTTCAAAGGAGAAGGCAGGAACCACTCTGGTCTTCACAGTCCATGCAGGAACCACTCTGGCCTTCATAGTCCATGCCTCACAATTTGCCAATTTTTTTACTAAATATTTTTGTTTTGAAAAATATTTAATTTTCATAAAATATATACCCTGTAATGCAAACATATAATGGGTTTATTGTTATGTTAAATGGACTATTTTTAATATCTCAGTTTAAATTTCAAATATATTAAATATCAGTACTGTAAGCTGTTTGCATGCTCAATAATTTTTAAAACCATCAAGGGGTCTTAAAACCAAAAGGTTTGAAAACTCTTGGCCTAGTAGCTATGCTTTACTTCTTGACTGGACTGAATTCTCTAATGATTTTCTATGGGCAAAGCCCTCCAAGGCCCTGGTTTTCTCTTCTCTGGAAAACGGTGGCTCATGCTGGTGGTGCACCCAAATTTGCTCTGTTGTATGTATGATGATGATGTCAATGGACGACCACCATGGGAGGGGCATTGTCTAGAGCTGCCATCCTCTGGGGCTGATGCTGACCAGCCTTGTTGGTGCCACCATGGTACCAGAGGCTTCTAGAGACGGAAGACTTCAGGGAGCAAAGATCTCACACAGACTCATTTAGGATGGCATGTGACGTACCCCTGTAGTATGGAACCATAGCTCCCTCTCTTCAAGGCAGATTTGAATCCTGCTTCTGCTGTCTACTATGAAACCTTGTACAAGTTGCCTAACTTCTCTGAGCCTAAACAATGAGGAAGATAACACCAACTTTCACAGGTGAAGAAACAAGGCTTTTGACTAGAAAACTTTGACGTTTCCTTTCAGGTCCACTTGATACTATTACTTCCTTCCTTCCTCTTCCCTGGTCCTTATGATTTGAGAGGCAAATACATCCAAAAAGTGCTTTGTAATGCCAAAATGCCCAGAGCAAACTGAAGAAAGCAGTTTCACAAGGAAATAAAAGAAAATATCATCAATCCCTGAAAACACATGGAAGATGGATACGTATATTCCAAGATGCCAGGACTGTTCACTAGTGGAAGAATAGCATCACGGTAAAACATATTTTAAAAAACAAAAACTTCATACATCTCTGGGTCCTGATAGTCATACACTACCACATTCCCAAAGGCTCCCTTCCCAGGGTGAGAGCTCAGGTTTTCTGCCCTCAGCCTAAGAAGTTGGCTTCTTCATCTCACCAGCAAATAACTAAGGACTGTGACTCTCTAGTGGTTTGAAGAGTCATGCCTTTTTGCCTTTGTAATGCCAACCGACTAATGAGAACAAGGGTTTTTGGGGAGAGAGCTCATCTCCAGCTCAAATAACCATAACCACAGAGGAAGAGATGAATAATAAAGAACAGTCAGAGTAGCAGCAGATTGCTAACAAACCTCTCTCCTGCAAGCACAGCCCCTCTCCTATGGCCTCGGGGATGCTTGGAGGTGTGATGAAAATACAAATGGGGTAGGGTACTTATAATTGTAGATTAATGCTCATTCCAAGACTGAGATCAACTGACCCAAATGTTTATTTGTTTTTTTGAAAGTATTAACCTTTCACCTTTGTGAAAAGCCTTAGGATATGTTTGTTCACCACTTAATTTCAGCACCTAGAACAGTGCTTGAAACATACAAGTTCAAAACATATTTGATAAACTACTGCATGATTTGTTTTAAGTTCCCACCAACAGAAAGTGATGAAACTATCTAATCAATTTTTCTTCCATATCTAGGCATCTAGGCACTAAACTTTTGCTTAACTATTCTTAAAGCATACAAAATAGTCACAAAGAACTTGCCATACTTGTAGTTCAAATTAAATACAATGCCCAGGGTCTGGCCCGAAGGAGCTTCCAGAGTGACTCTACCATTTTATATTAGACCACAAATGTTCAAGAGATCCAGTTTCTCTGTTACGTTACCAGCATTTGGTATTGCCATTATTTTTTTATTTTGATTTCCACATGTTCAATGCTAGTATATTAAAATACAATTGATTTTTGTATGTTGGTATTGTAAACTGAAACCTTGTTAAAAACTCATGTATCGGTCCTAGACAGTTTTTTATTTTTTTGTAGGTTCCTTAGGATTTCCTACAAAGATGATCTTATCATCCATAAATGAGGATAATTTTATTTCTTCTTTTTTGATGTACAGGTTTTTAATTTCCTTTTCTTGCCGTATTGCACTGGTAAAAACTTCCAGCACTATGTTGAATAGCAGCAGTGAAAGAGGACATTCTTGCCTTGTTCCTGATCTTAGAGAGAAAACAATGTCTTTCTCCAGTAAGAACAATGTCTACATTTGGTTTTGATATCAGGGTAGGACTAGCTTCATCAAATAAATAGAAACGTGTTTCTACCTCTTTTATTTTCTAGAAGAGATAGTACAGAATTCTTTAAAATAAATTTGGTGTAATTCCCCAGTGAAATGATTTGGGCCTGGAGATTTTGGGTAGTGAGGGGTGTGGGTGTTAAATTTGAAATATTATTTTCTTTTTTTAAAATTTTTTTCTTTTTTTCTTTTTTTTTTGAGACAGAGTCTCACTCTATTGCCCAGGCTAGAGTGCAGTAGTGGGATCTCGGCTCACTGCAACCTCCACCTCCCAGGTTCAAGTGATTCTCCTGCCTCAACCTCCCAAGTAGCTGGGATTACAGGTGCCTGTCACCACAACCAGCTAATTTTTGTATTTTTGGTAGAGACGAGGTTTCACCATGTTGGCCAGGCTGGTCTCAAACTCCTGACCTCAAGTGATCCACCTGCCACAGCCTCCCAAAGTGCTGGGATTACAGGAGTGAGCCACAGTGCCCAGCCAAAAGTCTATTTTCTTAGTAGTTGTAGAGCTATTCAGATTATCTATTTCATACTGGGTGAGTTAGTTTGTGTGTCTTGAGGAATTGATCAATTCCCTCTAAATTGTTAAATTTGTATTTAGAGTTGTCTATAGTATTCCCTTATCCTTATGGTGTCTGTAGGGTCTGTAGCAATAGCCCCTGTTTTATCTCTGATCTTGATATTTAATGTCTTCCCTCTCCTTTTCTTTGTCAGTCTTGCTAGAGGTTCATCCATTTTACCGATCTTTTCAAAGAACCAGATATTTGTTTCATTGATTTTCTCTGTGGTTTCTGTTTGCAACTTCATTTATTTCTGCCCTTATCTTCTTAAATTTCCTTCCTTCTATTGCTTTGGGTTTATTTGGCTCTTCTTTTTTTACTTTGTTGAAATGAGAACTTAGATGACTGATTTGATACTTTTCCTCTTTTCTAATGTATGCATTTAGTGCTATAAAATTTCCTCTTAGCATGGATTTAGCTGTGTCCCACAAATTTTGGTATGTTGTATTTTTTTATTCAGTTCAATGCATTTTTTATTTCCTTCAAGACTTACTCTTTGACCTATAAATTATTTAGGAGTGTGATGTTTCTTTTCCAAGTTTTTGAAGATTTTCCTCTTAACTTTATATAAGTGGTTTCTAGTTTGATTCCATTGTGGTCAGAGAACATACTCTGTATGATTTCAATTATTTTATTTTATTTTATTTTATTTTTTGAGACAGAGTCTCACTCTGTCACCCAGGCTGGAGTACAGTGGCACAATCTCAGCTCACCACAGCCTCTGCCTCCTAGGTTCAGGTGATAGTCAGCCTCCTTGGTAGCTGGGATTACAGGCATGTGCTACCACACCCAGCTAATTTTTTGTATTTTTAGTAAAGATAGGGTTTCCCTATGTTGGCCAGGCTGGTCTTGAACTCCTGGCCTCAAGTGATCCACCCACCTCAGTCACCCAAAGTGCTGGGATTACAGGCATAGGCCACCACACCCAGCCTGGTTTCAATTATTTTAAATGTATTATGGTTCATTTTTAGGTCCAGGATGTGGTCTATCTTGGTATATCTTCTGTAGGTGCTTTAAAAGATAGGTAGTGCTGTTTTGGAGTGGAGTGTTTTATAAGTGCTGAATAGATCCTATTTGAGGGTAGTATTTTGTTTTTCTACGTCTGTACTGGCTTTCTGTCTAGTTTTTCTTTCAGTTTTGGAGAGAGGAGTGTTGAAGTCTCCAAGTATAGTTATGGATTTGTCTGTTTCTCCCTTGAGTTCTATCATTTTTGCTTCACATATTTTACAGTACTATTATTGGGTGCATATACAGTTAGGACTACTAAGTTTTCCTAGTAGTAGAAAAACTTTTACCTCCCATCCCTCATAAATTTTTTTGCTCTGAAATATACATTATCTGGCCAGGTGCGGTGGCTCATGCCTGCAATCCCAGCATTTTGGGAGGCCTGGGTGAGTGGATCACCTGAAGTCGGGAGTTTGAGACTAGCCTGACCAACATGGAGAAACCTCGTCTCTATTAAAAATACAAAATTAGCTGGGCGTGGTGGCGCATGCCTGTAATCCCAGCTAACTCATGAGGCTGAGGCAGGAGAATCACTTGAACCCGGGAGACGGAGGTTGTGGTGAACCAAGATTGCACCATTGCACTCCAGCCTGGGCAACAAAAGTGAAACTCCATCTCAAAAAAAATAAAAAATAAATAAGTAAATAAATAAATAAACATTATCTAAACTTAACACAGCCACTCCTGCTTCATTTAAGCTGATGTTTGCATTGAACATCTTTTCTTATCCTTCTACTTTGCTAGGTTGCCCATGCCCACTTCTTGGTTCTTTGGCTCAAGAGAGCAGGCCTTTCTTGGGGCATTTTTTCTTCTCCCATTAGTGTTTCTGGGTTGCCAGCTTCTCCAAAATCTACTTTGGTATCTGTGAGACAAAAACTCAGGAACTCACTACTACGTTGTACCTCAAATCCAAAGGTCCCCAGGCAGAGCTGAAGTAAGGCTGTCATCCAAGGCCCTACTTAAGAAGCAGATCACAAGGTACACGACTGTGGACAAAACAACTGTGAAAACCTACAGGACATGCAGCAGTCAAATGGAAAAGATATGTCCCCAGCAACCAGAGGGCAGAACAAGCGCACCCAGGGATTCCAACAACTTGGTTTCCCCAACGCCATGAGGTTGCCACATAAGCAACCACTCATCCCTATAGAGAAGCAGAAGAGGAAGAGAGAAGCTACCTGAAAGAATATGACCTTTAGAAGGAGAGATTAAACACTTCCTAAATAAACTAATTCAGATATTGGATCAAACTGAGTTTTTAACCCACTTTGATGCTGAAATAATTGGGTTTCACTGTGAGTGGGAGTACAGAAGAAAGCCAGATGTGATGTAGGCCAATTAAAGACATTACATTTTTTTTGACATATCCCAGGTCAAAATTAGACTTTCTAGGTGTTTTTTAATCTAGGTAGTATAATCTAGAATTATACTTACCTAGGTGATTGGTGAATGTGGGAAGCTAGGAGGTGATGTGACTTCTGTCTTTTGTAGTCTCTACGATAAAATAGTTTGGGGATTTTAATTTCATTTGGCTTTCTCATGGGTAGTTTCCACTCTTGTCTTTTCCTTTTCTTCTTTTTTTCATTCTGAGCTCTCAGACTCTTCACAGATATTCCTAATTCTCTACAACTGTAGGAGTATAGAGATGACATTTTGCATCGCAGGATGTCTTATACTATTAAAATGTCTCTTATTTCCAAGCAAAGTAGATTCAGAAATTCCCAGTGTTTCAACTGTTTCAAGGAGTGGGGACATGTGTTATTCTGACTGAATTTTGATTCAACAAATCTTTAAGGACCTATGTGTTAGCCACTGGGCCGAATACTTCCCAGATGGTCTCATCTCAATATAACAGCCCCGTGACGACCTTATTAGCCACCTGAATTTCAGATAAAGAACTTGAGAGGTGAATGGACATGTTCCAGGCCACTCGGTCAGTGTGTTGCAAAGCTGGACACCTCACAAGTCCAGACCGCTTCCTACCCTCCAAACAATCTCCTTTGGACAATTCAGAGAAGGCTTTGCCTGTGTTCCCTTCTGTTTCCATTTCAGAACTCTCAAGAGTACAGACTTGACAAGAGAAGTGGCTCCTCAGGATGGGAGCCAGTAGCTATTCTCAGCACTGTCCTGTTGGCCAGATTGACTTGGCAAGACTGTCCCTTCACCCCTGCCTTCCTGTGCTGGGTCAAGAGTGAAGGACACTGCCTTTGGGATGCTCTTTTAAGATCCTCAATAAACCTGCTTAAGCCAGTTATTTTTGATGTGTGCTTCATGTGATACTTATTTCACCTATTTTCTATGCAAAAACCCCCATTTTTTTCTATGCAAAACTATTTTATACTAAAACATGCTCATAACATGAAATGACATTGATATTTGACACTTATTGCTGATTTTGCTTTAATAACATGTCTGTTTTTTTTTCCCTTTCTATATGTATCTAAACCTCTAAATTTAGAAATAGGATCATTTGTGTTGTGATTTTGAGCTCACAGTGGGGCATGAAAATACCCTATTTGAATTTGAGAAGGTTCATCATTTGACTGGGAAGGGGGTATGCAGGTGTGAACCAGAATTAGGTTACTGAGATTCAAAGAATTGTTCTGATGTTTATTTGAGATAAATTCTTAGGAACAGGCTGGGCACGGTGGTTCACGTCTGTAATCCCAGCACTTTAGGGGGCCGAGGCGGGAGGATCACCTGAGGTGAGGCGTTCAAGACCAGCCTGGCCAAAATGGTGAAACCCTGCCTCTACCAAAAATACAAAAAATTTAGCCAGGCGTGGTGGTGGGCGCCTGTAATCCAAGCTACTTGGGAGGCTGAGGCAGGAGAATCTCTTGAACCTGGGAGGCGGAGGTTGCAGAGAGCTGAGACCACGCCATTGCAATCCAGCCTGGGCAACAAGAAAGAAACTCCATCTCAAAAAAAAAAAAAATTCTTAGAAACATTGTTCCTCGGGAAGGGAACTTGGGTGGGAGTGAGGAGGCTCATGTTTGTGATATCTAAAATGGGAGATTGGAAGGAGATTCCAGAGATAGTGCAACCAGTTGACAAAGTGATTCAGTTGAACCACATGAAGTTCCCATGTTGACCTTAAGACATGGCAATTGTATAGCGTTTAACTGAATGGCATGAAAAGGGAAATAGGAGGGAAGGGAGTAGAGGGAGAAAGAAGGCAACGGAGGCCAGGAGGACAGGGACTGCCGAGTTGTAAGAGTTGTAAGGCCACTCCCATCAGACAGCTCTTGGGCTAGGCAAGGAATGAGTTACTCATAGTAATGGTAAGGACAATTCAGAAATTATTTAGGGACCTATTCCAGGAAATACCAGAGGAACAAAGAAGCAAACTAGTTCCAGGAGATTCATTTATCCCTGAAATTGAAGGGTGGATCTGAAGCCTAGTAGGAAAAGTCGCTTTGTATCCAGAGATCTTTGTGGCTTCAAGGATGGAAGTGTGGCAAAGAAAGAACACTGTCCCCAGGAGGACTGAGCAGACAATGAGGATAAACAGTGCCTTTGAGACCAAATACAAGCACACATACACGTGCACACATGTGTATATAACATGCAACCCAGGCCATGTAGTTTGCTCATTACATCGCCTGTATCTCAAGATTCCCTCATTCCAGTAAAAGGCCTGACCATGTGTGTGCTGGGTGTCAAAGGACAGGATGGTCTGGACAAAAGGGCAAGTGAAAGGCGGCAGAGCATCAATCCAGGGCTGGGGGCTTTGAGAGGGATTTCCTCACCCCTTCTCCTCACATCCCTGTAGCCACGATGGGTGCAGGGAATGTCACATCTGAGAAAAGGCCATGGAAAGTCCCACATCCTGGGATCCAGCTGCCCACCTGGCTCAAAGTTAGACGGTTGACAGACATTGATCCCAACTGCCAGTTGGATCCTGATTCACCACCCCTGAGAATTAAACTAGAGAGAGAGTACTTCACACTGTGAGCACAAAGAGTACAGACAGATGGCCTTAGACTTGCTCAAAATATCTTCCCTAGGGTCTCTCATTAGGTAGCAGGCTGTCCTTTCCAAGAATGTGTTTATCAAAAAGGCGACTGGAAACTTTGCTTTCTCTAGAACTCTGTTAACATGCAACTTGAGATAGCCACACATGCCTCTGTTTGGAGAACAGAGGCTAACTATTTATAATAATAACGGCTGGGGCCATCGCCTTCCCTCTGGGGCCTGCCTGCCCAAAAGGTTAGGACACATTCATTTGTCCCTACATGCCAGGGTGAGGCTTCTTTGCTGCACAAGCAGCAGAATGAGAAGACTGCAGATCCTAACTACAAACCCTTCCTTGCAAGTGTGGGCTTGGATGCTCAGATTAGGAAAACAGTCTAATGAGTCCCAGAGAGGCAACTGTTGTATCTCTACCCTCCCAGGGAACTCAGCCATGCAAATCCCCGATGCTTTCAAGGTCTTTCTACCCCTAGAGAGAGTAGGAGAAAGCTTGGCTTATTTCTACTGCAAGAGGCTGGCAGAACGCAAGAGAAAAACAAAGATGCTTCTGTATTGAAGTTTTAAAATCTCAAGATAAGGCTTCCATCGTGTATTTAGATTTTTTTTTTAGCACAAGAAATTAGATCTTACACTCACTGAAGCAAAAGGGATAAGAAGGATATTGCTCGCTCCATTTCCAGCAGATCACCTGACATTTGACTTAGACATTCTGACCTCAGTTCAGTGTGCAATTAATTATCAAGCCTGAATTTGTGAAATAGTACCAGAGAAAGCCTGATAAATCAAAAACACAAAGCAGGCTGGGCATGGTGGCTCACACCTGTAATCCCAGCACTTGGTGAGGCCAAGACAGGTGGATCACCAGAGGTCAGGAGTTTGAGACCAGCCTGACCAATATGGTGAAACCCCATCTCTACTAAAAATGCAAAAATTAGCTAGGTGTGGTGGCATGCACCTGTAATCCCAGCTACTTGGGAGGCTGAGACAAGAGAATTGCTTGAACCCAGGAGGCGGAGGTTGCAGTGAGCCGAGATTGCACCATTGCGACAGAGTGAGACTTCGTCTCAAAAAACAAAACAAAACAAAACAAACAAAAAACACAAAGCAACACAAAACTGTGTAGGTTTGTCCTCCTTCCATGTTGCCAAAAGTATAACCACAAAAGAGCTTAAAATGGGTTTTCATTTTTAGACCTTACTTCTTGGAATAGAACATGAAATCCTTGAGAAGTTTCTAATCTCTGCACATATGCCTGATGTGTAATGCCCTCGTGGGACCATGGTCTGAAGGGGGCCTTCACACACAGCTCATCACCTCTGAAGAACCGTCAGCAAAGCAACTGACTGAGAAGTCCCAGGATCTGGCTGCCTGTGACGGGCCCAGAGGGTGTGGATTTGTGAAAGCAACACCCTAGATAACAGGCGATAAAAAGCTGCTGCTTGTCTTAGGAGAGAGTTTAGCAAAATTACAATTAAAATTGTGTCTTAAAATAGGAAGATTATGGTGTCTCTGTAGATTCTATAATGAACTGATATTGGCTGATTGGGGCCAGAAATCCAAAAGTAAAAAGTCTGAAAGCACACTTTTCTGAGTAAGGAATTGATACAGGAGGAGGCAGGGAAGTGCTGGGTAGAGAAAGGCGGGTCCCTGGTGAGGGCTCCACCCGGGGCCTGTGCCCACGGACCTGGGTGAGGACAGGCACTCCTGCCTTCTCGCTCAAATGTTGCTTTCCCAAGACCACCCTGGCCCGCAACACCCCCATCCTGTGCCTATTAAAACCCTGAGACCCAAGGGGGCACACACACAAGTGGCTGGACGTTGAGAGGAGCGGATCGGTGGAAAGAAGACACAAGCAGCTGGATGTCAAGAGAAACACACTGGCGGAGGAACACGCAAGCGGCTGGCTGTCGAGAGGAGGTTGGTAGCACACTGACAGGCACTGGCGTGCCCGCAGGCAGTCGACTGGCAGAAAAATGTAGAGTTTGGCCAGGGTGGTGGGAGGAGAGCCCAGGCCACTGAGTGTCCCCACTCCAGGGGAAAACCATCACCCTTCTGGCTCCCCCATCTGCTGAGAGGTACCTACACCCAATAAAACCTTGCACTCATTCTCCAAGCCCACCTGTGATCCGATTCTTCTAGTACACCAAGGCAAGAACCCAGGATACAGAAAGCCTCTGTTCTTGTGACAAGGTAGAGGGTCTAATTGAGCTGGTTAATACAAGCTGCCTATAGACAGCTAAACTAAAAGACCACCCTGTAACACACCCCCACTGGGGCTTCAGCTGTAAACATTCACCCCTAGACACCGCCATGTGGTTGGAGCCCCACAGCCTGCCTGTCTGTATGCTCCCCTAGAAGTTTGAGCAGTGGGGCACTGAAGAAGTGAGCCACTCCCCCATCGCACACCCTGAGAGAGGGACAAGGGAACCTTTCCTGTTTCAGAATCATCCTTTAAACCATAGCTCTATTTGTAGGTCTTCTTTCTCAAGCCACCACTATAGAAGTCCATTTTCTCATCCTTGGGCGTAGCTTTAGAATCCAGTTTGGAGGCTAAGTAGTTCAAGAACATGGGTTTTGGAGTTAGGCAAAACTAAGCTTGAATTCCACTTCTGTCACTTAGTACTGCTTACGTAGAATTTAGCATTTTGCTTCACCTCCCTGAGCCTCTGTTTCCTCACCTCCAAAACAAGAAAACTGTATCATAAAATTGTAAAGACTAAACAAGATAATCTACATAAAGAGCATATCACTCACAGTAGGTGCATATAGTGAGTGCTTCGTGGCACCAATTACCACCAGTCCCACATGGGGATAGTCCTCGGATCTGGGGAAGCCACTTCCCCCTCCTCATTTCTGGAGCTCATTTCTAAGGCTCCTCCTCTCTCAGCCTCATCCTCTTCTCTTCCATTTCCTACTCTATTTTCCACAACAACAAATGTCATGCTTTTTTGCAAGATAATCTCTGGCAATAGAGATGGTGTTGTACAATGTTCAACCAGGAATGTTTATTTTAAAGAACATTTTAGAATCTAGTCCTACATATTTGTACTTCAGGCTTTAGAAAATCAAAGTTTTGATTCTTACTTTTCAAATG
The DNA here is from genome assembly GCF_000001405.40 of Homo sapiens. Lineage (NCBI taxonomy): Eukaryota > Metazoa > Chordata > Mammalia > Primates > Hominidae > Homo > Homo sapiens. The sequence continues at coordinate 105,493,475 of NC_000002.12, read as the reverse complement.
TAGCATTGAACATTTAATACTCAATTAAAATGAATTAAAAATAAATCAAAGATGGAGCTTGATTTTCTTTCCAAAGGCAACTTTATAAACTTATATAAAATGAGTAATAGCTGCTGCTGTGAGAAATAAAGGGGACTTACCTGAGGTTTCTGCAGCCATAAGGCTTATGAGTGTATAGCCAAAGATAAAAGATTTAAGCAAAATCTCTAACATGAAAGGCAGCAACACACACACACACAACCCAAGACAAGTTCATAAAAAACAGAAAATATAGAAGTAGAAGGACATTAAAAAATGAAGTTAATATGCTGGGAGGTAAAGGAAGACTTTGTATTCATGGGACAGGCAGAAGATTCAATAAAAAGAAACATTCAAAGACCAAAATGGAGCTTTAAAAAAAATAAAATTGTGATAGCAGAAATAAAATTCAGTTAGAAGGATTGAAAGTTAAAAATTGAAGAAATGTCCTAAAGGACAGAATAAAAAGGCAAAAAATAGAGAAAATAGAAAAGAAAAAATAGGAACATTGGTAGATCCATTGAAGATATTAGAACTTCTAAAAAGGGCAGATAGAGAAAATGGAGGTGGGAAAATAATCAAAGATAAAACACAAGAAAATTTTCCAGAACTGAATGTGACATGTTTCAAGACTGAAAGAATCCCAAGTGATTCAAACCAAGACTCATCATGGTAAACTTTGAGCCCCAGAACCCCAGGGACAAAGAGGACTTCTACATTTCTCCAGAAAGAAAGAAGTAAAATTAACCAGGCAAAATTCAACAGATGCAAATGAAAATGGCATTCAATTTCTCAACAATGAACTGGAACTTAGAGGACAATGGAGAAATACCTTCAAAATCCTGAAGGAAAATAATTTCCATCTTAGAATTCCATACCTAGCCAAATGACAGTTATATGTGTGCACAGACTAAAGTACTTGAGCATTCACAATATCAGAGATTTTATTGCCCATGCAGTCTTTCTCAAGAAGCTATGTAAGATATACACCATGCAATCCTATGCAGCCATAAAAAGGAATAAGATCATGTTCTTTGCAGGGACATTGATGGAGCTGGAAGCCGTTATCCTCAGCAAACTAAGGTGGGAAAAGAAAACCAAATACTGCATGTTCTCACTTATAAGTGGGAGTTGAACAATGAGAAAACATGGGCACAGGGAGGGCAACAACACACACTGGGGCCTGTCAGGGGTGGGGTCGGGGGAGGGAGAGCATTAGGAAAAATAGCTAATGCATGCTGGGCTTAATACCTAATGCATGCTGGGTTGATAGGTGCAGTAAATCACTGTGGCACACATTTACCTATATAACAAACCTGGACATCCTGTACACGTACCCCAGAACTTAAAACAAAAATAAAACATTAAACAAAAAAAGAAGAAGCTATGTAAGAAAGTATTCTACCAAAATGAGTAAATGTTCAAAAAAATTAAAAAAGAAGGTTTAAGATCCAGGAATCAAGAGATACAACCCAGGAGAAAGGAAAAGGAATTCTCACAAGGGAGATGAAAAGAAATTCTGCAGCTAGAACGCAATCAGTGCAGTTTGGAACAGGATGACAGGGGGACTCTAGAAAGGATGTGAAAAAGGGTGGGTTGGATTAAACTGATAGACTCTCAGTTTGTTAGGAGATGTACATTCCCAGTGCAGAATTTGAAAATGAATTAATGACAGATAATAAGCAAGCAAATAAGGAAAAAATGAGTTAATTGTTAAATCTATAAAACACAACAAGAAAGGAAATAGAGTCATGGCAAAACAAAAACAGAACCAAGGCTCAGTGTGTATAATATTCACAGAGTCATAATGATAATCACCATACACTGATTTCACAAAAATGTTTGCTAACGCCATATTGAAAGCATGGGAAGGCAAAAGAAAGAGGAGAGCGTGAGGAAGATAGTGAGGTTTAAATTAATCAATACCTTATTTCCCACAAGAACAAGACGGTAAGAGCTAAATAACATTTTAAAATCAAGAAACATATGAAAAATGTTAAAAGCAAGAAATAGTAGTATAAACAACTTACTTGATAAATGGAGCTAAGTGTTCCATTTTATCAAATAACTTGTTTGTACTACCTGGTTTAGAAGAAGCAGATAAAAGAATTTGAAGTTATTGTCTCTGGGAATAGGAGTTGAGAAGTAAAGCATGGAATTGTCCCTTTCCATTATATGTTGTGTAAAATTATTCTGATGTCTTCCAGGAAGACATGAGACCTATGACTCAGATGCAAAGGTCTCCATGATGACGGTGAAAGTAAGGAGAACAGGTGGGTCCAAGTTCCAAGTTGCAAGGCAATTTGATTTCATTCAGAGAAGTATTGACATTGGCAAGGTGAACTGCAGGCCACAGTAATGCAGCACAAGTGCCAAGCAGAAGGCACATAAGTGGGTCATTCTAAGCTGCTTTAATTGAAAAAAATAAGTAGAGTCCCTGGCTTTGTAGCTGTTTATCCAGAAAACATTTGGGCAGGAGGGGGTTAAGTTTTAACCATCAAACAATGACCTCCAAAATACAGGAATCTACTCATTGGCCACATGACTAGAACACCAAGGCAATGGGAAATAATGGTTCTCTGCACACTGCCCCGTTGGGAATACTGGGCTCAGTTGGGGTTTAACATTTCCAAGAGAATGTTAGATAGGGAAAACCCTCGTAATAAAAAAAAATTCATGTGCTACAGGACATGGCTGAAGTCAATGAGGATGTTAAACTATAATACAAGAAGATAAAGGTGGGATACAATTATTATTATAAAAATTACAGAGCTGTTATGTAGATGAAGTGTAACTTGTAATGAGTGTTTCTGGAAAACAAAACATTCAAAACCCAGTTCAGTCACCTGCAGAACTTTCAGCTGAATTTGAGGCTTTGCTGGGTACTCTCCTCATGTTCTGCCTATTTCATTGTGGTTGTCCCTTTGTGGAACAGTCACTGGCTGTGACCTCGTGGGAGGCAGCATGTATCTTTAATTTACCTCTGTGTCCCCAGCTGCCAGTGCTTTGCTCGACACATGGTAGGGACTTCCAGCCAGAAAGCCAGTTGATTCTGGTTCAGTATAATTTTGGCTCAAAGAGTATCAAACGATAAGACAAAGTCAACAATGGACTGAACTATCCGGTGAGATGATGAGTGTTTAGTCACAAACATAATCAAGAAGAATTGGATTCCTCTCACTGGGTAAAGGGTCATAGATGACCTCTCAGATCCCTTCCAGCTGAAGGAGCTTTCAATTAATATTGATGCCACTCTGCTGTTAGAATCCCAGGCAGTCTCTCTTGACAGTGAATCGCTTCCACATTTTTTATCTTTCTCAGGTAGAGAGAGAGAAGAGGATGAGATTAGGGGAATAAGTGTGGCCAAGGTGAGAACTCACTTTTGTCAATAGCCCTTAGAGTGTTCTCAGACTTCCTACAACAAGATCAATAACATCTTAGATCAAAGTGATATTAGGGATTTTAAAAGATTTAAAAGGAAATATTTAAAGGGAAAGCAAAGAGATGGTCTGGGTGACAAAAACACTTGAAATAGGGCAGAGGGAAGGAATAAGGGAGTTCCTTTTAATTCAAATTCCCCATATCTTGAAGGCCTCTGTTCCTACCTACCAGATCACTCTATCAGGATCTGTAGAACAGAAAGAACTGGGGAGAAGACAACAAGGAAATTATGGGTGGTAGGGCTGCCACACTACACAAGGCCAGGGGACCCTATTAATCTCCTCGTTGATGGGAACGGTGCTGTCTGGCCTTGAGCAGTGCACACTCTGCACAGCAGGACATGGTAGCCCTGGTGAGATAGGAATGCCAGCTTGATAAGGGTTTGTTTAATACTTGCTCAGAAATGAGGAGGGAGAGATTATTACTAAAGTCCTGGAAAAACAACAGCAGTAGCAACAACCAGCTGCCTCAAAACTTAATCAAGTTTAAGGTGTCCTACTTGGTAGGCTATTCTCAGTTATATTTTCTGTCCTAATCTTGGAGGTTATGATACCTGTAGACACAGCCTAAATACTCTTTCTTCCTTTTCTTTCTGTCTGTCTTTCTTTCTTTCTTTGCTTTTTCTTTCTCCTTTTTTCTCTTTCACTCTTTCTTTCTCTTTCTCTTTTTTTCTCTCTCTCTCTCCCTTCCTTTCCTTCCTTCCTTCCTTCCTTCCTTCCTTCCTTCCTTCCTTCCTTCCTTCCTTCCTTTCCTTCCTTCCTTCCTTCCTTCCTTCCTTCCTTCCTCCCTGCCTCCCTTCCTTCTGTCTATCCTCCGTCCCTCCCCCTTCACTTCCCTTCCCTTCCCTTGCATTCTCCTTCCTTCCTTCCTTCCTTCTTTCCTTCCTTCCTTCATTCATTCATTCCAGAGGAGTCTCCCTCTGTTGCCCTGAATGGAGTACAGTGGTGCAATCTCGGCTCACTGCAGCCTCCACCTCCCGGGCTCAAGCAATTCTCTTCCCTCAGCCTCCCTAGTGGCTTGGACTACAGGTACACACCACCACGTCCAGCTAATTTTTGTATTTTTAGTAGAGACAAGGTTTCACCATATTGACCAGGCTGATCTCAAACTCCTGACTTCAAGCGATCCACCCACCTTGGCCTCCCAAAATGCTGGGATTACAGGCATGAGCCACCACGCCTGGTCCACCTATATCATTTTTCTAAATAAAAAACATCTAACTTGATGTGCCATAGTCTCCCAAATGCTAGGCACAGGGAAATCTGACGGCCAGGTTTTATTGGTCCTTGGCCAGGAATCATTCAGTGGCTCTGCTATAAGGAGGGGACCAAGTGGGAGAAGAAGGGGTGGATAATAGGGAGAAGGTGGGACATCAGAGGACAGAGGTGCTGACAGCTGAGAGGAGGTGGTGAGCATGCGTCAGGGGCAAGTGCCACCTGCTCACCCCTGGCTATTTTTACGCAAGGTCTCTTAGCTGCTGGTGTCACTGAGCTTTGAGGACATCGGTGCCCGGAGTCCCAGAAGCCTATTTTAAGAGACTTCACTTCAATGGCTGATATCAACAACACGCAGATTCTGCCAAATGACTTCACAGATAGGGGATCTGCAGCAGCTTTCATCATCGAAAAAGCAGAAACGTGGCCTCACTCCAAGTGCATAGACTTCAAGAGGAGCCAGTGAGAGGGTCGTGGAAAGACAGCAGCCCTGGGGAGTGGGCTTGCTGTGCCCTGCACAACATTTGACACCTCTCCACCCCTTCCTCAGTGTGGATTGGGCAGCTGTGGTTTTATTTTCAGGTCACTTCTTAAGCCTTTCTTTACAAGTGGCCTCCTTTAGGGGCAAAGGTTTTATATTTACAAGAAAATATAAAGGTGGAAGAAAGAACCTTGCCGTCCCTCCCCACCCTCCAAGAAGGATGACAGGAGGGGTGGTGGCTGGTGAGAGTGGAGACTGGGTGGTTTGGAGGTGGCCTGGTCAGCTTGACGAAGGGGACACAGGACTCTTTCCCTGTGACAGGCCACACTCCAAAATGTTCCTCCACTCCTTAATGATTTCTCATGTTCTGTGCACTTCTAATCACAAACCCGAGTCTGCCAGGATCACGGATCACTTCAGACTTGGACACTGGATACAAAGTTGCAGTTCTCATCAAAGCACAAATGGAGCCCAAGGGTGCCCTTCGCTGTCCTCACGACAGGGGCTGCCTGAAGCATTCTGCCCAAGCTGTGCCTCTCAGACGGCAGTGACTGGCTCCCGCCTGACGTGCAGGAAAGGGTGAAGGCATGGGGAGGGATCCGTGACCAACACAGAAAACAACCACGGACCAGTCTCACCGAGGGCCCCGCTGTGGTGGGTGGGGCAGCCTGGGTTCCTTTCTCCAGTCCTCCTCATGCCCTGGCCATCCTTGGGAGAAGGTCAGGGGTGAGGCGCCTCTGGCAGGTGGCCTTGTAGTGGTGAGGATGGAAGCCGTGGGCTGACCTCTTATCCCACCAATCGCCTTCAGACCACAACCAAGGAAAACACCCCGACCCTGAAAGACTCAGCTGCCTCCAACAAAGCCTAAGTGACGCCAACTGAACACTTGGAAAGAAGAGAGAAAACAAAACAGGATTTGGATAATTGTGGTTAGAAAAATAACTTGAAGATCACTTGGCCTGAATGTTTAGAAGACTCAGAGGGCCTAAAGAATGCAGTGGATTACAGGAAGATGGAAATGAACATACATTCCTGCAGAAGCCCCAATTACCAAGTTTTTGTTTGTTTTCTTAGAGCCAGTATGTCCGAAGAGAGGTCATATCATCTTTGAGGCTGGAGAGCAGAGACGTGCTCTGTGGTCACAGTCAGACGAGACAAACGAGGGAATGGAATAATGTCTAATACCATTAGACTGTCATTTCTAACGAAACCTAATTCTAATTTTAAGCCAGCAAGAAGCAGGCAATGAATATTCAGTTGAAGGAGTCCTCAAGAAATCCTCAGTGCATGAAGGAACTTGAATGCACCGCTAGGGATATGACTGCTAGTGTAAGTCAACGAGGCCACTGGGATAGAATAGGGAGTGGTGAGGACTGGGGTGAGCTGGCAAGTGCATGCTCTGTCCAAAAGGGCAGCCCCTCCTGAGCACCAGTGTCTGCAAGAATTGCCCAAAGCAGGCCCAGAGTTGCCAGATCTCCTGTTGTTTCAAGAGAAACTGTAAATGTGCATTTTAATATGAAATCTCATAATGTGGACAACACATTTTTGAAAAAAATAATATTGTTCAGGCTAAAAAAAAACCTCTACTGGCTGGATTCTGTCCATGGACTTCCTATTTTATGAGACTTCAATTGCTTTATAATCGCTGACCCATATAAATAGTCTATAATCGATAACTTTATAAGACAATAAAGATATCCAAGAAATAAGATACAAACCATACATTTATGGCCGTGTGGGAATGGAAAATTACTTCCAGATCAAATCAGTCCAGTTTTTATGAGAAACTGAGGCCCAAAGAATTGGGCAAGCGTCTTGGGTGGCCAGGGGTAGGATGAGAACTAGAAACTCTGCCTTCTGATGTGCAGTCTGGCACTCCTTCCTCCACGGCAGCCACCAAGCTGGGCACCCACATCTGAAACCTCAGAGCCCTTCTCTTCTCAAAATCAACTGGAGACTAAGTCCATCGTTTTCTCGTTCATACCTTTACAGCTTCATTACAAAAGAGAATCGGCAGGTTTTCACTGGCTGATGAGAGAACATGAATGGTGGCTGAGGAAGGAGGCTCTGAGCGCTGTTCCTATCCAGAGGGATCTCTGCCTGCAGCTCTTGGGCCCACAGGTGCCACTGCCTGGAACGCCATCACATTAAGCATTTGACTTCTCGCCATAAACTCACCCCATAAACTCACATCAGGCTTTCACCTCCAACCCGAAGCCCAAAGTGATCCCTCCATCCTCTAAGCCCTCCAGATATTTGGTAAACCATTGCGTTGGCATGACCTCTCCAACTGGATCTGCCATTCTTAGCCTTGGCTGAGCATTAGAATCAGCTGGGAGTTTTAAAACTCCTCATGCCTCGGCTTCACCCTCATCCAATTAACTCAGAATCTCTGGAACTTTGGTTATTCTAATGAGCAGCCACGGTTGAAAACATGAACCGACCTCTGTGCCTTCTGAGGATGAAAATGCCTGCATGCAGGGCCAACTACATAATTTTCAGGGTTCTGTGCAAAATGAAATTGGAGGCTTCTGTTCCAAAATTAAGAACTTCAAGTTGGTGACGGCAGAGCATTAAACCCTTCTAGGCACAGGGTGCTGTACGACTGCCATGCTGCACACTCATGCCTGACAGTGGCCTTGGACCTATAAGGATTTCAACAAACCAGGTGTGGGTTGATTAGGGTAGAATGAATACCACGGATCTAACATTTAACTGGAATGAAATTGAGCAGAAAAGCACAAGTAAGACCTTGAAAACTGAGATCCAAAAAGAGAGTTTGGATAAAGGATGGGGGGAGGGGATTTCAGGGAGGAAGACTTCTTTATTAACAATATTTAATCATTAAGACACAACATAAACTCAGTAAAAAAGGGCACCAGCCTTACGTGGACATTTGATAAATTTCCACATCAAGGCCAGATGTGATGGCCTCATGCCTGTAAAGCATTTTGGGAGGCTGAGGTCGGAGGGTCACTTTAGCCTAGGAGTTTGAGACCAGCCTGAGCAATATAGTAACACCCTGTCTCTATAAAAAGAATTTTTAAAATTCACCAAGCATGATTTTGTGTACCTGTAGTCGCAGCTACTTGGGAGGCTGAGGTGGGGGGATCACTTGAGGCTGCAGTGAGCAGAAACTCAGCACTGCACTCCAGCCTGGGCAACACAGTGAGACCCTGTCTCAAAAATAAGAGAAAAAACTCCAGATCAAGATGCAGGTCTTTGGCCCCTACACAATCAAATCCCCCCTCAACATAGGCACAATGCTGACTTCCATCACCATAAAGTAATTTTGCCTGTTCTCAAAATTTATGTAGAGGGTATCTTTCATGCCAAACCCCTATGAACCTCAGTAGGGAAGGCTACAGGTTCAAGAGGGTGACGAAGAGACCCAGAGCCAGGAAATGAGACATGGGGTTTTATCAGGGGCTTAAACACAGGGGAGAGTCCAGTGGCGGGGGGCCAAGGCAGGAAAACTGCAAGCATCTGCAAACATGTAGTTTATACCGCATTTTCACTTAGCACCCTCCTCCCAATGACCTCCACCTGTCAACCACCTTCATTTAACCCAAAACTCAGGGCCTCAGTCCCCTGTAGGCCAAGACAGGACAGGGCCTGAGATTTTTGTCTGGGTAAGGAACAAATCTCAGGGTCGGTCACTCCTGGATTGCCTAGCTTGGAGCACACATTCAAGTGTGTCTTCCATGCAGGGTCATTCTAAGGGTATGCTTAAATTCTTGCTGTCAGGTGTGTTGACCCTACAGTCTCATACTGTATGTATTCTTTCACTCAACATGTCTTGTGATTCATGCATAGACAGCAGCTAGTTGACCCAGCACCATTTATTGAAAGGGCTTTTCTTTTCCTGTTACATGTAGCTGTAAGTTGTTCCTTTTATTGCATTTTATACCACCATTTATGGATGGACATCTGAGTCCTTGATAGTTTTGAGGTAGTATACATAAAGCTGCTATGAACATACTCAAACATGTCTTCTGGTAAAAACATGCACACTTGGATATTTGCCTATGATTGGAATTCCTAGGCCATAAGGTAGACATATATTTAGTTTTAATACATAAGCACTTGTACGAGTTTACACACCCACCAGCATTGTATAAGACTTCTAATTGTTCCATATTCTCTCCAACACTGGGTACTGCCAATCTTTCTAATGCCTAACAGATGTCTTCTTGCGGTTCTAGTGTTTCTTAATGGCCTAATGACATTGAACTGTTTTTTCATAAGGATTTTGGCATTTTGGTTATCCTCTTTTTGTAAAGTGCCCGTTCAACTCCTTCCCAGGCTTAAAAACTGATTTGTCTGCCTTTTTCTTATTTACTTAAAGAAGTTTTTAAAAATATCTGCTTAATATTCATCTTTGTCTTTAGTATATGGCTGCAAATATCTATTCTAGTCTGTGGCTTGATGTTTCAGTCTCTAAATGGTGCCCTTAATTGTTCATTTTAGTGAAAAACAGTTTTTCAAACTTTTATTTGTGGTTAGTGGTTTGCATGTACAGTTTGAGAACTCTTTGCCTAACTCAAGGGTCATAAAGATACTCTACATTTTTAAAGAAACTACTGTTTCACCCTTTTCATTCCGGCTCACAATCCATCTGCAACTGATTTTTATTTTTTTGTCTGTGGTGTGAGATAGAGGTCAAGACTCATGTTTTTTCATAAGTAGCCAGTTGACCCAGCCCCATTTATTGAAAAGGCTCTCATTTCCCTTACAACATTAAAGTTGCACCTTTATGGTACATCAGGTGGCCCTTTTGTGTGGGTATGTTTCTGAACTTTTTCTACTCTATTGATTTATTTCTCTAGCCTTGTACCAATAGCATGCTATTTTAATTACTATAGCTTTATAAGAAATCTTAATATCAGGAAGACCTCTGACTATTTTCTGCATTGTGTGTGTGCGTTTCAAAATTGTCTCAGCTCTTCTTGGCCCTTTGCAATTCCACATAGAACTTAAAATCACCTTGTCAGGTTTCAACAAAGAATCTGTTAGTATTTTATATGAGATTACAAAATACATTTATAGATGAATTTTGAGAGAACTGTCATCATAATAATATTGTGTCTTCCAATTCAAGAACACTTATGTAAGTTTTAATGTTTCTCATCAATATTCTGTAAAAGTTGGTGAAGAATTACACATTTTGAGTTGCAGTTATTAACAGGCTTGTTAAAAATGTTGAGGGCCAGGTGCAGTGTCTCACACCTGTAATCCCAGCACTTTTGGAGGCCAAGGCACGCAGATCACTTGAGGTCAGAGTTTGAGACCAGACTGGCCAACATGGTGAAACCCCATCTCTACTAAAAATACAAAAATTAGCCAGGAATAGTGGCACATGCCTGTAATCCCAGCTACTTGGGAGGCTGAGGCATGAGAATTACTTGAACCCGGGAGGCGGCGGTTGCAGTGAGCCAAGATCACACAGCTGCACTCCAGCCTGAGCAACAGAGGGAGACTCCTCCATCTTAAAAAAAAAAAAAAAAATTATTGATATTTATAAGTGGCAGTATTCTTTTAAATTTCATTTTCTAATTGTCTATTGCTAGTATAGAAATACAATGCATTTTTCTATGTCGATTTTATATTTAATGACCTTATAAACACATTCTAATATTTATCTATGGAGTTTTTTATTTTCTACATTCACAATCATATCATCTGAGAGTAATGACAGTTGTAGTTCTTCTTTCCAGTATTTAAATTTTTATTTCTGTCTTGCTTATCACTCTCACTAGGGCCTCTAGCACTATGTAAATTGAAGTAATGTTAGTGAACATTCTTGTTTTAGTCAAATTCAGAGTGAAAGTATTCAATATTTTACAATTATAATATTTACTATAGGTATTTTGTAGACTTTCTATTTTACAATAAGGAAATTCCCCTCTTTTGCCAATTTTTAAAACCTGATTAGGTGATGAATTTTACAAATGGTTTGTTGGGCATCATTTGAGATGATCATATGAATTTTATCTTTTATTCAATTAATATAGTGAATTATATTATTTATTTTGAATAAATTATTGAATTTTTTAATTTGTGGAATAAACACTATTGGTCTGCTTCATCATCTTTTAAAAATATCACTGTATTAAATTTGCTAATATTTTGTTCAGAATTTTTGTATCTGAGTTTGTGAGACATGTTGGTCTATAATTTTTTTTTGTAATGTCCATGGCACATTTTGGTATAGAGGTTATGCTAGCTTCATGACATGAGTTAATAAAACTTCTTTTATCTTATAATTTCTGAAAAGCTTTTGTAAGATTAATATGATTTCTTCCTTATATGTTTGATGAATTCAGCAGTGAATTATTAGAGCCTATTGTTTTCTTATGGGGACAAGATTTTAATTGCAGATTTAACTGGTTTACAAGGATTGTACTTTTTTCAAATTTCTTCAGTCAATTTTGATAAATTGTCTTTAAGAAATTTGAGCATTTTATTTAATTGTCAAATGTAGTGATATGAAGTTGTTTATCACATTCTTTTTTATCTTTTTAACATCTGTATATTCCATTCTCATTTTCTTGTATTGGCAATTTGTGTTTTTACCCATTTTTTTTCCTTGAGTAGTATGGACAGGGCGTTACTAATTTTGTAAGTCTTCAAAATATCAAATTTTAGTTTTGTCGATTTTTTTTGTTGTGTGCTTGTTTTTCATTTAACTGATTTATTTTATAATATTGTTTCTTCTATTAGGAGAATTGATTTTTCAACATTTCTCCTCTTTTTAAGATGTGCATTTAGTCCCAGGCATTTTTGGTTTATTTTTTATGTTCATTTACCAGCTTCTTGAGACAGAAACTTAAATTGCTAATTATCAACATTTATTCTTTTATAATATATGCAGTTAGTGCTATATATTGTCCTCTAAACATTGCTTTAACTTCAACTCACAGGTTTTGATGTGATATATTTTCATTATGAGCCAGTTCAAAATATTTCTAATTTCTTTTCCATTTTTTGTTTTACCTATAGGCTATTTAGAAATGTATTTCTTATTTTCCAAATATGTATTGATCTAACAGTTTTCTTTTTCCTTTTGATCTCAAGTTCAATTCCATTGTGATCAAACAATATACTGTATGTGATTTCAGCCTTTTGAAATTTGTTGAGGCTTGCTTTATGGCCCAGAATATGGTCTATGTTGATATGTGTTCTTTGTGGTCATGAAAAATTTGTATTCTATCGTTGTTGTTTGAATTATTCTACATATATCAAATAAGTCTAGATGGTTTTTTGTGTTGCTCAATCTTTTACATTCTTCGTGGTTTTTTTGTCCACTTGTCACAGTCCCAGAGAGAGGTATGTTAAAATCTCCAACTATAATTTTGTGTGTCTGTTTCTTTTTAGTTCTGTTACCTTTTCCTCATATATTTTAAAGCTATGTTATCCTTTGCATAGCAGTTTAGGACTGTTATATCTTCCTGTTGATTTGGTATTTTAATCATTATGAAATGTCTCTACCACTAGTAACTCTTTTTTTCTTAAAATTTACTTTACATGTTGATAATTTATCTGCACTAACTTTACTTTGGTCAGCATTTGCTTGGTATCTCTTCTATCCATTTACTTTTATCCTATCTGTGTCTTTATATTTAAGATGTGTCTTCTATAATCAGTAAATAATGATGTTTTTAAAATCCAATTTGGCATTTTTATCTTTTAATCTCAATGTTAATCTAGTCACAGTTAATGCAACTGCAGAAATGTTTAGATTTGTCTATCATCTTGCTAATTTTTTCCATTTGTCTTCTCTCTTCTTTGTTCTTTTATTTTTTCCTTATTACCTTATTTATCAATAAGCATTTTTATTCCATATTTTTAATCTATTAGCCTGTTACTTATACATTCTTGTATTATTTTCTTGATTAACCATGAGATTAAGAATGCATCCTTGACTTAGTATAGCCTATCTTAAATTAGTACTTTTACCTGTTTCTGAATAACGCAAGAAATTTAAAACAGTTTAACTTCATTTACACCCCTCCTGTTTTTTTGTGTGTGTGCTATTGTTGTCATATACTGTACCTATATTTCAAACTCATAGTTATTATTATTATTAATTTTATTTGCCTTCATATTTGCTCTTACAGGGTAAGGGTGCTCACTACTTCTTTTTGTATTTTTATAATTTCTTTTAAAATCATTTTCTTTCTGCCTAAAAAATTCCATCTAATACTTTTTTTAATGAGGGTGTTATGTTAAAAAAAAGTCTTGCTGGCATTTTTTTCAACACAATAAAGATGTCATTGTCTTCTGGCCAGATAACTGGCCAGACTTTTATTAAAAAATCAGTCATCAGTCTTACTTTTACTGTTTTAAAGATAATGCATATTTTTATTATGTATTCTCTTAAAACTTTCCTTTATCTTTCATTTTCAACCATTTGACTATGATGTGACTAGATTTTGTTGGCTTTATATTTATCTGCCTGCATTCTCCAAGATTCTTGAATTTATGGCTTTTGGTCTTTTATTAATTTTGCAGACAGTATTTTTAAGCAATATTTTTAAAAATTATATCATTTCTGTCCCATTCTCTGTCTTTCCTCTTCTTCTCCTGGTAATCCAATTATCCATACATTAGCCCTTTCCATCATGTCCCCTGTCTTTCTTGTCCCATTTTGTGTTTTCCATCTTTTTTCCTCTCCATGCTTCAATCTGAATACTTTTGCTTATCCTGTCTTTAGTTCACTAGTCCTTTCTTATACTGAGTCTAATCTTATGAGAAAACTGTTCATTTAACTATAGCATATTGATCATAGTTATTTTAAAATCTGATAACTCAATAAATTACCTGCAAGACTTTATATTTTCACTTTTTTCTCGTCTCTTGGTTTTCTGTCATTTGGTCTTAATTGTAGTATGATTTGTGATTTATTCTGAATTACAGATATTGCATATTGAAAATCACAGGGGGTCTGAAAGATGCCTTTCTGTGGTTGGATTAATTTTCCACCTGCAGGCAGAGAGCATGCCTGCTGACCGCCATGACCCTGTCACAGTTAATTTTATGCAGACAGCATTGGTCTGTTTCAGTGTTGCCCTTGCCTCTGTAGTGTAGCCCTTATTCCTAAGATAGGGCCCTTCTGGGGGCTCAACTGAGATTCAGTAATACCAATGCCTGTCCTCCTTCCTAAGTCTTAAACTCCATCTCTGTCTCCCCAGCACCTTGTGGCTGCTGGAATCCCTGATTATCTCTTTAACCTCCAAGTTGCAAATTTCTGTTGGTTTCTTAGTCTTGCCTGTTACACCTTAAGAGCTGGCAAATGTTTCAAGGGAAAGTGTGTATAGAAGGTTCATTTCTCTGCAGTTCCTTTGTTGATGCGCTTTAGACCTTTTTCTAGCCCTGAACTTCAACCTCTCTTTCTTCAGCCCAGTGGGACTCTGAACATCCTGCTCACCCAGGCAGAGAACTGGCAAATAAGGTTAAGGAAAGAGGCCAGTTCCCCACAGAGGGTTCCTCCTCTCGAGGATTGCCTCATGTTTGGTCCTGCTGCTGTTCATTGCATTTCAATACCTTCAAACAGTTTATTCTGTATGTTTTCCAGCTTTTATTGTTTTCAGCAGGAGGGATAGTCTAATACTACTGACTCTATCATGGTTAGAAATGGTATTCTCTCCTCCTTCCCCAAACCTCCCTAACATTTCTGTCTTTATAGACGTTTATCATCAGTTAGAGTCATAATTTGCCTTCTTCTGGGGCACTTTAACTGCATCTTCACACAGAGAGCAAAGATGGGATTCTTTTCTTACAAATGATTTCTGATGTTTTTTAAAAAAACTATTTAATTTAAGGAAACTCTCAAAAATAACATAGCCACAATTCACATCCCAAGAATCACTAATATCTCTATGTTCAGTGTGTAATACTATATTCTCCAGCCATGGCTGACCAGAATGTTCCAGACCCACCTTTCCAAGGACACCAGAAAAGCAGGCCGGGCATGGTGGCTTACACCTGTAATCCCAGCACTTTGGGAAGCCCAGATGGGTGGATCACTTGAGACAAAAAGTTCAAGACATGCCTGGTTAACATGGCGAAACCCCATCTCTACTAAAAATACAAAAATTAGCCAGATGTGGTGGCATGTGTCTGTAATCCCAGCTACTCTGGAAGCTGAGGCAGAAGAATCACTTGAACCCAGGAGGTAGATGTTGCAGTGAGCCGAGATCGTGCCACTGCACTCCAGCCTGGGTGACAGAGGAAGACTCCATTTCAAAAAAAAAAAAAACAAAACTGGACAAGATAATAGAAAATCTATCTGAAGTTATCAGAGAGCTGCCAAGGCAATGCAGACTCAGAGGATCAAGATTTGGGGAGGCGGGGCCGTATAGAGGGATTAGAGGGAAGAGCAATCAGAGGGTGCAGGCTAACATTTTGTGCCAGTTTGCCTTTGAAGTCTATGCTGACTCCAAAGGGGAACAGAGAAGGCTCAGCAATTGGTCATTAATGATCATCATTGGAATAAATAAACAAAATTTTAATGACCAGACCCTGGACCCAAGCTCATGCCTTAAACACTGTCATCAGAAATCCAGAGCCCAAGGGATTCATAGATTTATTCTCCGTGTGTTCTTAATTAACTTGGAAAATATTTGTGGGTAGAAGAGGGTGGCCTGCCTGTGCTTCACCCATTAAGAGTAGCCCAATCAAAGAGGAATGAAAAGTCTGAGGACTAGGTTTCTATTAAGCTCAACATGGAGGTAGGAGTAGTATTTATAGCAGCTCTCTCTACTGCGTGTACATTACCTGTCTATCAGGCACAGGGTGAAGTATCTTAGACCCCAAGGCTCCAGAAGGCCCCAGTTCAGCCTTATCTACGCCACCAGTGAGCTGGTTAGAAGTGCAGAGTCTGGCCAGGCGCGGTGGCTCACGCCTCTAATCGCAGCACTTTGGGAGGCCAAGGCAGGTGGATCACTTGAGGTCAGGAGTTCCAGACCAGCCTGGCCAACATGGTGAAATCCTGCCTCTACTGAAAATACAAAAATTAGCTGGGCGTGGTGGCATGCGTCGGTAATCCCAGCTCCTCAGGAGGCTGAGGCAGGAGAATTGCTTGAACCTGGGAGGCGGAGGTTGCAGTGAGCAGAGATTGCATCACTGCACTCCAGCCTAGTCAACAGAGTGAGACTTCATAAAAAAAAAAAAAAAGAAGTGCTGAGTCTCAGGCCCAGACCTACTGAGTCAGCATCTGCTTTCTAGCCAGATCACTAGGTGATTCAAACTAAAGTGTGAATGTTGGTCTGGGTTCATTGTTTCATGACCCCTCACTTAAACAGTGGTCTAGGCTCCTTATTTTAATCCTCATAACAAGCTTACAGGGGAGATACTGTTATCATCTCTCTTTAATAGATGTGAAAACTGCCTCTCATGTTTCTCTCCTTGTCAAACTTTTCATCTCCATGTGGCTGGCAGTATTGGAGACAGATCCTAGACCCAAGTCTCCCTAACATCTGAGCTGCCGCACATAGGAAATGTGGCATCACACTGCCTACGGGCTCCTTCTACTCTCAGTATCTGGCTGAAGTACCACATAATAATCCATTATCATTCCGTTTTTTTCAAATAATAATCCATTATCATTCTGTTTTTTCAAATCTTTAATAATTTCCTTGCATCTACATTTTAATTGTGTTATGACCTGAATTGTGTCTCCCCAAAATCCATGTGTTCATGTCCTAACTTCAACACCTATCTCAGAATGTGACCATATTTAGACACACGGTCTTTAAAGAGGTAATTAAGTTGAAATGAGGTTTTTAGAATGGGCCCTCATCCAGTCTGACTGGTCTCCTTGTAAAAAGAGGAGACTGGGACACAGACACACACAGAGAGAAGGTCATGTGAAGACACATGGAGGAAACAGCATCTATGAGCCAAGGAGAGGGGCCTCAGAAGAAACCAGCCAGACTTACAGCCTCCTGAACTGTGAGGAAATACATTTCTGTTGTTTAACCACTCAGTCTGTGGTACTTAATAATGGCAGCCCTAGCAAACTGATACAAATTGATATACTTACCCCATGGCCCAAGCCTACCAATCTATTCTAATTTGCACAAGTGAGTTAGGTCTAGTGCTCCATTAGTCACCAACTTTAAGTGAAGTTCTACTATGTCATCCTTACTGTAATTCTATATTCAGATACAGACACATGGTTCATTTAAAAATTAATCCACTCAAATCTTATACTTGAAGATCAAAAAGTACCTGTATGATTACATGACTCGCCAAACAGCATGCATTTTTACTTGCTTGAGCGTCTTAGCTGTGCTGTGTGCCATCCAGATTTAAGATGAAACAGCAGGTCTGAACTTATATAAGTGTGGGAAGGCAGAAAGTGATTGGGGGGGAGTTGGGGCCCAAGGATAACACAGAAGTTACAACTGGCCTTCACTAGTGAGTCACCTGTGCTAAGCATGGGAGATGCTCTGAGAAGAAGAACACGTGCTCTGTTATCCCGGAAAGCTTGCAATAGCTGAAGAAGCTGAAAGTTAAGTGACTTAATTTAAACAATGTCATAAAACAATTAATGGCAACAAAGACTAGGAGGCCACGATGAATCCCCAGAGACTGAAGCACAGTGATTCCAGTTACTGTTTTTCTCAACGGGCTATGGGATAGATTTCAATTCCATGGGACCTGGCATTGTAGACCACTTTGAAACTACATGAACAGTGCTAGCTTTTAAACCCCAGGGGCATCACACAGGATGTTCTTGATATAGTTGCATGAGCTTGGTGAGACAGATGTCCGGTGTTGTCCTCTGATTTAGGACTATTGCACTCATGTGTGGGGGAAAAATGAAGGAGGATCTCTCCGGTTGGGGGTGGAGTTGGCTTGGTTCCGGGATGGACAGTGTACTCCCCTAGCTCCACCTGTCATTCAAGACCAAGCCAGCAGAACAAAACTCAGCTCATTGTGCTGTCCTGGGTCACCTCGGCAGTCACTTCGCCTCTCAGACCTCAGGTTCCTTGTCTATAAGCTGAGACAACTTCCCCAGTGTACATGATCGTGCTGGGATGAAGATCACAGGTAGGGAGTGCTCTTTGTTTTTAAGGAATTGGGAGAAATGAGAGCAAGGCAGAAAGGCAGTTGCCTCTGTGACTACGTGGATGTAAGCCCTGCCCTTGTGTCGTGTACCCTGCTCTTCCTCCTGGTTCAGTGGAGGAGCTGTCTACCCTCAAACTGGCAGGCTGGGTATGATGTTGTTAATGGTTCTCCCTGGAGACGTGCCCTAAAGAGGAGGAGTGGGGATTCCATTTCCAAGGCCTCTGCTTAGAGAGAGTACCTGGTGAATCTTCTCAGGAAGTGCTCGACTAATAAGCCAGACTCCACCAAAATGTGCTGGTGTTGGGGTCACCTGTGAACTTTCCCATAGGCCAACGCAGGGACAGATGTATACATCACTAGCTAAGCCACTGCGGGGTCCATTTAGATATTTAAACTTTTCCTCTTTCTAATTGTTTTTCTCTCTTCATTCTGTTTTCATTTACTCATTTAAGTTCCACTTCCTTTGTTGTTGTTGTTTACAAAACATACTGAAAAGATTCTGGGATGTGAGTTTAAAAACTCCTTCAAAATGCAGATATAACTGCCACCCTATTTGAAACACATCCTGAACTGTGCTTCTTTTAAAAGACATTCAGTGGGAAGGTACCACTTCACATGTATTATGACGGCTGTTACAAAACAAGCAGAAAATAACAAGTGTTGGCATGGATGTGGAGAAATTAGCACAGTGTGCTGGCATAAAATGCTGGAAAACTATATGGTGGCTCCTCAAAAAGTTAAACACAGAATTACCATATGACCCAGCAACTTCATTTCTGGGGACATACCCAAAAGGATTTACAGCAGAGACTCAGACATCAATAGTCAAAAGGTGGAAGCAATCCAAATGTCCCTCAATGGAAGAGCAGATAAGCAAAATGTGGTATGTATGTATGATGGAATATTACTCAGCCTTAAAAGGGAAGAAAACTCTGACACATGTTGCAATATGGATGAACCTTGAAAATATGCTGCATGAAAGAAGCCAAATACAAAAGGACAAGTATCGTATGACTCTACTTATATGAGGTACCTAGAGTGGGGAAATTCTTACAGAATGTCGAATAGAGGTTACCAGGGCCTGGGAGGAGGGGGAATGGGGAGTGAGTCGGTCCCCATTAAAATGGGGACAGAGTTTCAGTTTGAGAAGATGAAAATAATTCTAGAGATGGATGGAGGTGCTGGTTGCTGTATATTATAAATGAGCTTAATGGCAATGAATTGTACACTTAAAAATGGTGAAAGGGTAAATTTTATATTATGTATATTTTACCATCACCACAACAAAAAGACACAAGTGGGGAACAGCCTGGACGTTTCCCACTCCCTGGTGCCTGTTTGGTTGATCAGACTCATAGCCCAGGAGATATGTATGGATCTCACAGGCAGCTCATGGGAGCAGTAGAGAGATGCTATCGCAGATAAATCTAGTGGAAAATGCGTATTTCTGTAAAAATGCTCTTTACATCACTCAAGCAAAGAAAACAGGGCCATATATTTTCCTTTTTCCAGTCAGTTAAAAATAGTGAATTGAACCCAGGCCGATATGCTGATAGCTCTGTTTACTTTCCATCTCAAAGAATTCCTGCCTGTTCTGGGGAAAACTAAGAAACATTTTTGCGTGCATTTCCATGTTTTCTGAGCCTGAGGAATGTGATTGATCGTGGCCAGAATTTAAATTGCCAAGTTCTTAGAAAAGGTATGTTTTTCAACGCCACACCCCACAACCCAATGTCCTTTTCCTCAGATTCTCCAATACCCTAATTTAACTAAATTTAACTCGGCAGCTGATGTTTAGCTTTGCAGTGCTCCCCACACACCACCCCAGGTCATGATTTCTAAGCTCACACTCTTCAATTGACAGAGAACGTTGAGAACAAATCAACCTAAGGGATGTTATTACAAAAATTGAAATCTCAGGATCACCTCATTAAATTTTAAGTCAGACTTTCCATCCCAGGGCATCAGAGAAAGTATTTAGTGACCAAATATTTTATGTGGTTTTGTGGTCCTAATCTTACTGTCACAGCCTAAGAATGATTTTCATCTCATTTTATTGACTTGAGCGTGAACATTGCATCTCATTAAGCCAAAACCTAAGTTGGCACAGACTGGGAGCTGCTGCAGGGTTTCTCAAAGTGGATGCTAAAAAAAATCTTCTGAACCACGGAAATACCCTTGGGCCGCTTGGCCAAAATGCACCTTTAACAGAATTTTTTAGCCGTTCTCTTTTCTGTTCCATTTTAAAATTGGGAGTTCAAAAGAGCTTCTACCCTGAGTTAAAACAGAAGACCAAGTCAGAAAAAAAAAAAAAAAGATTGGCTCACAGTTGTGGAAAAGTTCAGGCAGAGGCCCCTTGAAAAGGTGTGGCTGGGCGCAGTGGCTCATGCCTGTAATCCCAACACTTTGGGAGGCCAAGGGAGGAGGATCATGAGGTCAGGAGATTGAGACCAGCCTGGCTAACACGGTGAAACCCCGTCTCTAATAAAAATACGAAAAAAAAATTAGCCGGGCGTGGTGGTGGGTGCCTGTAGTCCCAGCTACTCAGGAGGCTGAGGCAGGAGAATGGTGTGAACCCCAGAGGCAGAGCCTGCAGTGAGCCGAGATCGTGCCACTGCACTCCAGCCTGGACAACAGAGTGAGGCTCCGTCTAAAAAAAAAAAAAAAGAAGAAAGAAAAAAAAAAGAAAAGGTGTGCTTGTCTCTCTAGGTTCATGTTGGCTGTTCTGAGCATAGAGAAGGGTCTGTGTTGGGTATGAACCTACTCGAAGGAAGCCTAGCATAGGGCAAGACTGTTGAAGGAGACCTATTATTCCCCTCACAGGTGTAGAAATTTGTGAACTCAGAGTCTCTTGATCTCATCAAAGTGCCCAGTTAAGGCATGAGCACCCTGTCCCATGTGATTGAATGGTTCACTGAAATTGTCATCACATTATTATGGAGGAGTGGGGATGGTCACCAAAGAAAAAGGCAGAATGGCCGAGCGGCTAAGAACCTGGGCTTCGGTCTCTGCTATTTATAATTGTGTGACTGTTAGCAAGTTACTGAGCTTTTTTAAGCCTAAGTTCCATCATCTATACAATAGGAATAGGGATATTACCTAACTCATGGGATGTTTGTAGGGATTAAATGAGGTTGTCTGGGCAAACACAATATAGTGGCCAATAGAGGGTAAAGCATGTGCTAGCTATTAAGTCTAGGTAATTACCTCTATTATAATTGTCATGGACCAGACAGTTCACATGTCTGTTCATCAACTGAGGTCTACACAGCACTGTTTGCATCCAACACCCTGGGAAGTGCTGAGAGGTACATCCCTATAAGGTAGGTGATCTGGGAGTTTACAGGCTAATTCAGGAAAGAAAGAAGGGTACACTAAATTCATGGCGAATTGTTTCAGAGTTCAGAGAAGAGCTAGGTCTTCAAATAAGCAATAGACTTCAGGCTGCCCCCAAATAGCAGGTAGAGTTTGGGCAGAGGTTCTGGGCCAGCATTCTAGCTACACTCATGTACCCAAGGCTGTTCCCACTTGACCTCATGCCCACATCCCTCAGGTCAACATTTCAGAGCAGCCCTGACGTCAGGACACATAGAACCATCTTTAGGATGAGGACCCCAGATTAGGAGGTGACAACTGTGAGGGCCTGAGAAAAATGTGTTCCTGGCTTGATGTTGGGTCACCCTCAGGGGTATGAACACAGGAAGGAAGGAAGTTGAGGGACTGGTCCTTTTTCAACCCTTTAATTTGTTGACAAAGAAATGATGCTCAAAAAAGGTGATCTTCTTCCTTGTGTTTTGCTTGCTCAGCTTGTCTATGAATTCAGTCACCCCAAAAAGGTGACTACTACTTACTTCTTATGCCTCTTTTCCTGTGAGATTCTTTTTCTTTTACAATATCCAGTTTTACACATGGCAGAATGGCTTTTCCAGCCTACAGAACATGCGACTTGGTTTGCTTGATTCAGACTCTAGAGAACCAGAGAAAGCTTGGGGGCTGAGCACAAAAGTCACTGAGCCAGGCAGGGTCCAGGCAGGAAACAGATGGCACTCTGCAGGAGGGAGGTCTGCAGCGAGTTTAATAAGAGGACTGTTTTAACAAGGGATAGTGGTGCTCCTTAGGGCAGGCAACAAGCAAAAGCATATACCACCCGGGACTTGGAGGGACGGCGAAAATGTGATAACCACCAGCCTGAGAGAGAGGCAATAGCTGTAAAGAGGGCTCCCTGGCAGAACTGTTGCTTTTCACAATGAAAAACAGAAGGAGGCCAGGCATGGTGGCTCACGCCTGTAATCCCAGCACTTTGGGAGACCAAGGAGGGTGGATCACTTGCGGTCAGGAGGTCGAGACCAGCCTGGCCAACATGGCAAAACCCCGTCTCTACCAAAACTACAAAATTTAGCCGGGTGTGGTGGTGTGTGTGTCTGTAGTCCTAGCTACTTAGGAGGCTGAGGCAGGAGAGTCGCTTGAACTCAGGAGGCAGACGTTGCAGGGAGCTGAGATCTGAGATTGCACCACTGTGCTCCGGCCTGGGTGACAGAAAGGAGACAGTCTCAAAAAAAAAACAAATATATGTATATATATATACACATACTATATATAATAGAATATATATAATTAAAATGCATACACATTTTATTATGTAAATAATAAATATTTATTGTTAAAAAAGTAAACTAGAGAAAATTTTTAAGAAAAAAATAAAAGTTACCTATTTTTATTTTATTTTAGGTAATATTTTATTTTATTTTAGGGAATATCTTCTGTGCACATATGTGGGTGTTTTTATGTAACAAAAGTTTTTGTATGACAGAGTAGGATTGTGCTCCTTATTCATTTTTTATGTTTTTATATCCAACTTTCTTCAGTTAAGGTCACAGGTGAGCATGTTCTTGTGTGGCTGGCTACATGGGACCCGTCTTACTGGGACATCATAATTTATCAGACATCTCCTAGCATTGGACATTCAAGCTGCTTCCTGTTTTTTTGTTATTATAATTAGACCACAATGAGAGTATGCACACTTTTGGAAAAAGGTGTATCTGATGTCTTGTCCTTGTTGCCTAAGCTCTCTGAAGTACAGAAAAGCAGTAGAGTTTTAAACACATCTTCAAGGTAGGCAAAGTATACAAACATGAGCCACTTGTGCATGGATTAGGCCTCGCTCTCGCCATGTACAGATCATATGCGTGTCCTACCAAACTCACCTCGAGTCTCTGTTGTCAGTGGGCTCCTGACATTCAGCAGGAGGAGAGACAACACTGGAAAGCAGGCGACTCCTTCAGACCCTGTGGGGCAGCGTGGCTTGTGTGTCCTTGGCTCTGCACCGCCCTGCAGGAACAAGTGATCCCACTGGATAGGGCCCGGGATGGAGCACACATAGGCAGGTGGTTGGGCCTGGAAGACTTTGGATGCATCAAGCTCTAGGTTTCCATTCTGTGTTGGTGTTCATACATCACCATTGCTTTCAACTTAGGGCTGCTGCTGAACAGGACCAATGTCCACACGGGATTACCATCTACACCTCCCCAGCCCCAACGTGTGGAGCGCCTTTTAAGTGACTGGAATCTTCTTCCTTCCCCAACCCTGTGGACACCCGCACCCAGCCCCTGCTCCTCACTCTCTCTACTCTGAGCAGCAAGGGTTGTCCTCCTGGCAAAGGCTTAGATGAAATGAGTTTGCAGAAGGAGGAGAAGGTTAGAGGACTCAAAACCAAAATAGAACAGTTAGTGCAAAAATGGTTTCCTTTTGCCTGTTCTCTGGCATAGGCTTATCTGGAACCCATCTGCTCCCAACAGAGTTGCAGAAACATTAAAGAAGAAATTTTGTTAAGAGTTCACTTGGGGAAGTCTTGCAAGTCTAACCCACTCATAGGAAGAGAACCTGCTCTACAATACTAGTGGGGGACTTTAAGAGAATGCGCTGAAAAAATAATACTAGCTCATCTGCAGAGTACAGAAAACTGCTCCGGCAACATCTAACACTCTGCATTTCCAGATTCTCTGGCAACATGGGAAGCACTGGCAACACTGGGCCTGTTTGCCCTCGCGGAGCACCCCGAGGTGAGTAGAGGCTGCTCCTCTGCTGGCACCTCCCCTTCACTCCGGAGCAGCGCTGTCTTGGGTCCTGCATCTCAGTGATGGGGGGAGCGCTTCTGACAAGTCAGGGAGGCCCCAGGCCTCTCCACTCTCCTGCAGTTGCCTGTTTGGCAGGACAAGAGGAGACCGGAGGGTCCGCCGGGGGCCCATTATGGGGCTCCAAGTCCGAGCCAAGGAATTTAGACCTTGTCTTTGTGGGTGCTCTTTGAGGGTTTTAAACAGAGGAGTGACAGTCCAGCAGGCAGTGCTGTGGGAACCGCTGGGGGTGACTCGCAGGCATTTCAGTGATCTGACTTTGACCCTCTCACAGCTGGCTTGCATGTGGCATCTGGGGGCCCAGTAGAGGATGTGAACACCTGCAGAGAAGATGCAAAAACATCTTCTCTCCAAGGGTCCCCAGCACCCTCTCCCCTTCCTCATTCTCACCTGATCATCTTGATTTTTATTTCACTGAGAAAAGAAAAAAAACCAGGAAGAGAACCACCTTACCTCCCCACCACCAACTCTCCCCACCCAACTGTTACTGAGGCTCCACCCTGCTCCCAGTAAGGCCGCTCCGTCTTTTGTTCACTGGGTCTCACCCCCTCCTCCTACCCGAGGACTTCCTCTGCATTTTCCTCCTCCTCTCTCTCACCCTCTTGCCTTTCCTTTCTGCTGATTCTTCTCATCAGCAAACACACTATACTACTGTTACCGGAAAGGAGTCTGATCCAGACGCCAAGAATGGTTCTTGGACCTTGCACGAGAAAGAATTCGAGCCAAGTCCATACAGTAAAGTGAAAGAAAGTTTATTAAGAAAGTAAAGGAATAAAAGAATGGCTACTCCATAGGCAGAGCAGCAGCATGGGCTGCTCGCCTAAGTACACTTATACTTATTTCTTGATGATATACCAAACAAGGGGTGGATTATTCATGAGTTTTCTGGGAAAGAGGTTGGCAATTCCCAGAACTGAGGGTTCCTCCCCTTTTTAGACCATATAGGGTAACTTCCTGATATTGCCATGGCATTTGTAAACTGTCATGGCATTGGTGGGAGTGTCTTTTAGCATGCTAATGCATTATAATTAGAGTATAATGAGCAGTGAGGACGACCAGAGGTCACTTTCATCACCATCCTGGTTTTGGTGGGGTTTAGTGGCTTCTTTACCACAACCTGTTTTATCAATCAGCGAGGTCTTTGTGATCTGTATCTTGTGCCGACCTCCTGTCTCATACTGTGACTAAGAACGCCTAACCTTCTGGGAATGCAGCCCAGTAGGTCTCAGCCTCATTTTACCCAGCTTCTATTCAAGGTGGAGTCACTCTGGTTCAAATGCCTCTGACACTATCTTCAGTCTTAAATATAAAAACAAACTAACCAAATAAGGCCCCCTTTAATTGCCTCTCTATTTTCTGGCCCCTTTGCAAGCAGAACCCCTCAGGAGGGTTGACTCCTCCAGTTCTTTCACTTCCTCACCAGCAAGTCCAATGGGGCTGTCATAAGTACATTTCCACAGGACTTCTTTATCAAGGGCATGGGTGCCTCCACTCTGCATAGCTGAGGGTCCCTTCTCTGTCCTATTTTATGCCTCTGGGGCACTGGCCACCCCCATCCAGTCCCTCCCTCTGGAAATACTTTCTTGGCTTGGCTTTTGGGGCACCATGCTTCCCTGGCTCCCCGCTTTCCTACCCTGTGATTGTCCCCATGCTCACACCACTATTTCCAATATAGGACTTGGTTACTTAGACTTTTGGTCTCTCTAGTTGAGCTCCAAGCTCTGTTTCTTCTCTACCCTGAGTATCCAGACTACCCTGGCACTCAAGAAAGGTAAGCTGAAAAAAGGGGCAGTAAATGGGCCATCGTTTGTACAATGCCCAGAGGAGCGCAGAGGTACATGTGATGCTTAAGAAGGGCAGTCCACCCTTACAAATGACCACAGACTTGCTTCAAACAACAGAAATGTATTTTCTCACACTTTTTTTTTGAGAGAAGTCCAAAGTCTGCATGCCCACAGGACCACACTCCCTTCTTAGGCATTAGAGAGAATGCATCCTTGTCTATTTCAATATCTGGTGTCTCTTGGCATTCATTGGCTTGTGAAGGAATGACTTTAATCTCTACTCTATCGCCTTCTCCCTGTGTCTTTCTGGGTCTACGCCTCCCTCTCCTTCCTCTTTTAAAGACACCAGTCACTGGATTTAGAGCCCATCCAAAATCCAGCATCTTAAAAAATGTAAAAAAGTAACTAATTATAGGTGTGAAGACCCTATTTCCAAACAGATCACATTCTGAGATTCC
This sequence comes from Homo sapiens, assembly GCF_000001405.40. Classification (NCBI taxonomy): domain Eukaryota; kingdom Metazoa; phylum Chordata; class Mammalia; order Primates; family Hominidae; genus Homo; species Homo sapiens. Next base: position 105,466,871 of record NC_000002.12, on the reverse strand, counting down.
CAGTGGACATGATTTTGGGAGATCCCTATTCAACCTACTATATACAATAAGTTTAGACCTCCCCTTGATATTTAGATTTTCTAAATACCCAAAACAGTCACTAGAGATTCATTCTACTGAGTCTCAAAGATATTTTAGTTCTTCAAATCATATTCTTGAACATTCAAGAAAATGTTTACAAATTAATGGAGCAGACAGTGGTGTGGCATTCCTGACCTATAAATTCGAATATGTACAAATGCATCTACTTTTATTCTCTTATCAGTGATTTTTTAACATTTACCTTGCGCTCCCATTCCACCTAATGGAGAAAATCCAGCTAGTCATTTCCAGATAATTTCAGTCTTTTTTCAGTCCTTTCAGATTGAAATACATTGAATCCTACTTTCCACTTCAACCACCATCTCCCCCATTTCTGCTTCCAGCCACAGCCCAGCTGGCACCGTGAGCAGGGTCTCTGGGGTCCTGTTTATATTACCAGGACATCCCTTAGGACTGAGTGCACAGACCCTCTGACCATGGACCCCCAGACTTGCTGGCAGCTCTGTGCCTACCACAGACTCGGCACAGACCCATGCCAGTGTCCACTTCCCTACATCATCTCTTACCTCGCCCCTCTCTGCTCCTTCCCTCACTTTATTTAGGCTTGGGGCGGTAGGAGATGAAGGTCATGAATAGAAAACAGGCCAGTTCTGCCGGATGGTGTTATACACAGATTTTCCCTTTTAAAAACTTAGACAAAGGTGTTTTTGTTTTGATTTAGTTTTCATGTTTTAACTTAAAAAGCCAAGAATTGTCCTTCGATCTCAGTTTCCACTGTGGCCATTTTCTCTGAGACAATAACTCCTATTACTCAGGACACAAGTGAGGATGTTCGTTAGAGCAAGGATGGAGAGTCCCTGCTGCCAGGACCACATAGTTACATCATACCATCCACAGTGCAAGGAAAGACTGCCCATCCTGCCAGAGGCTCTGCTCATAGCACCCTTAGTGTCTGAGAAATCACTTCACGCTGCCTCTAGGCCAAAGAAATACCCACCAGTTCTTTTTTTTTTTGAGATGGAGTCTCGCTCTGTCACCCAGGCTGGAGTGCAGTGGCGTGATCTCAGCTCACTGCAAGCTCTGCGTCCTGGGTTCACGCCATTCTCCTGCCTCAGCCTCCAGAGTAACTGGGACTACAGGCGCCCGCCACCACGCCCAGCTAACTTTTTGAATTTTTAGTAGAGACGGGGTTTCACCGTGTTTGGCAGGATGGTCTCGAACTCCTGACCTTGTGATCTGCCCGCCTCGGCCTCCCAAAGTGCTGGGATTACAGGCATGAGCCACCGCACCCGGCCCCCACCAGTTCTTTATGTTAAGAAATTACATTCAAACAACTTAATAAGTATTTATGCCCTAACAACATAGTAGCCATCTGAAAAAAAAAATACATCTAAAATGAAAAAAATAAAATTTTTATTTTATTCTTTAATAACCACAATTTTTTATTATTCAGATTCATGCCTATAGGGCACTGAAGCACTTTTTGAACATCACAATCAGATTTAACACCACCTGTTATGGACTGAATGGTGGCCCCTCAAAATTCATATGTTGAAGCCCTAACCCCCAGTATGACTGTATTTGGAGACAGGACCTTTAGAGAGATAACTAAGGTTAAATGAGGCCATAATGACGGGGCCTTCATCCAATAGGACTGGTATCCTTATAAGAAAAGGAAGGGGCCAGGCGCGGCGGCTCACGCCTGTAATGCCAGCATTTTGGGAGGCCAAGGCGTGTGGATCACCTGATATTGGGAGTTCGAGACCAGCCTGGCCAACATGGTGAAACCCCATCTCTACTAAAAATACAAAAATTAGCTGGACGTGGTGGTGCACGCCTGTGATCCCAGCTACTCAGAAGGCTGAAGCAGGAGAATCGCTTGAACCTGGGAGGCGGAGTTGGCAGGATGCTGAGATCGCATCACTGCACTCCAGCCTGGGCAACAGAGTGAGACTCCACCTCAAATTAAAAAAAAGAAAGAAAGAAAGAAAAGGAAGGGATGCACCAGAAATGTACAAGCACAGAGGAAAGGCCACACAAGGACAAAGAGAAAAGGTGTAGGGGAAGAAAATTTTTTTTAGGTTTAATACTTCGGGCCTGTGAATTAAACTAACAAAAGATACATTAACAGGAGAAAAGATACATCATTTTTCTCAATATCTACATGTATAGGAATTCACAGAAAAGAAGTAGAATTCAAAGCAGCTGTTAGACTCAGGAGCTTATACATCATTTTAACAAAGAAAGGGGATTTGGGCTTCAAAGGATGGTGAATCTTGAGTTGGTGACCGGGTAATATATAGGAGAACGCATGGCAGATAAGGTTTAGTAAGGTCTGTTTATGCAAACTCATCTCAGTGCTGACTCCTCATCTCATTGATAAGAGTGCTCTTCTCTTCCAAGGGAAAGGAGGAAAACTTCACATAAGGAAATTTATGCCCTGCTTTTAGACAGACAGAAAGAGCAGACAGATCTTCCTATATTTGTTGGTTCTTAACTGCCTTCAACTCAAGATGGTCCTTAAGCCGAAAAATATTTTGAGGTGGCATATTTTGATTCCCTTCAATGGTATCTGTCAGGCAAGGAGAGAGGCCTCAGGAGCAGCTAAACCCACTGATAGTTTGATCTTGACTTTCAAGCCTCCAAAACTGTGAGGAAATGAATTTCTGCCATTTAAGCCATCCAGTCTGTGGTACTTTGTTACGGCAGCCCTAGCAAACCAAGACGCCATCATCCACATTTCCTTTCTCTTTTTTTTTGGAGACCGAGTCTCACTTTGTCACCCATGCTGGAGTGCAGTGGCATGATCCCGGCTCACTGCAACCTTCGCCTCCCAGATTCAAGCGATTCTCCTGCCTCAGCTTCCCAAGTAGCTGGGATTACAGGTATGCACCACTACACCTGGCTAATTTTGTAAATTTAGTAGAGACGGGGTTTCACCTTGTTAGCCAGGCTGATCTCGAACTCTTGACCTCTGGTGATCCACCCACCTCGGTCTCCCAAAGTGCTGGGATTACAGGTGTGAGCCACTGCACCCGGCCCACATTTCCTTTCTTTACATTTTATTTTATTATAGTGACTTACCTTTGACATCAAACAGCATATCATTTAGGGCTGAAACTACAAACTACCTCAAGCTTGGAGTCCACATGGTGTGGGCCAGAGTCAAGCATCACAATCTTCCCCACTAGAATTTGAAATACCCCAGGGACTTTGTGAATTTGCTGTAGTATATCCAGGGCACTGCAGTTTGGGAACCATGGCATCAGATAAAAAAAATAAAAAGTTATGTCTTTCTCCTTCAAGAGCCATAGGTTTAATGATATGGGTTAATATTTTTTTCTTATGTATCCATCCTTACTATTGGGTTCATTTGACTAATAATCTTTGCATCTGCATAGTATTATAAAAATTCGTGGTTTTCAGTATTTGGTATCAATGTTGTAGGCAAAGTATAGATATACCATTCAAAATAGTGGAAGAAGAGAATGTAAATTGTTATGAATTCTATCAAAGAAAATGAATGGAATTGCTTAAGAGTTGTGAGGTGAAGGGCAGAGAGGGGTGCAAGGTGGTGTGGGGGTTTTATATTCTATAAAAGTAGAATAGAAGAATGAAAATAAATATTAAAAAATGAAGAGGGGTGGAGAAGATGGGGGAAATTTCTGTGAGCCAAATTCTTCACATACGTGATGGAAAGATAATAGATTCCATCTAAATCTGATCAATTACCAGAGGGATGAATATGTGCTATTAAATTGTTTTAGAAGAACAAGTAAAACGGATACAGGTGGCTACTCCTGGGGTATAATTCCTGGGGTATGTAGGAGGGGTTTCAATTGGAAGCAAGATGCCTTTAGTTTCCATTTGATAGCATTCTGCTTTATTTGAATTGTTTTTGATTATTTGACTTGATAGTTTTCATAATCAAAGTTTATGGCCGGGCGCGGTGGCTCACGCCTGTAATCCCAGCACTTTGGGAGGCCGAGGCGGGCGGATCACGAGGTCAGGAGATCGAGACCATCCCGGCTAAAACGGTGAAACCCCGTCTCTACTAAAAATACAAAAAATTAGCCGGGCGTAGTGGCGGGCGCCTGTAGTCCCAGCTACTCGGGAGGCTGAGGCAGGAGAATGGCGTGAACCCGGGAGGCGGAGCTTGCAGTGAGCCGAGATCCCGCCACTGCACTCCAGCCTGGGCGACAGAGCGAGACTCCGTCTCAAAAAAAAAAAAAAAAAAAAAAAAAAAAAGTTTCTAAGGAGAAAATGTTCACCCAATGCTAAATGGAAAAAACAGTATCCATAACAGAATATACAGTATGAGCCTAAGATTGTTTTTATATCTAGTTTTAATATATATTAGGGTAAAAAGAGTGGAACTGAAAATTTCAACAACTTAGTTTAAAGCTCGAATTGGCTTTCATCAATGATTCATGAATCAGGCAGCATTCCTTGTAAAGATTTAGAAAGATGCTCTGATGAGCTGAGCAGAAGAGATGAGCTTTATGGGCAGAAAAAGGCTGAAGAAAGCAGAAGCAAGGAACAAAAAGCAGATTGGTTGTTTCAAAGTCATTTTCCTTATAGGATTAAAACAGAGGGGATTCCCTTATCATGCCAGCTCAGGTAAACTGGAACCCTTCTGGTTGGTTGTGTGAATCTCATTTTTTGGAAAACTGTTAAAGTTCAGTTTGATCAGCTGGCACCTACATAAATGACACCACTCTGATTTGTCTGGTCTGTTGGGGCCCAGTGCAGGGCTCAGTCGAAAACAATAACCTCCCATGCCTTTTATTTAACAGAAATAAATAAACCATACTATTAGCAATGGCTAACTCTAGATGGTGAGAATAACAGTGTTTTTCATTTCTGAAATTAGTAGGTAAAACACTTATAATTGGATAAAAAATTATCCTAAGAGCTGATACCAGAATTTTTATTAGGGAAAGAACTAAATTTCCAGTATATGAGATTTTTGAAAACACTTTCTTAGCCCTTAAGGGATAGGTAATAGCCACAGGCACGTATGTCTACCAACACTCAGGCACTGCAAAGGAACCTGCTCTGCACTTTTTTTTTTTTTTTTTTTTTTTTGAGGCAGAGTCTTGCTCTCTCGTCCAGGCTGGAGTGCAGTGGTGCCATCACAGCTTATTCACTGAAGCCTTGACCTCCAAGACTCAAGCAATCCTCCTGCCTCAGCTCCTGAATAGCTGGAACTACAGTTAAACACCAGCATGCCCAACTAATTTCTGTATTTTTTGTAGGGGCAGGGTCTTGTTATGTTGCCCAGGCTGGTCTCAAACTCCTGGGCTCAAGCGATTCTCCCGCCTTGGCCTCCCAAAGTTCTGGGATTTCAGGTGTGAGCCACCATGCCCAAACTCTGCATCTTTTTTCAAGCTGCAGAGCCAGCTTGTGCTTGATAGCCAACCCCCAGTCACAGAGATAAGACCACACTCTGAATTGCTGCTCTTCTATAAACTGCTTTTCTGCCAAATTATTTGGCAGTATGGTTCCCACTCTGGTTTCCAAATCTCTGTAAAAGTCCAAAATAGCCCCAGGCTGGAAGGATGGAGATCATGGAAGTCTTCATAGGCCTCACATAGAAATCAACATGTACAGATTGATCCTGGGATTGATGTCTGTGTGTAAGTGTAGCTGTGGTGGATGGGGCAGGAGAGGTTGGTTTTGGCATGAGCCACAAGGACTGTCTTCTTTTTTCCAAGGAGCTTCTTAGGAGACTCAACACATGCTCACACCATGAGATTGAAGTGGGTTAGGAGTCACCAGTGGGTAGGTCTGTGTGGTTAGGTCAACTTAGCGTTGTCAAAACTTACAAAGTCACGGCTATGTGCATAAGAAGAACTGCCAGGTAGGTATTGATGGGACATATTGGGGGCAGGTACCTTCCTGTCCCAATTTTTGCATCCCTTTGGAACCTGGTAAGAAACTTTCACTACTGAATCTACAACCTTTAAGAGAGGGTCCAGAGGTTGCAAACTCATGTGCCAACAGCCAGGTGAGTGCATGAGTGTGTGACATGGACCACTTAAGACAAGAGGAAATAGTGGAGAGACACTGAAGGGGACAAACAGAACCACAGAAAAAGGGTGCAGTGGGATCCAAGCCCCCAGCTGCAGACGGGCAGCCCTGGAGGAGAACCTAAGTTCAGTCTGGCCAATTCAGATGATAAGGCCGCTGGAAAATCATACCAGGGTCAGAGGCCTTGGCCCCAGCAGTGCTAGCCAAGGTTTCCAGACATCTGACGTGGAACTCTAGCTCTTCCAAACCCAGTTACGTGCATCAGCCTTTTGCTCTGTTGTTTGCCCCACTTCTTTCCCCTTTCCCTCTCCCTCCTACATTTTTCTTCTCCATTAAGCAAAACAGACCTTGAGTTTCTTGCTTCTGGAATGTTACTGAAAACAGCTTACTTAGAAAAGCTGACTTTCCATAAATATCTCAATTTATGAAGAAGAGAACATGATCACTGAAAGCTGCAGATATTCCTGATTAGTTTCTGTTTGCTTGTTTGGCTTTCTCAGGGACATCGGCCAATGCACACATTCTTTTCAGACCTGCACATTAGTTCTGGAGTCAAGACTAGAATTTCTTAAGCCAAAGGAGTTTACAATCAATGACCCTTCAGAGCCCACTGATGGGCGTAAGAGGAAGTTCATTATCCACATAAAGAACACAGAGTTAATGACATTCTGGGTTTAACTGTCTTCATCTGGATATGCCCAGGTATATCAAAACAAGAGATTAAAGCAGGACAAAATCATTTACCTTAATGTCTTCATCCACCTCTCATGATGTGCTAGCACAGTGGGAGAACAGAGCGACCCTTAAACTTTCTAGAATAAAGAGCTAATTGGGTACCACACTTATCAATGTGAGGCCAAATACCTAAAGGCTTCCTTTTCTGCTGAATTAATTGTTTTTTTCATACTGAATTCTAAAACCCTTGGAAGTAACCTTTTACCTCTGCTACTCAAACTTCCCACCACTGGCTGTCTCACCCTTTATTGGAGAGGTTGGCTTTGAGAAAAAAGAAATAGGATGTTTTTGTTTTGTTGTTGTTTTATTTTATAATCTGGACTTCTTCTTCTACCTCCTTCCCACCTTAAGTGTTTTAAAATCAATGAATAGCTTCACAAGGGAAAATGAGTATTGCCTCCTTACTCAAAGTCCTCTCTGTTTGATTCCCGTCCTAAATTGAATATTAACTTGGGATGCCTTCTTCCTTATACTTTTTTTTTTTTTTTTTTTGAGACAGAGTCTCACTCTGTCACCCAGGCTGGAGTGCACTGGTACAATCTCAGTTCATTGCAACCTCAAACTCCCAAGCTGAAATAATCCTCTCACATCAGCCTCCCAGGTAGCCAGGATCACAGGTGTGAGCTACCACGCCCAGTTAATGTTTTTCTTTTTTTTAAATTAAAAAATTTCTTTTTGTAGAGATAGGATCTCACTACATTGCCTAGGCTGGTCCTAAAATCCTGGACTTAAGCGATCCTTCCGTCTTGGCCTCCCAAAGTGCCAGGATTACACAGAAATAGATGATTATGAAAAAACAGAGTAAACTTTATGCATTCGAAGAATGGATATGTCACAGTACGTTATTATCACCAGTTACATAGCTGCTTTTTTTGAGACAGTACAAAACCTTTGCTGTGGTCTGAATGTTTCTATTCTCCTAAAATTTGTATGTTAAAATCCCAAGCCCCAATGTGCTGGTATTAGGAGGTATGTTTTGGGGAGGTGATTAGGTCATGAGGGCTGAGCCCTCATGCAGGAGATTAAAAAGACCCCAGAGAGCTCCCTCACACCTTTTTTTTTTTTTTTTTGAGATGGAGTCTTGCTCTGTCTCCAAGGCTGGAGTGCAGTGGCGCAATCTACGCTCACTGCAAGCTCTGCCTCCCGGGTTCACGCCATTCTCCTGCCTCAGCCTCCCCAGTAGTTGGGACTACAGGTGCCCGCCACCAAGCCCGGCTAATTTTTTTTGTATTTTTAGTAGAGACGGGGTTTCACCATGTTGGCCAAGATGGTCTCGATCTCCTGACCTTGTGATCTGCCCGCCTCAGCCTCCCAAAGTGCTGGGATTACAGGCTTGAGCCACCGCGCCCGGCCCTTCCCTCACACCTTATACCATGTGAGGTTATAGTGAGGAGGCACCATCTATGAACCAGGAAACAAGCCCTCACCAGACACCGCATCTGCCTGCCACTTGATCTTGGACTTCCCAGCCTCCAGAACTGTAAGAAATAAGTTTTTGTTGTTTGCAAGCCACCTAGTCTATGATAGTTGTTATAACAACCCGAATGGACTAAGACAACCTGTACGTAAGAAAAATGTACACGTGGAGAAGATTAGGCAACTCCTTGAATTAGTTCCTCATGATATGCTTAGAAAGGTTTGTTATCTACTTTATCCTTTTGACTTTTTCTTGGAGGAGCAGCCCATCCATCCCCTTGGCAAATAAATTGTTGGGTGTGTGGTAGCATTTTCATGTGACATTTGATTTTCTGGATGTCTTCTAAATCAAAACAAGATGGCTGCAGTCCCGCTTGTTCCTGGTGTGCATCTTCTATTTATGTTTGTCACCGCCCCCGGCTCCCTCTCTCTGTCCTCTCCCCCGTCCTGTTCTCCAGCACTCTCACATTCTTCCTCCCCCTCATTCCCTTCTTTGTACCCCGTCAGCCCTGCTTTTAGACCTGAAGTCCGTAGTTTTCAGCTTGAGGGTGGAAATCCAGCCTCATATGTTCACTAATCTCTCTTGGCCACCCTTCACCTCTCCCAGTTAAGTGGCAATTCTTCGTGCCTCTGTGCAAATGTCTTCACTGTAGTACCAACAAGACATCAGAGAATCAATTAGTGCCAAGACCACTCATATGTGTCTGGAGAGTTTTCCAGGTCAATCTATGTTGGCTTAAAACCTTCCATATTTTCATAAATTATAATGGTCTGGTACCGTGAAGTGAACTGGAGAACAAGGCCTCTTGTTCTACACAGGGAAGAGTTCATTTCAAGGGGACATTGACAAATATGGTGACATCTTGATTTTGTCAAATGTCACTATTTATTTTTCAACTATTTTAGCTCAGCAAAACCAAATCTCTCCCTTCCTGGACTTTTTATAACTTTACTGTGACTGTTGAATTTCATGTGTACTTTAGATGAAATATAACCTCTATGTTTCTACAACATTTGCACTTAATAAAACTGACTATTGTTTTCTTAATGTCCAAGAACACTTTAAGAGATTTCAATAAGCCTCTTTTAAAAGGCTTTCTTCTGCCCAGGCCCCAAACCAGGAAACTATATTTTACTAAGGGTAAATAAAATTTTATCATTTCCAAAATTCAAGTGTAGCCTCCACACCAGGCACCCAACATGATTAAAGAGCCTGCTGAATTTGACAAAATGTGTTCTGTTCCCTTTGGTTCAAAAGTGTGTGCATGTGAAACTCCCAAACAAGTTTATAACCACTAGATATATATATATATATATATATGTACATATATTAAATGATAAATATATTCTATAATTGCATTATATATCTCTATATCACCAACTTAATGCTTCCATTCAAGTTCTGATGCAAAGGTGTGTGAGTGGTCATTCAATCTGCATACAAGCACAATCAATAAAAGGTTTTATATTTAAATCAGGACATGCTCAACCTGGCATCACCAGAAGCCTTCTCACATGGCACCTCTAGACCCCATTGCCTTCCCACTCAGAGGTTCCCTGTCCACCATCCTCTCCTCCACCCAAATGCCATCCTTGGACTTTTATAGCTAATTACTTCAGTATGTTAACTAAATTGGTCTCCAAGCTCTTAATGAAGTTGCAAAAGCTCATTTGCAATATGACTACTGTCCTCTTAAAACTGATAAATACCACCATTACTTTCCCTCCAACTAGGCTGGGCTTGCAGCAGAATGGAAGTGGTATACGTGTGTTGCTTTAATGGGAAACACTCCTTTAGACCTTGAATGCTCAGAAGCTCAATGCTTTGTCTTCCTAATGATTTCAAAATCCTGCTAAACATGTTACAATTGCCCAGGACCCATGCATCTCAGACATCAAATTAACTATCTTCATGTATAGATATGAAGATCTTGTCAAAATAGTTGACCCTATTTTCACCTTTCATGGTGTCACTGAAGAACATAAAAAGCATAATTATCAAAGGAAAGATGTATTATCACAGACGAAGACCTTGAGAAAATCTCTAAAGGATTCTGTTGAGTCTGAGGCTCTCTTGATGTGCATTTTCTCCAAATGGGTGGGTGTCACTGTGAGCTCAAAAACCTGAAACCAACCTTTTCCATTACTTAATAATTCAGATCACCATCTGGTTTATTCCCCCACAATTTATCTCTGCACTACACATGATAGAGTGTCTTCAGTTCAGCCCAGTCAGAAGATTCTGGGGATGCTCCAGGAATATACTTTCCTACCATGATCACTTGGCTGCTAGGTTTGATCCTGGTCAATATGCTCCCTTTTGTGTGTGCCAACAACACACTTAGGAAAGGGTTCACACCTAATTCACATCCCTAGGTACTCTGCAAGTAGACACACGCACACACGCATGCACTCATGCACACAGACATGCACATAGAGGCACACGGGACTTTCTTTATTCCCACATATCCCTGAATCCAACAAGCTTTCCACTCTCATCCCAAAACCAACTGTAAAATCCCAAGCCCCAATGTGCTGATATTAGGAGGTGTGTTTTGGGGAGGTGAAGCTTGTCGGATTCCCTGAATCCGACAAGCTTTCCACTCCAGGACCCAAAACCAACTTTAAAGCACAGCTTTTACCACAGTTACTCCAGACTTAAGCAAGAGGAATTTCAGTGTGTGACTAGGGACCCAGGACTATTCCCAGGTGGCTTTGACTTGGTAACCTCAGAAGGATGCTTGTCCTGTAACCAGCTGTCTTTTGTGGTATGGCCAACAGCCAGGTCTCTGCTCTCTGATGCAATCAGTAGAAAAGACAGGAGAGGCAAAGGCTGGAGGGGATGGTATTTGTTCACTGACTCAAAGGCAAATCATTCACGTTAATGCTTCTTTATTGGCATTTGTTTCCTGAACGCGTTGATTACTGGCTTTCCTGCCTCTCATGTTGTGTGTCCATGGCACTGCCCTAAACACAAACACCCTAGCTAGAAACTGGAAGAAATGAAAATATAGGAAGAGAATGACTGATCCTGATGATTGCTATCTGAGGGTAGGAGAATGCAAGTGGAGGTTTACAATTTAAAAAGGAAGTAAACAACAAAACAGGAAATTCTGACACAAAGTACAGGAATAGCCAATTAAGATAAACATTTTTTAATAAAAATTTCTTTTGTCCAACCCCTAATCCTCAGTGTTGCTGGAGATCCAATGGCACATAGTTCCGGGGTTGTTGATCTTGGATTCAGTTTTCTTTAAAAGGCTTGCCTGCCTGCTGCCTGACTTCTTTCAGTCCCAGCCTAATGTCATTCGGGTTATAGGTTATTGGCTGTTGGCACTTGAAGCATCTGTGTTGTGTGTGTAAATCAGTGACTATAGTTAGAGGAAGAAGTTCAAAGTCTGGAACTAATGACTCATGTTGCTGGGAGCCATTTGACCCAACTCTCTGCTGCGCCCCAAACCCTAGTTTTACTTGGCCAGAGTTCTCATGAGTACTCAGTGAGAAACTGGAATTAGAAATCAGTTCTCCTCTTTGAAATGCAAGCCTGATGGCAGTACAATGATGGAAAGAGACAGCATTATCCAAGCACAAAACCAAGGCTTGCCCTCTGGTTATTAAAATGTTGAAATACTTCCTTATTCCTTGGTAATAGCAGCCTCACAAGCTCCCCCAGGCGGCCCCACTATGGCATGAAGATGCCTAAGTCACCCCACACTCTACTGGACTGCTGCCTGTTCCAGCAACCTGATGGTTACCCCGGTACCTGCACAGCAGGAGGCCTCTGTGCCCACCTCCATTCCGATTGGCCAGCATCCCATCAGTAAAATTCTTTGAATGTTATCCCTGCACCAATCATCACTCGTTTTCTCTTTGGGAAGTTCTGGTTGCCACAATTTTAAGAAGACTCAGTGGGACTGAAGTTAGGTAACTAAGATGTTGCCACGGAAAGTCAGAATACAGTTGAGAATTTTTTGTCAAGAGACACAAAAGCCTGGAGAAGGCGATGGTTGAATAGGATGTTCCAGGTGAACCAGGGCTCAAGCTCAAACCCGAAGAGCACCTCTTACCAAAAGTATAAAACAGGTGTGCTTAGATAAATGCAAGAAAGTACTACTTTGTACAGCCTGTTATAAACTTAGGAACACTGCATAATATCCAAGATTGTTGAAGATGTAAACAGGTTCAAAATGCATAATCAGTTTTTAAAACGTGAGCATCTGTTAGCTTGAATGTGCTCACTGTAATCTCGCCTCCTGGGTTCAAGCAATTCACCTGCCTTGGCCTCCTGAGTAGCTGGGATTACAGGCATGCGCCACCACGCTCGGCTAATTTTTTGTATTTTTAGTAGAGACAGGGTTTCACCATGTTGGCCAGGATGGTCTCGAACTCCTGACCTCAGGTGATCCACTCGCCTCAGCCTCCCAAAGTGCTGGGATTACAGGCGTGAGCCACTATGCCTGGCCGAATGTGCATTCTAAAGGGGCAAGTGGAATCTCTGCTGTAGGATTATAACTGTTTGAGGCTGCCGCCAAGGATGGTTATACCTCCAATTATTATCTTGGTGCTTCTATTAAAACAGAATTTTGAACTGAGAGTGATGTGTCCACTTGGACATCAGACACTTTTGTCACTGCTGTCATTGTTGACATGGTGGGGTTCAGAAGAGGATGTGGAAATTCTTCACAAATGGATGGGGGAGGAACCTGAGAACCTTCCTATTTCTTGCCAGGGAAGTCTCAGAAGTTTCTAATGGAGCATCCCCTGACTCCCACCATACTGCTACCCATGGAGAGAATTTACGGTTTGGGATTGCTGGTGCAACGTACAGCGGCTGCACAACAAGGTGGGTGAGAAGAGATTAGACAGAATCCTGGAGGTAAAATTTTAGTTCCAGCTGAGTCCTCGAATCTTTGTGGAAATTTATTATTTGATTGAACATAACTTACCTTTTTTCTGACTAAAAATGATACATATTTGCTGGGTGAAGTGGCTCATGCCTGTAATCCCAGCACTTTGAGAGGCTGAGGTGGAATAATTGCTTGAGCCCATGAGTTTGAGACCAACCTGGGCAACATAGCAAGACCCCGTCTCTACGAAAAAATTAAAAATTAGTTGGGTGTGGTGGCATATGCCTGTGGTTCCAGTTACTCAGGAGGCTGAGACAGAAGGATAGCTTGAGCCCAGGAGTTTGAGGCTACAGTGAGCTGTGATCATGCCACTACACTCCAGCCTGAATGACAAAGCAAGACCCTTTCCCCACCAAGAAAAAAGAAAAAAAAAAGAAAAAGAAAAAAAGAAATATGTTTATTATCAAACATAGTAATCCAGAAAAGTATAAAGCATAAAATAAAGACCCAATTTCCCACTACCCACACATGACCCACTGGATCTAATGTCAACATAGTACTAAATGTATTTCTGGACAGCTTTCTCCATAATATGCATATACACACAAGTAACATGCCATTTACAGCAGTCGAATCATACTATACATGACACTTATGTTTTTTTTTTGGGGGGTGGGGGGGAACAAGTTTCGCTCTCGTTGCCCGGGACGGAGTGCAATGGAGCAATCTCAGCTCACTGCAACCTCTGCCTCCTGAGTTCAAGTGATTCTCATGCCTCAGCCTCCCAAGTAGCTGGGATTACAGGCCTGTGCCACCACGCTCGATTAATTTTTGTATTATTAGTAGAGACAAGGTTTCACCATGTTGGCCAGGCTGGTCTCAAACTCCTGACCTCAGGTGATCCACCTGCTTCGGCCTCACAAAATGCTGGGATTACAGGCTTCAGTCACCACACCCAGCCTATAATATGCTTTTTAAACTCACTGTATAATAAGTCAATAAATACAGCGCTATTTCATCTTTTTTTTTTTTTTTTTGGAGTCAGGGTCTTACTCTGTTGCCCAGGCTAGAGTGCTGTGGTGCTGTCACGGCTCACTGCAGCCTCAACCTCCTGGGTTCAAGAGATCCTCCCACTTCAGCTTCCTGAATACCTGAGACCATAGGCACATACCACCATGACAGGCTAATTTAAAACTATATATATTTTTGTAGAGATAGGGGTCTCACTATGTTGCCCAAGCTGGTCTTGAACTCCTGGGCTTAAGCAATCATCCTGCCTTGGCCTCCCCTTACCATTACTTATAAAAATGGCAAAAACTGCAGTTACTTTTGCACCAACCTAATAAAACTCTGTAGGAAAGCACTTTGTTTCCATTTTTTCTACTATATGTTCATGATGAAAATTCTTGCATCCTATCAAACATATTCTTAGACCAGAGTTCTAGATATGGAATTTCTACATCAAATGGCATGCTTATTTTAAATTTTAACAAACATTGTTAAACTGCTCTTAGAGACCTCTAGATTTGTGTGCATATATATGTATATATATATACACACATATATGTATATACACACATATATAAATATGTATATGGAGAAAAAGAGAGCAAGGGAAAAAGGATAGATCTATTTACCTACGTATACAAAAAACGACAGAGAGACTTATAAGGAATTGACTCATGCAGTTATGAAGGCTGCTAAGTTTAAAATCTGCATAGCTGATGTCTAGTTCTAGTTCAAAAACCAACAGTCTGCTGTACAGCCAAGAAGACCCAATGATTCATGGCTGATGAAGACCACCAGGGAGAAGGATTCTCTCCTACTTGGGGTAAGGCCAGCCTTTTGTTCTTTTCACGCCTTCAACTATTTGGACGAGGCCCACCCATGGAAGGCATTCTTCTTTACTCTGTCCACTGATTCAAATACTAATCTCATCCAAAATCTCCCTCACAGAAGCACCCACAGTACTGTTTGACCAAATGTCTGGATGCCTTATGCCCTAGTTAAGTTGACACAAAATTAACTATCACACTTGCCCTCCAGAAATCTGACCTTATACTCACACCAGCAGTACACCAGAGTTGCTGTTTGCCTCCAGCGGCACCTGCATTGGCCTCTGCCAATTTCTAATTTTTACCAGTGTGGTAGGAAAAAGTGGTATCTTGATATTGCTGGGGTTTTTTCACTTTGCACATTTTTTTTTTTTTTTTTTTGAGACTTTCTCCTCTGTGGCCCAGGCTAGAGTGCAGTGACACAATCATGGCTCTCTGCAGCTTTTACCTCCTGGGCTCCAGCAATCCTCCCACCTCAGCCTTTCCAGTAGCTGGGACCTCAGGAGTCCACCACCACTCCTGGATAATTTTTGTATTTTTTGTAGAAATGGGATTTCACCATGTTGCCCAGGCTGGTCTCAAACTTCTGAGCTCAAGTGATCTGCCCACCTTGGCATCCCAAAGTGCTGGGATTACAGGTGTGAGCTACCGTGCTTGGCCTGCACTTCTTTATAACTAGTGAGGTTAGGCACATTTTTCATAAGGTCAATGGCGTCTTTTGTTGTTGCTTGGTAAATTAACAGCTTTATGTACTTGACCAAATTTTCTATTGGATTGATTACTTTTGTTATATTAATGTATAAAAACTTTGTATTAGTAATATTAATACTTCATCATATATATTATAATATTTTCTCCAGTTTGTGTTTGCTTTTTAACCCTTGTGTGTTATGTGTTATGTTATGCCATTTACTGTTCAGGTAGTCCAATTCAATGTCTTCCTGCATAGTTGCTATTATCGATGCCTTCCCTTATCTAAGGCTTCTGAAAATATTCCGTTGGGTAAGTTTCAGCATCTGACAATTAGGGGGACATCCAGCTTCCAAGTTCAAAAATCCTATGTGTTCTGCTTGTTAACACTCACCCTACTCTTTGCCTACAGAGCCAGTTTCTACCCCCTTTCCTAAATTCTCTTTATAGTGCCAAGATGATCAAAACCAACCCATCCCTCCCACTGTAGTTATAGAAGCTCTCCATCAGCACTGGGCCAGCCCGGTGCCAGGGGTTGGGTTACCAGTTAGGTGCCAGGAGTAACTTCGACATGATCACAGAAGATACACATCAGTTAACACAGCAGCAGCTGTGTGGCTGTGCTTCCAAGACACCTGGGTCCACATGTCTTCAACGGTGCCCACGTACTGAGCGCAAGCTAATGCCAGTGACTGCAGTCTGCAAAGTTAACCCCTCGTGGGACTTTAAAGCTCAGAGTGATTTTTGTTTGTTTGTTTTGTTTCTTAGGAATTTCTTCTACAGGAGACAAGAGTTTTCAAACTGTACCAGACTCAAACTTTTAACTCTAATTACACAAAGCTGAAGAGTGGCTAAAGACAAAACAGGGACTAATTGAAAGTAAATTCGGGGGCCAGATGCGGTGGTTCACGCCTGTAATCCCAGCACTTTGGGATGCCGAGGCAGGAGGATCACCTGAGGTCAGGAACTCGAGACCAGCCTGACTGACATGGTGAAAACCCCTCTCTACTAAATACAAAGGATTAGCCAGGCATGGTGGCGCATGCCTGTAATCCCAGCTACTTGGGAGGCTGAGGCAGGAGAATCACTTGAACCCAGGAGGCGGAGGTTACAGTGAGGTAAGATTGCGCCACTGCACTCCAGCCTGGGCAACAAGAGCAAAACTCCGTCTAAGAAAAAAAAAATTCAATTAGGGGATCAAGAATGAATCATTAAACATGGATTTTATTTGGACATCTCTTCTTAATATGGCAGATGCATTGGGTTTTTAAGGTAATAAGAAGCCATTACATTAAGGTAGTGTGAAATGAATACGCAAGGTTGTGTGCACTAGCACCTGTCACTTAAGTGGTAGTCTGTAGGGGTTTGTTGAATGAATGTATGACTGAATGAAACTCAAAATACATTATTGTTGGATCACCTAAGGCTTAAATAATGTATCTATGGTAAACCATGATAAAGGAACAAACACAAATGATTCTGATCTCTAGTTTCTTCGTATGCCATTAAGAGAGGATTGTTGCAAATATCTTTGAGGGTAACTCTCAGAGAGGTTGGAGGTGGAGGCAGGGATTCATTAGAGCCATCTGAGCAGCTTTTCTAAGCTAAACATACCCCACTTCCTCCCACTATAATGGTGTGCGTGCATGGCCCACCTCCCCATTCTTTGGCTCACTTGGAGTTTCTATACTCTAAGTGGAACTCACTCCTTTGGTGAAATGTGTTCCACTTACAATGTGAGACATGCCCAAAAGAGCCCATCCTTTGTTTGTAAGTTTCTCCACAGGTCTTCTACCGAGCCAGCACTAGCCATAATACCAAGTGCTGCTCCACCCCTCATCAATGTCAACCTCCTTTGCTTGTTGATGACCTCACTGTGATACTGTAAAGGGCAGAGTAGCTGATAATGCACCGAGCCTCTGTGCTCAGGAAGTCTTGGGTGCTCAACATCTGTTGTATCTCTGGCTCAAGTGGGTAATAGTGCTGTAAATCAACAGGTGTTCATGAGTTCACTCTGCCTTACGTGCCTGGGGCCCTGGGTGCATGGAAGGAAGCTTTGGGCACTGGACTGGGTGCTGCAGTCCTGCCCCTCCCAACCTTGCCCTACGTGAACAGGCACTTGGGCAGGGCTCTGTTACACCCTCAGCTGCCCAGCCCATCTCTTGGCTCTCCTGCTGTTGGATACACAGTCCCATGAGCTCACTGATTTAATCCATTTTATTACTACTAACTAAATTTAAGACATTTTCTCCTCTAACACAATAGATTTTTCTTCTAATTAAATACTCATCAAAGTGATTAATTAAACGAAAGGCTAGTGTATTTATGCTCCATTTTCCATGTCTGCTTTGCTGGTACCCTTTGCAGTCCGGACTTTCCCATTTTCTAGCTGTCAAAATCCCTTCTTCCCTAATTTGGAATGTATTTAGCTAATTCCCTCTGCAAAATCCTATTCACTGATTTAGGCTGGTTAAGGAATTCCCCTTCTCAAAGCGTCGCTTTACTGATCTTAGAGGACACTGAGCTCACTTTAACATGAAAATATAAAATAGAGAGCCTCTGAGGATGGGATTATATTTCTAGTTAATTTGTTCAGAACTTCATATAAAATGACACTTTAATTTACATAAAATCTGTCAACCTCCAGAAATGGTTTAAAAGGTCTCAATAGGGCCGCACACAGTGGCTCACACCTGTAATCCCAGCACTTTGGGCGGCTGAAGCGGGTGGATCACCTCAGGTCAGGAGTTCAAGAACAGCCTGGCCAAGATGGTGAAACCCTGTCTCTACAAAAAATACAAAAAAAGGTGGCAGGTGCCTGTAATCCCACCTACTCAGGAGGCTGAGGCAGGAGAATCGTCTGAACCTGGGAGGCAGAGATCGCGCCATTGCACTCCAGCCTGGGCAACAAGAGCGAAATGCCATCTAAAAAAAAAAAGGTCTAAATAGGGAAACAGAATCTACATCAAACAATTTCAACAGAGGGAATTTATGCTAGGAACCGGGTGCGTGGATGATGGGGGTGTTGAGAGGCTGAATTGGGAGAGTGAGGAAAAGCCACTGCCAGTGGCCCGGGGTCACCCAAAGGAAGCTCAAACCATGGCAGGGGCCACAGCTGTGCCAGAGACACCAACATAGGCACAGAGAGGGGACCACCCAGCTAAGCCCCAGAAGCTGAGAAAGGAGGCTCCAGGGCAATGTGCTCTGGCAACCTGGAGCAGAGCAGGCAGGAGAAGGGCTGAGAAGTGGACCCAAGGCAAAGGCCCAAGCTAGGGTCCCAGCCTTCCTTCTCCAGGCTCCAACACAGTCCACATGATGTGGGCAGCTGAGGCTACTCCATGGCTCCCTGACAGTGAGACGTGTGCCTCTGTCCACTGGGAACCACTGCATGTCCACAGGATTGAAGAAAATAACTGTCTCAACCCCCCTTCCAGCCGCATACTCAGGCAGAGTCTTAGCCATAGTGCCTCCCACGTTGCATCTTTTAACAGCCTGGCTTATGTTCCCAAAATGGTGTTGGACAACTAAGGAAATAAAGAGAGTGACCTTTCCTGCAAACTTACATTTCTAGGCTGGGATACGCACCTGCTTCATGAAACACCCACTCTTCTGACATTTCTCCTAACTGAGTCACACAGGCTGAATTTTTCTGATGCTTAAGTTATGTCTGTGCGAAGTTATTCTGAAGGGTATTTGGTGATTTAATGAAGAAAGCAAATATTGACCTTGTACAATGCAGGTGTCCATCCACAGGTAAAAGAATAAACAAAATGTTGTGGTCTATCCATATAATGGAGTATTATTCATCCTGAAAAAGGAAGGAGATTCTGCCACATGCTGCAACATGGATGAACCTTGAGGGCTGTATACTTAATAAAATAAGCCAGTCACAGAAGGATCAAATTCTGTATGATGCCACTTAGAGGGGATATCTAGAGTGATCAAGTTTATGGGAACAGAAATTAGAGTGGGGGTCACCAGGTGCTGGGTTTGGGGGGACAGGGAGTGGAGAGCTGTTTAATGGGGACAGCATTTTAGCTTTAGTTGGGGCAAGTGAAAAGAGTTCTGGAGATAGATGGTGGTGACAGTTGCACAGCAATTTGAATATACTTAATGTCACTGAACTGTATATTTTAAATGGTTAAAATGGTCAATTTTATGTTTACCACAATAATACATTTTTAATTTCAAAAATGTCTATTTACCTTGTGGTTTTGTCCTGAACTGGTATCCAGGGAAGACCTGGGCACCTGAGGACCTGACCTCACTCTTCTCCTGTGTTTGGTCTCTGGCTGGTTCTACCCAATGACTAAACCCAACCAGAAGCCAGACAGCAAAGGAGGCCTTTGATGCTTGTTCACATCAACCACCCTGGCACACAGCAAGGGTGTGTGGGGGAGCAGCAGAGTTGCCCAGGGCCCCTTCCACCCCAGCTTTTCCAATGATCCGCCACATGGTGGTTGTAAATGGCTCTAGAATTAGAGTCTTGTTGACCAGATTACAGCCCATTATTTACAGTAATTGACAGGGCACATCTGGGAGTGGCTTCCTATATAAACTCAGGGGCTAGCAAGGCATTTGGTCCACTCTATGCTCTCCCTCAGCTCCTATTTGAGGCTTGGCATGTCACCGGTTCATGTTTCGTCCCTCTAATTGAGGGTGTTGATCGCTGCTAGAGTACAAATAAGTTTAGCCAAGGGGTCACCAGCTGTCATCGATAATGTCAGTTGGTGTGGATGAAGACTCTACGCATAAATTTGAGAGAGAAATTTGAGGGAGACAAAACAAGGGTACACAGTATCCGGAATGTGCAGAGTGATACTGACCTGTTGGTATACTGTTGTGTTCCATTTTTTGTGTATATTTTTAGCATGTGACTTGAGACAGAGTGAAGTCCTGAATTTAGCGGATGTTTGAAAAGCCCAGCCCAGTCCTCAGCATACAGTAAGCATGCTTACTTTCTTGCTGAAGATATAATAGCGTAACATGAGGTGCTGATCATAGTCCTGGAAAGCATTACAGTCCTGAACGCTGTAATCCCAGATGCTGAAATCCCTAAAGATCAAAATTCCTAAATCCTAGAACCCTAATGTTTAAAACAAAGTGACACACAGCGCTGTTGCTGTTTGATCAACAGTGTTGTTTCTGCCAAATTTGTGGTCTGTATAGGCGTGCGTGCAGAATGGATTTCACTGTACCCAAAGCAACTTAGACGCATGGCACAGAAGATGGGAAAATTTAACAAGGAATGCTCATGTCAGTGTACACGGACTCCTAGAAGAATTTCGAAAAGAACAGCATCATATAGAAAATGGAGGTGAATGTATTCTCTGAGGAGGGCCATGTCCTAAAAGAAAATTTGTGATGTAAGACTTTAAAATAAAATTAATGATAGTGAAAGTCAGCCAGCTTTTGTGAACTATCTCTGTGCAATCGCCCATAATCCATCCCTGTAATACACTTTTTCACATGCTGAATTTTCTTTTTAGTTTATTTGGGGGAGGGTTCTTTTTAAATTTGTTTCCCACTATTTTAAACTGTCAGCATTATTTTTTACAATTCTCTCTGCTATGTATTTCATTATTGCATCATTGCCATACTGGAGGTTTAAATCGTGTAAAGACTTTGAGAGAGTTCTAATTTGTTTTACGCATTTTTTTTTTTTTTTGCAAATTTGACTCCATGAAAGTGCATTATCACAACGTTATTTTGTATGTAAGCATTATGTGTGTACATTCTCATTAAGTGAAGACATGTCCTTTTTCTATATCCGGGTTTGTGAAAGACAAAGTTTCTCAAGGTCTTGATTCTTTTGGTGACTGCATATGTGGTAGTGACCATCATGTAGTTTTGTTTTGTTTTCTTCTGTTTTTTTGTTTTTTTGAGACAGAGTCTTACTCTGTCACCCAGGCTGGAGTGTAGTGGTGCAATCCTGGCTCACTGCAACCTCTACCACCTCCTGGGTTCAGGTGATTCTCCTGCCTCAGCCTCCCAAGTAGCTGGGATTACAGGTGTCCGCCACCACGCCTGGCTAATTTTTGTATTTTTTTTAGTAGAGACCAGGTTTCACCATGTTGGTCAGGCTTGTCTTGAACTCCTGACCTCATGATCCGCCCGCCTTGGCCTCCCAAAGTCCTGGGATTACAGGCATGAGCCACGGCGCCTGGCATCATGTAGTTTTTGATCAGTCTCATCAAAAGGCAGGTTGTCCATGATGGTAGTTCACAAGACCACAGTTAGCAATCTGGATCACCTGCTCATAACTGTTATACCTGTGCGACTATCATTAGTATACCTAGAGTGGTTATGCTTGTAAAAAGATGTATGTTATTATTGCCTATTTTATTGTATTTAGTGGCCTATGAAGTGGTCTGTCATTTTTTTGATGTTTCTCTAATAAGTCCCCTTTTAAAAATGTAAACAAATGTCTTGTAAAGAATTTTCCATTATTTTTTCTGGAGTTATATTTTGGAGATTTTGATCTTTAAGGATTGAGATTTTAGGGATTTAAACTTTGGGGATTTGGGTCTTTTGGGAATTCAACATTCAGGGCTATGGGCTTTGGGACTGTATCTTTCCAGGTTATGGCCCGAACTCCTTAACATCATACTGAGATTATTATTGGGTCAATTTTCTGATAGGATAACATGGTTCATTTCAACACCCAGACTAGGTCAGCATAAGACAAGTTCAAAAATAAGAGGTGCCTGGATTCTGTACACCAGCAAATGGTGGTGCTATTTTTCAGGTTGAAACTTCCCAGAGCTGATCATAAATGTATTTACACTTACTGGACATTTATGCAGCCGTTCCTGCCTGTTTATTGTTCTGGGAAGTGCAGAAGGAATGTTTATGTAGAGGTTTCAGGAATAGCAAATGGAGTGGTTAGGCAATGAAAGGTATTCACTTGAAAATGAGGCTGGGCTTGTCCTTCCAGATTCTGCAGACAGGCGCTTGGTAGGCAACGCGGTTCACAAACCACTCATCCTCTGCACCCCAACACACACTGGTTCTGCATCTGAGGACTTTCCAGTCCAGAAAAACAACACTTTCCTTGGTCTACACTCTTTTCAGCTTACAAAAAATGGTATCGGTCCACGCACTCCCTCCTAAAACCCTATTCTCTCTGCCCCAGAACTAAGTGCTTCTCCTCTTACCTCTCTGCTATCCTTCTCTGGCTCCTTGGCTAGCTGTCTTCCTCTGACATGCAAACCACCAAGCCAGCAGGGAAAAGCCTGCCCATGGTGAAAGAGACCCAGCTCCCTCCAGCCAGGGGCCAGGTGCATTACCCCCAACCCCATGGCTTCTCAGCTCAGGGAGGGAGAGGAGGGAAAGGCAGTCCCAGCAGCAGTCAAGCTGGGTGGGATAGAGGAAATGGAGGGAAACGTGGGCCTGGCTGGCCCTTGTGACAGATAAGAAGCACAAACACCCCCCAGCAGGCTCAGCAGCACTAGGCTTACAGCAGTGGCCTGTGCGGCACTCAGGTGGCTGAGCTTTGTACCATCCTACGTACAAAGCTCAGCTCTGGCAGGCTCCAGGAGCCACAGAACCAGGTTCACAGAAAGATTAAGGCTGCCCACCCCTGAGCAAGAAGCTGTAGTGACAGCGACTCCCTCAAAGATGAGGGTGGTGGCAACAGTGGTAAATGGCACCTACAGTGACTATAAGGGAAAGGTGCTCCAGGTTCAAGGTGAGAGCCTCAGGCTGTGACAACAGTGCACAGTTAGTTCATTGCAAGCTCCTTGAGCTGAGGTTCTTCTCTTATGTTCAGGGCTGAGGCTCCAAGACCTAGCACAATGCTTGGCACATGGAGGAAGCTCCATGGACAGTTCTTGGAAAAAATGAATGAATAGCACTGATGGATGAACAAGAAGATTTTATGTCCCACAGGCAAAATGCCTTAGTGCATTGGCCTGGGGGTGCTGAGATTTTGCAGGAGACTCTGCCCACGGTGGGGTGCCCTCACCCAGGCTGGTAGCTGGGGATAAACTGGAGGAGCTCATGGCCATCTGTGAGTCTCCATCCTGTCGATCCTTGTGCCTGCCAGTGTCTGGTTCCTAGTGGAGGCTCAGTACATATTTCCCGAATTGAATAAAAAATGCTTGTTTCAGACCTATCTGTTTTGTAGTTTTGGTCTCCAAGTTTTTGAAAACATGACCAAAAAGTATCTGTCCACCTTTCCCCTATGATACCATAAAAGACAGGCAAGTGCCACATTCATGGGCAGTTCCTCTCCTTGGCACGCCCAGTCCTGACCACAGCCCCAAGTCCTGGCCACGGCGCTCCCTGTAGATATGGCTCCTTCCCACAGTGTCTGCTGTAGGTAGTGAATGTCAGGCAGGCACCCTCCCTCACATCTCACCCATCCCCAAGACTGTGAGAGTGAGTCAGTGTGGAGCAGGAAGAATGTCAAACAGGGCTGCATAGAGGCAGAAGCGTACAATACCTTTCCTTGCCTTCAGCAGGGTCACAGCCAACACTTCTCTAACAAAAGACAGACCAACAAGAGAAAAGCATAATAAGCTTGGTGCGATGGCTCACATCTATAATCTCAGCACTTTGGGAGGCTGAGGCAAGAGGATCACTTGAACACAGGAGTTGGAGGCCAGCCTGGGCAACATAGCAAGACCACTGTCTCTACCAAAAAATAAAAAATAAAAATTAGCCAGGCATGGTGGTGCATGCCTGTGGTTCCAGCTACTCAGGAGGCTAAGGCAGGAGGACTGCCTGAGCCCAGGAGTTTGAGACAGCATTTTGTGAGTTGTGATAATGCCATTGCACTCCAGTCTGAGTGACAGAAACAGACCTTTCGAGAAAAAAAATTTATTTCATCAAAGCTTTATGTGACATGGGAGCCTTCAGAATGAAGCCCAAAAGGCCCAAGGAAAGCTGTCCATTATTATGCTTAGATTTGATGAGGGATGGACAGTCACGTGGAAACATGATGAAAAGGGAATGATCTAACGCTAACAGGCTGAGTGGGAAAACTCAGCAAGGCCTGTCTGTTCAGATTCTTTTTGGCCTCTCTGTGTGGCAATCCTTCCTCCCAGCTATAGAGCAGAGACCTTCTGGAATGAAGATCTTATGATCTACTTTCAGACATGGCAGCTCAGAGAATTTCTTTACAGCCAGCTCTTGCCCAGAAAGGTAGGAAAAGGGTAGAGTAATACTTTCAGGATTTAAGGCTGGCTTTGCAGGAGAGTTCTGATTTCTATGACTCGCCTTGGGAAGAGGATTCCGCTTTCTTTGAAAGCTTCAGGGGAGGAAAAGAGGTGGAAGATAGGAAGGCTGGAAAAGGTCAGAGGGCCTTGCTGCTGAGGCTGCGGCTGAGGCCTTCTGAGTAGCCAGTTTGCCAAAGCATCATACTAAAGACTATTGTTTCCTGAGTCCCAACAGATGCTGTTGTTAGAGACCAAATACACCACCCCTAAATATGCTGGAAAAGTTACCCTTTCAAAGAGGATTTACATCTGTAAAGGAAATCTCCATTCCTGCACCAGGAAGAGAAGGATGACTAAATCCTTCGAGATGTATCTATGGAGAAGGTGCCAACTTAACATGATCCATTTTGTTCATTTTCTGTGCTTTTTCTGGGCATTCTTCTCCCCCATAACAGGGTTTTCCCACGCCATTCTTTCTGTGTTTCAGAAAATGATATTTCAGCCCAAAGTTTCAACTCCCTCTTGGATCTACCCTAGAGATTTGCTCAGCTCACTGTGTAACTCCCATGGATATACAAGGTATCCACGCTATTTAATATTCAACTTGTTTGTTTTTCTCCTGTTGATCTGTCTTGTGTTCCAGGGCATCCCAGCTAAGAACTCATGAAGGGTAGAGAGAAAACTGTTTTTCCTCTCTTTCATTTTGGGGGGCTGTTCCCAGAGATCAAAGATGAGCCCTGCAAACTGGTGAGTCCTTTCAGAAGTCCTTTATTTGGGCACCCCAATTCCTTGTCCTCCAGCCCAGCTTCCTCCAAGAGAGGTCCTTCCTTAGGACTCTCAGTGCCATCTCTTCCTGATCTTGTCCTTCTCTTGAGAAAGTCTACCCTACTCCAGAGGCTGACCTAAGACTGGAAGCCCCCCTCTTCCCTGGACACCTGTAGGATGCATTCCATGGTTCAGCTGGCTAGTCTCTGAGGTAGGCAGTCAGCACTTACTTGAGAGGGACTTTGGATAGTCCAAGCAGGGCTTTGGCACTGCAAATTCAAATAAGAGTCCAGAGGATGGGGCTCAGCCTGCAGGCTCTGCCCTGGGCTGTGTCTGTCATAGAGGCTCCTCTGGCAGTAAGACCCAACACAAAAGCATTGAAACTACCCCGTGCTATGTCTTAGGCCAGGTCCTATTCATGGGGGAGGCAACCCCATGCTGGTGTCTGTAGACAGAAGAGGGAATTAAAGGATTTCGGACCCTCTGTACTGCAGGAGCCAGGTCAGGAGAGGGGTCCCCTCTTCCATCATACATATCACTGAAAATGAGTTGGAAGTAAAAGAAGAATTCCTCTATATCACACAGTCAGATCAGGAGGTCATTACTTAAGTTAAAAACAATTTTTAAAAAACAAAATAATCATCAGAACATGCACCTCCTTTAAATAAAAGGCCCATTAAGTGCCTTTCTAATGTCCTGATTGGAGCATAAATTGGGGCATGTTAGGTCAGATAAAAGTGACCTGTGTGATAAAATTATACATTATGATTACATATATTATATTGTTTATTTTCTGTTTCCTTCTTTTTCTCTTAGTGTTTTTTTTTCTTTTCTTTCTCTTTTCTTGCCTTGCCTTTGCCTTGACAGGGACACTTAGAGGATTTGACAGGTCCAGCTACATCAGATCATTGGAATTGGCATGAAAAAGAGCTTCTGGGCCTTACATAGGTTTTTCCAAAGAGTGGGGAAACCCCAAGGAATTCTGTAACCTTAAAATAAACTGAGATTCATTAGTGCAGAAACACAGAAAGCTGTCTTCTGAGTCTCGGAAACTAAGATTTTAGATGAAGTTAATTTTCTTATAAAAGAATACAATATTATTGTAAATAATTTAGAGATTGCATATAAGACAAAGAAGAAAATAAAATGAGCTATATCCGTTCCTCCAGCCATCAACACCTTCCACATTTGTGGCACATCCTTTCAGGATGTATGTGTGTGTGTGGGAGGGGGGTGCTTACCTGTGTGTAGTAACTTCATGTTATACATATGCCTTTTTCCCTCAAGGGTGACCACTGTTGTTGCCCAGGCTGGAGTGCAATGGCGCGATCTTGGCTCACCACAACCTCTGCCTCCTGGATTCAAGCGATTCTGCTGCCTCAGCCTCCCAAGTAGCTGGGATTACAGGTGCCCACTACCACACCTGGCTAATTTTTTTGTATTTTTAATAGAAACAGGGTTTCACCATGTTGGTCAGGCTGGTCTCGAACTCCTGAACTCATGTGATCTGCCCCCCCCTCACCCGCCCCTTGGCCTCCCAAAGTGCTAGGATTACAGGCGTGGGCCATGACCTGCTTTTTATTATCAATCTATAATTATATGTATTGTTCCTATATCATTAAATATTCTCCTTTGACATTTCTAAAGGTTGCAGCGTGTTTTGCTTTGCTTTATTTTTGATTTTATTTTTAGAGACAGAGCCTTGCTTTGTTGCCCAGGCTGGAGTGCAGTGACACGTTCATAACTCACTGCAGCCTTGAACTCCAGGGCTCAAGTGATCCTCCTGCCTCAGCCTCTCAAAATGCTGGGATTACAGGCATAAGCCACTGTGATTGGTCTGTTCTGCTTTTTTATATACTATTTCTCATTTAATCAGCCCCCTTTTGATAGCCATTTAGGTTGTTTCCAACTTTTCCTAATTCCAAGATAAAAAGAGCTTCGAGAAATGTCCTTGCAGCTGTATCTCTGCCCACATCCACTATTCTTTCCTCGGGATAAATCTGCAGGCTTAGAATTGTTGTGGTAATGCAGACAGCTGTCGCCAAATAGTCCTCAGAAGAAGTTGGCCCTCGCCATGGGTGAGTGCCTTTTCAGCATACTCGTAAGTAAGACATTAAGGAAGAATCAGGAGCTGTTGGTCCCCCAAATCAGTTTCTCTTCCTCTCCCAGCATATGGCTTTAAAAATGCTCTGGGAAGATTTCACTGTTTTAATTCTATAGAGAAAACAGTGTATGGCTCAAGAAACCCTTATAATCATGCATGAGCAGGGAGGATAGGGAGGGAGAGAACTTTCTGCGAATGTATTCCACTCCACGGCTTCACAAATGCCTGGCATTTATTAAGCCGATTGTTCGATCTTCCCAACATCCTCTCACCCAAGCAAATGCCCTTGTAAGCTAGAGAGCTCGTTCCAAAGGCAGCACTAGAAATCCACATTTCCCAGCTCACAGAGGTGCTGTGTAGCCTGGGGGAAGTGTCCTTTCACTCCTGGGCCTCCATGCCAGTTACCTAATCTGGGGGGTGCACAGAGGTGGAGCTGAGCAGCCTGTTGGAGGCTCTGCCTCTTGTATGACAAAGTGAGGTCCCTTTCTGGTGCTGGTGGCCTTCCCAGTTTAGCCACCCTTTGGATTCCTGGAAAATATGAGGCCTCGTGTGTCCTTGAAGCAGGCAGGACAAACGAGGACATGGCAGCCCCTTCCCATCTGGGAGCTGAGGCTTCTTTAATCTGGAGACCTTAAAAGGCACGTGGGAGCCAGGGGCTGGGTTCTTATCTCCTAGGCCTGGCCAATGTCCAGACGTGCCTTATTTATAGCGCCACTGACAAGGGCAGCGCAGCTGGCTGGCAGCTGCACAGAAGGTTGGGGCCATCCAACCAGGCAGTCCGCCTGCACAGCAGCTGTCCCTGCTCATCGGGCTGGAGGACAGAAGACAGAACCCTAAAACCACAGGTAAGGGCCACTGGTTCCCCTGTGCCCTTCTCTCACCCTTGCCATCCTTCCCAGCCTGTCTCTGCAGCAGCTCTGTAGGCATCTTGTTGCATGCAGAGGGAGTGTCCAGCCCTGGGAGGAAGCTCTCAGGCACTGGGAGCTCGCTGACCCCAGCAGAGATGCAGGTGTTGCTGGCAGCTGGCTCCCACCAACGGCAGAGCCCAAGAACAGAAGCCACCCTGCCCAGAGCTACAGGGGGTGTCAGCTTGAAGATAGAGAACCCCTGCTCATTGGGAATGAGGAGAGATTTAAATAAAATTGAACCTCTGCCCCCTTTCAGTGGGAATCTGTTTTGAACAACGGAAAACATTTTTTAAGGGGAAAGCAAAAGAAGAAATGTTATAAAATAAACATTGGAAAGGGAGAAAACCACAGTGCACTTGAACTTTTTCTCCCTGACAGAATTTCCGGAAAGCCTGGGATGAAAAGACAAATTACTGATGAGTCTGATTACTCTGGGAAAGTGTGTTTATGCAACATGACTCTTCGCAGCTGATGGTTTGAAAGCCCAGAGAGCTATTGCATGCTTTAAAAAGGAAATGCATGAATATTTTACAATTTCCAGAGCAGGGCAAACTCCAAAATGCACAGTCCTGAGTAATGCCCTGGCCAATTGTGTAATAATCTCAATATTGATAGGATGCCATATATATGATAATAGACATCATATATATAAACATCCTCTAGCCAGACTCCATGTAAGACACTTTATCAAGTCTAATCTAAAAAGAAAAATAAAGTTGTCAGTCCAGTTTATTTTTCTAAATTATTCTGACGTCCAAAGATAGTGTTAATAAACACCTGCCTTACAGATTAATGCTATTGTAGCTCATATTTGCTATATGTAAGTTTACTATAGTTGTTTTATTTGTTTCTTGGGAATATTATTTGAATTTTATTTTATTGCTAGGCTTTCAAAATTTTATCGATACATAATATTTTACATATTTATGGGGTACATGTGAGTGTTCGGTACATACATAGAATGTGTATCAGTACATACATAGAATGTGTAATGACCAAGTCAGGGTTTTGGGGTATCCAGGATGGGCTGGAATAAGGTCTATTATGTGTTGAGATCCACCCGACCCCTTACACAAGTTTTTGTATTTAACTGAGTAGGTGACTAATCCACTCAAATGATTACACTTTGGAGGCATTTTCTTATATTAAAAAATATTTTAATGCATAACTTCCATGAAAAGTTGCATATTTTCCAATACGGGGTTCCCTGACTGCTCACCCACCATCTTGCCTTTCAGCAGGTTTCGTACTTTTAGGTTTCATTGTTCTATTCAGGGCTTCCAGAGTTCTCCATTGATTTCAGATCCCCAAGGCCAGGCCAAGCCATGCCTCTCACTGCATTCCCATGACCTAAAGCACAGGGACCTGCACTCTTTCTACCGATCTCTGAAATGTTTCATATTTACAAGATATGGCCCAGAGACTGATTCTAATTCATTCTCTCCCCACCAAAGAAAGAGGTAAAATTATATTGATTGTTTATATCTTTTTCACTCTACAAATAATCTGTTTACTATAAAAAATACAGACCAGCAAAAAGAAGAAAATGGAAAATCATATATAGTCTTACTACTCAAAGATAACTATTTTTGCAGTTAATTGTTTATCTTAATTATTTATTCATTCTAAGATATCTTTGATTGAAAGATTAACCATTAACTTAATATTCGTTTTTTTTAAAAAAATACCACTATGAGATATTTTAAGGTGAATCCAAAAACATTAAATTATGTGGGAAACTGTAAATAATAATTAACAAAACATATATATATGTATATATAAATCAAGTTATTTGCTAATCTTCTTTCTTCCAATTTATGGCCAATGTCTTTTACTGTAGATTCAAAATCTAATTCCTTGAAAATTGGTTATCTCTATATATCATTATGACCAATTTGTTTAGTCAACATATTAAAATATTCATAATAGTTGGATAGATGAGAAGTAAAAAAGGATAAAGATTTAGATAAGACATTTTATTAGAATATAGCAATATAACATCAGTTCAAAGTATGATCTGGTAATTGACTTCTACACTATTACTGGTCCCTTTTGAATCATGAAAAACTCAACCACCTTGCGCCTTGATCTGCATGCCCTCCACACCCCACAAAATCTGGTTTACTGATTTTTTTTTATTACCGTTGATTTGTCAGCACCTCCTCACTTAATCTCTAATACACTAAAATGTGGATGAAAAATAGAAAAGAACTCACATAAGTTCTGAGCAATTTAATGTTTTACAATTTGATACTTCATTTGAATTTAATGGATACATTTTAGATGGAGAAAAGAGGAATAAAAATCCATTTTAACACAGGACTTTTGTTATAGTTAAAAAGTAATACTGAAAAATTAAACTGAACTAAGACCATATCAAGGCAACAATGCATAAAACATACTTGATCTGTTTTATTAAGGAGGAGCAGATAATTAGATATTAAGAAGAAAGTGCAAGAATTTCATTCTGGTCTTTTTTTATTGTTTGTTTGTTTATTTATTTATTTATGTTTTGAGAAGGAGTCTCACTCTGTCACCCAGGCTGGAGTGCAGTGGCACAATCTCGGCTCACTGCAACCTCCACCTCCTGGGTTCAAGTGATTCTTCTGCCTCAGCCTCCCGAGTAGCTGGGATTACAGGCGCCTGCCACCATGTCCGGCTAATTTTTGTTTTTTTAGTGAAGACAGTGTTTCGTCATGTTGGCCAGGCTGGTCATGAACTCCTGATCCCAGGTGATCCACCTGCCTCAGCCTCCCAAAGTGCTGTCATTCTGGTCTTTAAAGAGTAAGCATGTCTAGATGGTATCTGAAGCGGCTATGGGAACCACCTACTTTCACGTTAAGTAGAAGCCATCATAGTGCTTTTTGCCTGGGCTTAGTTCTGTGCAGATAAATCTAGAGTAATTTCAAGGTATCAGTTCACGGTTTCGTATGAACACAAAATAGAAAATGACATGATTTGAATGTTCTACTCCAAGTCGTATCCTTTGTAGGAAGATGAAATGGTTAAGATGAAGGCACAATGGGTTATATGAAAACATTACATATATGTAATAATATGTAATAACTAAAACCAATAAACAGTGCAATAGCTCAAAAGTGAAGTATGGTTAAATAAAATATGATTAGCCATAGTATGGAATATATGCAACCATCAAAAATAAAGTTTGCATAGAACTTTTGATTTTTAAAACTCAAACTAGAAAGCAATATTCATAATATATGAACTGAAAAAATACACCAAAATATATAAAATTATTGATTCTGAAGGATAAGATTGGTAGTAATGTTACATTTTTCTCTACATTTTAAATAGTTTACTAAATTTTCTATACTAAGTCTGATCATGAAAGTTTTCGTAATGCAAAATTCTATGCAAACATAAAACAGTCTAATTATTACCACCAATTATAAAAATCATAAATAACCAACCAGAATGATTTAGTCTATTAAAAATAATAGCTAGTTTCGGAGGCTGAGGTGAGAGGATTGGTTGAGCCCAGGAGTTTGAAAACAGCCTGGGCAAGAGATCAAGACCCCATTTAAAAAAAAAAGTTGAAATTTATTGAAAGATCATTATATCCAGTAACTATGTTTTAGCTCATTTAATACAACAGCACTATAGGTAAACATTATTATTAATTTTGTTATTATTCCTATTTTCAGAGAAGGAAACTGAAGCTTATAACCATGTTATTCATTGCCGAGGGTGCAACCAAGTTAAAGATAATGTCTTGTTTTTTTTGTTTGTTTGTTTTGTTTTTTTTTTGAGATGGAGTCTCACTCTGTTGCCCAAGCCGGAGTGCAGTGGCAAGATCTCAGCTCACTGCAACCTCCGTCTCCCAGGTTCAAGTGATTCTAGTGCCTCAGCCTCCTGAGTAGCTGGGATTACAGGCATAGGCCACCACTGCTAATTTTTGTATTTTTAGTAGAGACAGTGTTTCACCATGTTGGCCAGGCTGGTCTCGAACTCCTGACCTCAGGCGATCCGCCCACCTCAGCCTCCCAAAGTACTAGGATTACAGGCGTGAGCCACCGTGCCTGGTCAATGTCTTTCTTTCCAGTACTTTCCGATCCAGTTGGCATTAGACTTCAATTGCAAAAGAGCAACCCTGTTGCCATATGCAAGGGACAGCATGGTTTGAATGACATAAATGAATGCTTCAGGTATTGAGGGCAAAATCTATGAATGTTTTAAAATACTTGGGATAAAGTTTGCAGAGAAAGGGACGTGGTGCCTCAAGGAAAGGAGAAATTAGCAGAGGCTGAGAACATTACAGGTGAGAAGGAATGTGAACAATATGGAGATGGAAAGTGATAGGATTCCTTTGAAGGTACCAGAAAATATGCTAAATGTGTTGAGGGGTGGGTAATGACTTAAGGACAAGGGCTACCTCACTTCTCTTTGTTCTCTTTTGGACATTTTGAAAACTCAACATTCTGTAAGATGAAATAAGAAAGTCTCTTGACTCCCCAAAGTAAAAGGGGAAAAAAGAAAAAAATCATTTTCATAAAGAATCTGGAATAGGACTGATTTGGATTCCAGATTTAAAATAAAATAAAGCTCTGAATTAGAGAGATAATAGTTGTTGGCGTTCGAGTGCTCATGGTGTGTGCAGCAGTGTTGTGTATGCTGCACACACACTCAGGATGTACAGGGTGGCTCTATGAGGAGTGTTCCTGGTTTCCTTGTTTACAGGTGAGGACGCCGAGGCACTGAGAGGCAAAGGGGCACAGAGGCAGTACAGGGGAAGCCAGATTTAAATACAAGCAGTGCAATGCCAGTTTCACACTAATCCCACTAGAAACTTGGAAAAGTCTCCACAACGGAGAAAGGACCTCATCTTAAAAATGAAGCCGGGCGCGGTGGCTCACGCCTGTAATCCCAGCACTTTGGGAGGCCGAGGTGGGCAGATCACCTGAAGTCAGAAGTTCAAGACCAGTCTGGCCAGCACGGGGAAACCCTGCCTCTCCTAAAAAATACCAAAATTAGCTGGGCATGGTGGAGCGTGCCTGTAATCCCAGTTACTCAGGAGGCTGAGGGAGGAGAATTGCTTGAACTTGAGAGGTGGAGGTTGCAGTGAGCTGAGATCGTGCCACTGCACTTCACCCAGGGTGACAGAGAGAGACTCCTTCTCAAAAAAAAAAAAAAAAGAAGAAGAAGAAGAATGAGGACTTTGAACTTATTTTTATTTTTCGTTTTTAATTCTCCCTTTAGTTTCAGCACCTTCTCAAGAGGCTGGGAAGGGTATTCATCCATCCTAGTTAAACCCTGAGAGCTAGCACTGTAACCTGCACACAGTGCACAACTGACTAATAAATATTTGCTGAACCAAACTGTTGTGTTTAATTCAGTTGAGTTCTAGGAGTGTTGAAATCCAAAGGAAGGAGCTAGAAGTTTCTCTTCTTGGCTAGTACTTTTCCCTTCTGCAATCCTGGCTGGGAACCAGGTTTCATATTCACTCCCTACCTTTCAATACGTAGCACAAGGACGTGTTTTTTACATGGAATTTTTTGGACGCAATCAGTATTAACATTTGATGATAATGTATGCTTAAGGAGTAGATTCTCTGACTTGAAAGCTTCCATTTACTAATTTATTAGTTTGTGTGAGTGTGCCTGTGTGCACACATGTCTCTGTGTACACATGTCTCTGCGTGTGTCTGTGTGTGCCTCTGTATAAGTCTGTTTGTGTTGGGGGAAGAGAAGAGGATGGAAATGCTGAAAAAATTCTAAACTCTGTAAACTTCCTTTTTGAAAAGCGTCCAATTTTCTTCAGAATCTTTTAATTAACTTACTAGGAAACTGTAATATTTTGCTCTCTTTAAATATAATTTAGGAACCGAAAAAGCAGGTGAGAGAGGATAGTCTCTTTCCTTCAACTTTATTTACATTGAATAGAGAACCAATGGCCAAATGTTATGCCCTTCCAATCCCAAAATCAAAGACAGAGGTCAAACAAGACAGTCAAATCAGTTAGGTTCAGAGAAAAAATAATAGCGAGTGTAAGACATAAAGCTGAGATGTGGAAAGTGCATGAGACAAACTCCTTTTAGGTCCCTGTTTCTCTACTCCTGCAAATTGAAAATGCAAAAATCTATGAGCAGGTGCAAATGTGTTGGGACTCAAATGAACCAGCATGGGCGATCATCCAAGTGAGGGGAGAAATAAGCACACCCACAATTTCATGTCTACAAACACTCTCAGAAGGAAAATCTCTGCAGGCAGCAAGGAAAAGTGGGATGAGGACCTTCTAATTAAGACAGGGCTCTCCACAAGTCAGACAGTTTGGAAACTCATAGTGGCAAGTTCAACATTGTTTGAATAATGAAAGTTGGGTAGAAGGACTGATAAACCCTTCAGCTACTTTTATTAACAGCAGCAGCAGCAGCACATCCTCCACTCTGGCTGCTGATGAGCTCCGGCAGGATCCTGGCCTGCTGCCCTGAGCTGCTTCTACTTTTGTCTGCTGTGCTTCACTCTTTCCTGGGAAGTGTCAGCAAACCTCCGCCAGCCTTGGGCAGGAGCAGCCAGGCAACCCCAGAGGCCAATGTGAGCCCAATTTAACCACAGGTCTCTGTTTAAAATTTGCGATCATATTTGTAACTTAAATTAGACAGTGTGTCTCCTTTTCCCAAACGTTCCAATGGCTTCCCAAGTCAAAATAAAATCCTAACTCCAACCATAGCCAACAGAGCCCTACATGATCCAGGCCCTAGGAATCTGACCTCATCTCTTCCTTCTCTCTCTGTCCATCTAGAGAGGCACCAGTCACACTGCCCTGACCCAGCTGTGCCAAGCACTGCCCTGCCCCAGGGCATTTGCACCTGCTGGCATCTCTGTCAGACTCTTCCCCAAGACAATCACATGCCTTCCTCCTTCCTTCATTCATACCCAATCTGAGAGCTACCCCTAAACACTTCATCTAAAATGACACTCCTTATCAATCTCTAGCTCCTTACCCTGGTTCACTTGCTATCTCACACATATACACATCCACCTACATATATGTTTATCTCTCCTCCAATAAAATGTGAACTCCAATGAATGCAGAGACTCTATTTTGTTCACTGAGATATGCCCAATACCTACAGCAGTGAGTGGTGTCTACTAGATGCTAAATAAATGTCTGTTGAACGATGAAGTTGTGAATAATCTATTTTCATGTATTTAATTTGAGATCTTAGAAACTTTTTGACTGTAATTCATATTGTAGAGGGGAAATGTTATAAAACTCTTCCTCCCCATCATAAGGGTCATGGCAGGCATTCCTATCACAAAATCTAGATTAACAAGAGAAAAGCATAACTAATTTATTTCGTGATATGGGAGGCTTGAGAAAGGAAGACCCAAAGATCAAAGAGAAAACTGTCCATTTTTATGTTTAGAGTCGAGGAAGAGTGTACAGTGGTGTAAAAATGTGATTGGACATAATGGGTATGGCCTAATGGCAACAGACTTAGTGGGGAACCCCAGCAAGGCCTGTCTGCTCTGATTCATCTTGGCCTCTGTATGGGGCAGTCTTTTCTCCCAGACACAGGGCAGGACCTCTGTGGAATGAGGTCTTAGGATCTCCTTTCAGACAAGGTAGGTTTGGGAATTTCTTTATACCCAACTCCTACACAAAAGGGCTGGGGAAAGCTTAAAGTAATATGTCTAGGGTTTTGTTAGATGGAGTTTCGCTCTTGTTGCCCAGGCTGGAGTGCAGTGGCGCGATCTCAGCTCACTTCAACCTCTACCTCCCAGGGTCAAGCGATTCTCATGGCTTAGCCTCCAGAGTAGCTTGGACTACAGGTGCCCACCACCACACCCAGCTAATTTTTTGTATTTTTAGTAGAGACGAGGTTACACCATGTTGGCCCGGCTGGTCTCAAACTCCTGACCTCGGGTGATCTGCCCGCCTTGGCCTCCCGAAGTGCTGGGATTACAGGCGTGAGCCACCTCGCCTGGCCTATTTCTAGGTTTTATTTTGGAGGAAGAGTGGTTCTGGCTTCTCTGACCTGCTTTAAGGGAGGAAAGGAAACAAGAGGAGGACAGGAGAAGATCAGACAGAGACTTTGCTTCAGAGGCCTTTCCAGTGTGCTTCAATTCAAAGCACTCAGCAAGCCACAGCGCCACACTTTGGGGTGTCGTTTGCTAAGCCCCA
This sequence comes from Homo sapiens, assembly GCF_000001405.40. Classification (NCBI taxonomy): domain Eukaryota; kingdom Metazoa; phylum Chordata; class Mammalia; order Primates; family Hominidae; genus Homo; species Homo sapiens. The sequence continues at coordinate 105,430,190 of NC_000002.12, read as the reverse complement.
ACGATGCCTATCACTGGTCACAGTGTTCTTGTTAGGATTCAAGTCTAATGTCCCTTGTTCACCACTTAAACTTCACTTTAAAAATTTCCACTACACTTGCATTTTGTCAAGGAAGGGAGGTGGGAGCTGACGAGTCAGGTTGCCAGGGCACAAGGTCCTAGTTCTGCTGTTCACACTGGGCCCAGGCAAGATTTTAACTTCCCAGAACCACGTCTGTAAAATGGGAATAATAACAGTAACCTTGTCGGTCACTTGCAGGGATTCAAGGAGGCACTAACAGCCATGGCTACCATGAACTGAGCCCACGTTGTATCACAGAAAGTACCCCATACTCTTGACTTGCTTTGCACTGTCCCGTCTTCACAGCAGCCACCTGGTGCAGGGACAATTACAATTCCTAGGCTGCAGATGAGGGAACAAACCTAGAAAAGTATCTGAACTAAGGAGCTATAGTTGCTGTACTAGTTTCCTATGGATGCCGTAGCAAATTACCATAAACTTACTGTCTTAAAGCAACACAAATTTACTTTCATTTTTGGAGGTCAGAAGTCTGAAACAGGTCTCACTAGGCCAGAATCAAGGTATCAGCAGGGCTGCATTCTGGAGGCTCTAGAGAAGGAATGTTTCCCCACCTTTTCCAGCTTCTGGAAGCTACCTACGTTCCTTGGCTCATGGCCCCTTCTTCTATCTTCAAAGCCCAGAGCATAGCATCTTCACATTTCTCTTTCACCCTGGCTCTCCTGTCTCCATCTTTCATATATAAGGACACTGGTGATTACATTGGGGGATGTCCAGATAATGTAGAATAATCCCCCTATCTCATGATCCTTAACTTAATCACATCTGCAAAGCCCCTCTTGCCATGTAAGGTGTCATATTCATGGGTTCCAGGAATTCAGATGTGCACATTTTGGGAGACCATCATTTTGCTACCAATTACTAAGAGGCAGAACTGCGATTTGACTCCCAGCCGATTTCTTGACCATCATATTGTGGGGCAAAGTCTTTGGTGTTTATTAAGTCCTTTTTCCCCCTTGTGGCAGTGGAGGGAGGGTGGAAACCTCTGGATCCCAGATTCAGGTTTTGTATGCCACATTAAACAGGACAGGTCATCCCCTTCTGCCCTTCTCCTCTGCAGTATAGGACGCCAAAGGCTCACAGTTAACTTTCAACATTGTTTTATCTTATGAAGGTAAGGTTTAAAACAATCCATCTCACCCCATCTCCAAATATATTATTGACTTTTAAGCAACCACAGACGTTTGATAAAAGTAGGTTACAAAGTAAAAATGAAAGCCTAGCATGGGGACAGGCCATGACATGCCTCCCATCCAACAGGGTGTCTGTACAGAGTACAGAGCAGCCGCCAAGGGCAGACCTGGAAGCAGGATCCCCACAGTAAGAGGAGCAGGTAAGGAAGAGCTGAGGCGGCCTAGCTCAGAGTGCTCCAGTGAGGGACACAGGGTCCGGGCACACAGGTGACCAGGGAGAGCGTGGCAACCCAGGCCACAACAGATAGAAGCTCCAGGAACCAGCCTAGCAAGGTGGCAGAACAAGCTGACCCACACGAAGCCAAGGGACAGGGCAAGCATGGTCATGGGGCAGCCATGGGCGGGCCTGTCCGCAGGAGAGGGTAGTAGACGGTCCTCCGAGTCAGGCTGGCGGCCTATGAGGAGCCCAACCTCTCAGGGATGGAAAGATCCCGAAGGTAATTCCAAGGCCCAGCAAACCAGCCAGGTTTGATCCACCAGGGAGGGAGCAAGTCAACAGGACATGAGAATTATTTGGGTACAAAAGAAGTGGGGTTGCAGGGAAACTAGAAGCTGGAGATGAGCTGTAGTTTGGGGAAGATGGGGTGTTCACAGCTCAGCAAGCCCCTGGCTCCCAAATCTGTGTCAGCTGAGCTATGTCCAGACCTCACCTATGGGTGGCACGGGCCGCCCTTACACATATACGCATACCTCCACTCACTTGGGGGTGGCTCAGGGCCTCCAGGACTGGAATCTAAAAGGACCTTTGTTCCTCCAGGTGGGAAAGACTAGGGGCCACCCTCAGCAGGCTTCTAGTTGACTGAGACCTTTTATGACCATGAGTTCTCAGAACAGGATTACTTACCTGGTACCCAGTTGCTTTGATCCTTTGCTTAATGTGAGCATCACAGTGTTAGAAATCAGAGGTGAATTTACATGGGCTGTGTGTTTTTGTGACAAAGCAATAAGAATAAAGTAGACTGCATACTCTAGACATACTTTCCTCAGTTATTCATACTTAGAGTGACTATTGAATTTATGGTCCAAACTGAGGCACTTTTGAGAGCACTTTTAATAAGTATGTGAGGTCCACAGGTGTAACTGCTGGTTCTCGGGGCCCTGTCAGAGGGGGTCCCTTCTCTGAGCCCAAAGCCTCACACCCAGGCACCCAGGGCCTAGTGAAGCTGCCTTAGCTGTAAGCACAATGGTTTAGAGGGATTATTCAACATCTAAATGCTTGCCTGCAACCTCAAACACTCTCATTCCTTTCACATGCAAGACAAGAAATGCTGAATAAAGTTTCTTTTGAGGCAGACCAATGATGTAACTCCCTCACAAGGGCCTCTGTTCGAAAGTCAGGGACACGTTTATCCTATTGATTATTGACATTTGAGAGTTGCACCTCCATCCCCCAAGCCCCGGAGCTCACTTTTCTTTTGTGACATTGTTCTAAATTGAGGTGCTTTTCTGCTGCCCTCTCCACATGTTCACAAGACACTCTCTCTTGTCCAGACTTCACTGAAACAGAAGTGTTTCAAGCTCCGGGTGAGTTTCATAGTGCATATCATGGGTCATGAAATCAGTTCAGTGGATTGAGATCAGCATATTTTTAACAACAAAATGAAATTGACTAGAGCAGGAAAAAATAGAATTAAAGGGAATAGAATGCTTTTCACATAGTAAGAAATTCTTTCCAGAATTTTTTCATGACAGTATATTTTTCTAGCATTAAATGTGAGGGTGATTGATGTGGTTATGATGTAAAAAATGTACTTCCTGGTGTGGGCAGCCACCAAAATTTGCAGTCCCCTGCTATAAACCATCTTTGCAGGTTTTCTTTTTCCTTTCGCCTGGATTCTTACAGTGCCAAGGGCGGCTCTCTTACTCCTACACACCCCTCTCAGGCATCCTCCATTCTCTGCAGATGGCTTAGTTTGATCCTTTAGGCTAGAGCCAACGAAATGCCTTCCTATTTGATCAGTTCTATCAACATAAGTCTTTATCGAAAAAGGAAAAGAAAGAAAAAGCCAAAACCTTGCACCATTCACCAAGGAGTGATAAGGGCCATGTGAGTAGAGATCTCTGAGAAGCTTCAAAGCAACCCGGCTAATTCTCAGCAACCCCACACCTCCTCGGCAGCATCTGCACCCCAGCACTATTTGTGCCTAAGTGTGGGAGTGCTGGGTGTTGCTGTGCGTGTGTTCTCATGCACCTCCCTTCTGTGCCACAACATAAGTGGAAAATATCTCCGCCTGAGTGCCTGGCCCCCCTTCTGCATTGTTTCGGGGTCTTTGCAGCAGCACAGGGGCTTCTAGCCTCTTCCTGTAATTTTGCAGAAGGTAGGTGCAGGAGTGGGGAGCCCTCACATCAAAGGCTGCCTTCCAGGACTGCTGGCTCAGGGAAGGGAGGAGGGTGACCCTGGTGCAGAGCAGAAGAGAGCGACCCTAGGCAGGATGTCTGGAAGGAGAGATAAAAGCAAACTGCAAAGGTATTTTGATAGACCATGCTGTTTCCATTCTTTACCATGTGTTTTTCATTCTGCTTTTGGTTACTTTTGACTTGAATTATGGAGCCTGGTTAAGGTAACATAGATGCAATTACTTTTATACGTCAAAAATGAATACTGACTTTTCCTAGTGGGGCTGGGGGTGATGGGAAGTGGCTAAGACAGAATGCACATTGCCTTTTAGAAAGCTGGAAAGTTCTTTTCTTCTCACTTCCTTATGGCAGCAGAGAACCTGTTTTTCCAAGAGCTAAGAGCACTTTGACAAATGCACCGGGTAAAAGCTTGCATGCAAGATAGAAAGACACCCCCGATGATGACATAGTGTGGCCATTACATTGCCGAAGAGGAAGCAAATACCAAATACATCTATATTATATATGAAGGAGTGGCCTGCCCCTCCACACCTGTGGGTATTTCTAGTTGGGTGGGACGAGAGACTGAGAAAAGAAATAAGACAGAGAGACAAAGTATAGAGAAACAATAGTGGGCCCAGGGGACCGGCGCTCAGCACACCAAGGACCTGCACCGGCACCGGCCTCTGAATTCCCTCAGTTTTTATTGATTATTATTTTCATTATTTCAGCAAAAAGGAATGTAGTAGGAGAGCAGCGTGATAATAAGGAGAAGGTCAGCAAAAAACATGTGAGCAAAAGAATCTATGTCATAATTAGGTTCAAGGGAAGGTACTATGACTGGACGTGCACGTAAGCCAGATTTATGTTTCTCTCCACCCAAACATCTCAGTGGAGTAAAGAATAACAAGGCAGTATTACTGCAAACATGTCTCGTCTCCCGCCACAGGGCAGCTTTTCTCCTATCTCAGAGTTGAACAAATGTACAATCGGGTTTTACACCGAGACATTCAGTTCCCAGGGGCAAGCAGGAGACAGTGGCCTTCCTCCATCTCAACTGCAAGAGGCTTTCCTCTTTTACTAATCCACCTCAGCACAGACCCTTTACGGGTGTTGGGCTGGGGGACAGTCAGGTCTTTCTCATCCCACAAGGCCATATTTCAGACTATCACATGGGGAGAAACCTTGGACAATACCCTGCTTTCAAGGGCAGAGTTCCCTGCGGCTTTCTGCAGTGCATTGTGCCCCTGGTTTATTGAGACTAGAGAATGGCAATGACCTTTACCAAGTATACTGCTTGTAAATATTTTGTTAACAAGGCACGTCCTGCACAGCCCTAGGTCCCTTAAAACCTTGATTTTATACAACACATGTTTTTGTGAGCTCCAAGTTGGGTCAAAGTGGCTGAGGCAAAGTGGCTGGGGCAAAGCTACAAATTAACAACATCTCAGCAAAGCAATTGTTTAAAGTACAGGTCTTTTTCAAAATGGAGTCTCTTATGTCTTCCCTTTCTACATAGACACAGTGACAGTCTGATCTCTCTTTCTTTTCCCTACAATATATATATACTTTAAGTTCTGGGGTACATGTACGGAATGTGCAGGTTTGTTACATAGGTACACATGTGCCACGGTGGTTTGCTGCAACCATCAATCCATCATCTACATTAGGTATTTCTCCTAATGCTATCCCTCTCCCAGGCCCCCACTCCCTGACAGGTCCTGGTGTGTGATGTTCCCCTCCGTGTGTCCATGTGTTCTCATTGTTCAACTCCCACTTATGAGTGAGAACATGTGGTGTTTGGTTTTCTGTTCCTGTGTTAGCTTGCTGAGAATGTTCCAGCTTCATCCATTTCCCTGCAAAGGACATGAACTTATCCTTTTTATGGCTGCATAGTATTCCATGGTGTATATGTGCCACTTTTTCTTTACCCAGTCTATCATTGATGGGCATTTGGGTTGGTTCCAAGTCTTTGCTATTGTGAACAGTGCCACAATAAACATATGTGTGCATGTATCTTTATAGCAGAATGATTTATAATCCTTTGGGTATATACCCAGTAATGGGATTGCTGGGTGAAATGGTAATTCTAGTTCTAGATCCTTGAGGAATAGCCACACTGTCTTCCACAATGGTTGAACTAATTTACACTCCCACCAACAATGTAAAAGTGCTCCTATTTCTCCACATCCTCTCCAGCATCTGTTGTTTCCTGACTTTTTAATGATCAGCATTCTAACTGGCATGAGATGGTATCTCGTTGTGGTTTTGATTTGCGTTTCTCTGATGGCCAGTGATGATGAGCATTTTTTCATGTGTCTGTTGGCTGCATAAATGTCTTCTTTTGAGAAGCGTCTGTTCATATCCTTTGCCCACTTTTTGATGGGGTTGTTTGTTTTTTCTTGTAAATTTGTTTAAGTTCTTGTAGATTCTGGATATTAGCCCTTTGTCAGATGGCTTAGATTGCAAAAATTTTCTCCCATTCTGTAGGTTGCCTGTTCAACTCTGATGATAGTTGATTTTACTGTTCAGAAGCTCTTTAGTTTAATTAGATCCCATTTGTCTATTTGGGCTTTTGTTGCCATTGCTTTTGGTGTTTTAGTCATGAAGTCTTTGCCCATGCCTATGTCCTGAATGGTATTGCCTAGGTTTTCTTCTAGGGTTTTTATGGTTTCAGGTCTTATGTTTAAGTCTTTAACCCATCTTGAGTCAATTTTTGTACAAGGTGTAAGGAAGGGATCCAGTTTCAGCTTTCTGCATATGGCTAGCCAGTTTTCCCAACACCATTTATATAATTGGGAATCCTTTCCCTATTTCTGTTGTTTGTCAGGTTTGTCAAAGATCAGATGGTTGTAGATGTGTGGTGTTGTTTCTGAGGCCTCTGTTATGTTCCACTGGTCTATATATCTGTTTTGGTACCAGTACCATGCTGTTTTTGTTACTGTAGCCTTGTAATATAGTTTGAAGTCAGGTAGTGTGATGGAAGTAAATACCTTTAACCAGAAAGACAAGACACAGAGATAAACATTCTTCCTGCTACAGAAATATGGTGGATTCCTCAATGGCTGTGATCTTTGAAAAGAGAAGCAACTGTTGTCTATCAAATAGCTAAAAATACTGTTAGAAGTATAAATATGTCCCCTGATATTGTCAGAAGTTTCATCGAAGCCTCAGGCAAGCAAAATGTGTCCTCTGTTTGTACCTCAATCTCTACTCCTGCAAAATGCAGATAATTATACCAGTAAAGGACTATTGTTAGAGTTGATGCAATAGGTTTATGAAATCTTCAAGTGGCTTGCAAATAATTCAAAATCGAACTGTAATTTCCAATCATTCTAAAAGCTTCATGTTTCATTTTTTGGAGACATTATTGCTCTGTTGGCTTTTTCTAACATATGGGTATCACTGACAGCCTCCATTCTGTACTAAAATCTAGAAGAATCTTCATTCCTCTGGGGGCAAACATCAGAGAGAGGAATGGAAGAGCTGCCCCAGGGACCTGACGCTTGATACCACTTCCTGAGTCAGGCCCAATGCAAGCATCCTCAGCTTGCTTTCCACTATGAGGGAGTTGTAATGGGTTCCCATGCCGTCTGAGCTGCAGGAAAAGGAAAGAAGTGGGAGAGTAAATTAGTGTTCTGACATTATTGACGGAAGACTTTACTCTCGTTTCCTAGTTATCTGAGAGGTACAGTGTCTATTGAGTAAAACTGTCAGAACGAAAAACAGTGGTTCTGCAATGATTTTGGTATCTTGTACAATGCAACCTGTAGTATAACTGATACAGACAATCCTTTTCTCAATCAAGTAATCAATTGATAAAATAAACAGGACAAAAAAATCAACCTAAAGATGCAATCTCGTGGCAGTATTAAACTCCAGACAGTATTTAATTTTGATTTCTCTCACCTGGAGCATTTTTTTTTTTTTTTTTTTGCCAGAGATGAATCACATCTGTCACAACAATAACAACAACAACAAATTAGCGGAAAATTGATTTTCATGGTCCTGTTGTCTCTAAGTGGCTTGTGGTTTAGTTTGTAGATCATGTCTTATCTAGAGCTATAATCCTATAATGAAAAAGTAAATTAAACCAAGAGGAAACTATAAATAAAAAAAATATTTCTCTTATATGTGATCCACTATTCCCATCACAGTTTTGCTTCCTAAGTAGTTTTGTCTTATCTGAGAAGCACCAAGGATCCATCCACATAGGGCCCCTGCAATTCCCATGCACATGACATGCACCTCCATATGCATCTTGCCACCAACTTGAGAATGCCAGGAGCTGGTTGTGGTTCACAAGGCATGGGAGTTCTTGCCATTCTCACCAATAACACCAGCATCTTGAAAACCCAAAGCATAAAAGCAAACAAGTTACAAACATAAGCAAACCAACACATCTTCAAGCCAAACAGCTGTTTCTTACTATGGCTTTTCCTTTCTGGTCCACAACGCGGCCAAGATTGCTGCTGGACATGCATGGTGTTGGAGGACTTGCATGTATGTGGGGAAGGACTGCCCTCCACCGTGATTCTTTCCTAGGGCAACTCCTCTGAGCTACGCTGCCAATGCACGCAACAGGACCCCAGGAGGGGCAAAAAGCTGATGGGAACAAAAAGATGTACCAGTGAACTCTGGTCTTAATATAAAACTAGCATGGTGGGTAATAGAAACATCTTTTCCATTAAATCAAAGAAACAGATCTGGAAAACTAAATCCTAGAATGTTGAGTCCCTGATGGCAGAGACTGCATTGCAAGCTCATGCATGGAACTGTGCCCTCTGCATCACAGAAGTGCCTCCATTTGACAGTTACGATATCAGTGTCATGAGGCTGGGATACCTCTCTTGGTCAATGCAAGCCATAGTATAACTGAGCTAGACACTTTCTCAATCAAGCAGCCTTTTGATAAAGAGGACACAAAAATCAACCTAAAGATGGAATTTGGTGGCAGTGTTAAACTGCAGACAGTATTTAATTTTGATTTCTTTCATCTGGAGCATTTTGTTGCCAGAGATCTGTCACAACAACAACAACAACAAAAAATGGGCAGAAAATTGATTTTCATCATCCTGATAGCATTTGTCCTAGAGACAGCATTTGTGTTAAGAGAATAGTGTTTGTCTTTTTGATCAGGAGAGTTGAGCTTATGGTCTTAACTTCAGGCATTGGGCCTTCTGTAGCGTGCTTGTGAATACTCCACCCAGCATCTACACTCCAGTGACCAGGCTTTTGGGTTGCTGGTCTTTGAACTTTGGCCTGTAACCTCAAGCAGGGCAGAACATTGCCACAAAGCCCCAGATCACTGACACCAAATCAAATTTGTGTGGACTCTGTCCCAGACATTCCATGTGAAACTGGCTGTCCTTACAAGCCAGAGAGAACCCAGTGACGATGGGACCAGGGACAGTTCACTTTCTTCCCATTGGATTACCTTCTTTATCAAGGGAGCACTGGACCACATGGAGTCTGACCATAAACTGCATCTGTCTCATGAGCTGGATCCAGTATAGGACAGGGACACTGGGCCACCACTGGCTCTGTACAACCCCAGTGCCCCATTCTCATGGTGTGGATGGAGCCCCGTTTTCTCCTAAAACTTGTCCCACTAGTTCAGGGGTCCCCAGTCCCCAGGCCATAGACCGGTACTTGGTTCATGGCCTGTTAGGAACCCAGCCACACAGCAGGAGGTGAGCAGCAGGCGAGAAGCATTCCCCACTGAGCTCCACCTCCTGTCAGATCAGTGGAGGCGTTAGATACTTACAGGAGCATGAACCCTAATGTGAGCTGCACATGTGAGGGATCTAGGTTGCATGCCCCTTGTGAGAATCTAATGCCTGATTATCTGAGTTGGAACAGTTTCATCCTGAAACCCTCTGCCCCCCACCTCCCAATTCATGGAAAAATTGTCTTCCACAAAATGGGTCCCTGGTGCCAAAAAGGTTAGGGATATCTGCACTAGTTCCTCCTCGCCATCCCTCTCTCTGCCCCACATCTGTTAGATTCTTCCTCATGTTACTATTAGTTATGAATAATTTGCTACTATTATTAGTGAAGGTGTTATGGGTTGAGTGTCTCTCCCCCAAATTGATATGCTGAAGCCGTAACTCCTAATAACTCTATGGCCTTATTCGGAAATGGGGTTGTTACCGAGTAATTAGTTAAGAGGAGGTCATTAGGGTATCCCTAATCCAATATGAGTGGTGCCCTTGTAAAAGGGGATATTAGGGGGACATTTGGGCAGACGCACACACAGGGAGATACTATGTCCACGTGAAGACAGAGATCAGGGAAGTGAGTCTACAAGCCAAGGGATGCCAAAGATTGCCAGCAAACCACCAGCAGCTAGGGAGAGGCATGGAGCAAATGCTCCCTCACAGCCCTCAGAAGGGACCAACCCTGCTGACACCTTGATCTTGGACTTCCAGCTTCCAAAACTTGGAGACAATAAATTTCTGTTGTTTAAGCCATCCAGTGTGTGGTACTTTGTGATGACAGCCCTGGCAGACTAACACAATGGGGCATTGGGTGGCTTATCTTTGAGCAAATGAAGAACTGAATCCAAGCAGTCACTTCTCCTCTTGAGACCTTGGCCAATGCATCCCCTCCCACCCTCAACTGAACACTTTCCCTTAATGACAATGCATGTTCAGTCATACTGGACTATGTAGTATAGGGGAGGAAAATAAAACTTTTCCTCAACCTTCTTCTGTTCCTTAGCTGGGGTCTGTTAATTACACTGGCAAAAGTGAGACCATCAGGAGAAAAGACAGACAAATCTTATTTTATGTTATTATTTTAATTTTTATGTGAAGGGACATTCATAGAAAAGAAGTGAAGAACCAAAGAGGCTGTTAGACCCAGGAGTTTATATACCATTTTAACAAAGGGTGATAAATTTGCAGAGAAGTAACAAAACAAGCAAAAAGCAACCTGGGCTTCTAGGACTGGGAGAGTACACATATAGGGGAACCTAATGAAAGATAAGGGTGATATTGGTGAGGTTTGTTTGTGCAGACCTGTCTTGGTGCTGACTTTCTGTTTCCAGTGACAAGAGTTGGTCTCCTCTTGGTATGGAAGATGGGAGGAGAAACACCTTCACAAAGGGAAATTTATGTCCTCCTTTTTCTGCATTTGCTGCTTCTTAATTGCCTTCACCTCAAAACAATCCTTATACAAATGATGCAATAGACTTTGGGGACTCTTGGAGAAAGGGTGGGAAGGGGGTGAGGGATAAAAGACTACAAATTGGGTGCAGTGTCTACTGCTTGGGTGACGGGTGCACCCAAATTTCACAAATCACCACTAAAGAACTTACTTACGTAACCAAACACCACCAGTTCCGAAAAACCTATGAAAATAAAAAAATTTTTTAAAAATCCTTATGCCAAAGTGGCATATTCTGGTGTGACATATTTTGGTTTGGCATATTTTGATTCTCCAGTGGCCTTCTATAGATCTACATGTCTGTCTTTCTGATGTATGGGTATAGGAAAGCCTACTTTGTGGACAGACATATACTAAAGAAAATACTTGTATACAAATATTACACACCAGTCTCCCCTTATCTGGTGGGGATAAGTTCCAAGACTTGCAGTGCATGCCTGAAACTGTGGATAGTCCCAAACCCTGCATATACTATGTTTTTTCCTGTGTATACATACATATGATAAATTTTAACTTATAAACTAGTCACCGTAAGAGATTAACAATAAATAATAATAAAATAGAACAATTATAACAATATGCTGTAATAAAAGGTATGTGAATGTGGCCTCTCTCTGTCAAAATATTGTACTGTACTGTACTTAATCTATTTTCAGCCCCACAGTGGACCATGAGTAACTGAAAGCGTGGAAAGAGAAACTGCAGATAAGGGGAGCGGGAGGAGGGCGCTACTGTATGAATAAATACACTTTATAGAGAGATATATCCTTGAAGAAGAAATAGAATACTCTATGTCTGCGCATACTTTATCCACAGTTGTATTCATAAAAATGTAAAGTGCAGAACGGAAACTGCTCACTAAATCAGCTCAACTGAAATATCTGGATAATTAGTGGTACCTGGTCTTTTGGACCCAGTTCTCATGAAATGTGCAACTCTGACCTACTTATGAGATTAAAATGGGTTTTTTGTTTTTTTTTTGTTGATGTTGTTTGACCACCTGGGTCTCTGAGGCTTATTTTCAATAGGAGGAAAATAAGTGGTTTCTGTTGGGGAGAGTGTTTCCCTGTGGCCCAGGTGGCTTGCCCTGGTGCTTATCTGCCTGGTCCCCACATCTTTCAAACCAGAAGGCCCAGGAGTTAGGATATCCAGCTTAACAAGCCCAGCACTATCTCAATGATGAGCCCTTGGCAGCCTTGGGTGGCCATTCGCAGAGTCAAAAATAAGGACAGATATGAAACACTAGCTATACAGACTGTGTCTGAATCTCCACCATTTACCCACATGGTGGAAAATACACTACCTCCAGTCCTATTACAAAATATAATGACTTCCCCAGCCTAAAGTGTTTTAATTCTGTGGTTCTCAATGTGTGGTCCCTATACCCCTGAGTCCTTTTCAAGGAGTTTTTGTGGTTAAAGCTATTTTTTTGATACTATTAAGATATGACTCATCTTTTCACTGTGTTGACATTTATGCTGGTACAAAAGTTGTGGTGGGAAGACTCCTAGTGCCTTAGCAGGAATCAAGGTGGTGGCTCCAAACCAAACTAGTAATCATGATATTCTTCATCACCAAGCAGTAGGGGGAAAAAGAAAAGCCCAGCTGCATTCCAGAATGACCTTGACAAAACAACAGTAACAATTATTAATGTTATTAAATCTGGACCCTTAAACACACACATCCTCTTTTTTTCATTCTTTCTTTCTTTTTTTTTTTTTTTTTTTTGGAGATGGAGTCTCGCTGTATTGCCCAGGCTGGAGTGCAGTGACACAATCTTGACTCACTGCAACCTCCACCTCCCAGGTTCAAGCAGTTCTTCTGCCTCAGCCTCCTGAGTAGCTGGGACTACAGGCACACGCTGCCACACCTGGCTAATTTTCTGTATTTTAGTAGAGACTGAGTTTCACCATGTTGCCCAGGCTGATCGCGAACTCTGAGCTCAGACAATCTGCCCGCCTCAGTCTCCCGAATTGCTGGGATTACAGGCGTGAGCCACCGTGCCCAGCAACACATTTTTTTTTTCTTTTTTGAGATGGAGTCTAGCTCTGTTGCCAGGCTGGAGTTCAGTGGCAAGATCTTGGCTCACTGCAACCTCTGCCTCCTGGGTTCAAGCGATTCTCCTGCCTCAGCCTCCCGAGTAGCTGGGATTACAGGCACGTGCCACCATGCCCAGCTAATTTTTGTATTTTTAGTAGAGATGGGGTTTCACCGTGTTAGCCAGGATGGTCTCAGTCTCCTGACCTCTTGATCCACCCACCTTGGCCTCCCAAAGTGCTGGGATTACCGGCGTGAGCCACCGCGCCCGGCCGCAACACACATCTTTTTAGTATTCAGAGTGATGAAAGGGAAGATGCATGAAGCACTTCTGCTCATATCAAAGAACTGTGACTGTCTTGAGGAAAGGAAGTTGTGCAGTGGCCCAAGTCGTGAGTTCAACAAGATGTTTCTTCCATTTTCACTTGGAAGAACAACTGACAGACAAAGCATACTTAGATTTTGGCAGTAGATATTTTCCCAAAAATGCAGAGTAGCCTGTCATTCTAAGGGAAACAACTGACAGTATTTGTTTTTGTTTTCAAGGATAAAATTTGAGTTTTCAGGTGAAAATTAGCATTTTGGGAAACTGTGAGTGTGGCAGCTTCCCAGTGTGTAAAAACTTTCCTGATTAGATGGATGGTGATATCAATTACTGTAATTTGTTAATATTGTATAATGAAATGTATCAGCATTTGGAAGATCTATAGAAGCAATATTTTCTAAATCTAACAAAACAATGTGTAGGTTAAAGATCTGTTTAAAGCTTAAGATAGACCAAATGGGCTTTAATGTAATAGAATATGAAAAGTATTGATGTGATTTCAGATTCCACATTGCAATCTTTAAGCAGTAGTTAAGAAACATCTCTTTTTCAAATTTTGGTGTAGAATCTATCCATTTATAGAGAGAGATGATGATCTGAGATGGCTATCAAGATATTTCTCTTTTCCAACGACATTTCTGTATAAGGTTGCATTTCCTTCATAAATTTCAACCAAAACCACATACTCCACAGATCGAATGCAGAAGCAGACATGAGCATTGAGCTTTCCAGCTGTCTTCTATTAAGCTCAATGTTAAAGAGATTTGCAAAAATTCAAAACCACACCACTCTTCTTACTAGTTGTTTTGTTTTGGAAAGTGTAATTATTTTTCATGAAAACATTCTATGTTACCTGTTACGGATTTAATGTTAATTTTAAATGAATTAATTTTTTAGCTTCTAAGTTTTATTTTCTAATGCAGTAAATATAATAGATATAACCTACATAAACAAAAGCCCTTTGGGATTCTTAATAATATTAAAGAGTAGATAGGGCTGTACTCTTTGAGGCACTCTTTAAGAACAGGGGTTAAGAGTAGCTGGTTTAATTAAACTTGAAATTGATTGAATATGGTTCCACACACAGTTTCAATTCTTGTTAATATTCCCCATCTATTCCTATTGTATAAAACACTGAGTCAAAGACGTATTTTTTGCTGAAATCATCTAGATAATTGTACCATATGGGCCATTTTCCCACCATGGGGTACCATTCGGTTCCAAGGAGTCCCTGGTACTTAACTTGGGGTTAGGGCCACAAAGAAATAACTTAAAAACACAGGAATCCCGGTGCTTTTAAGAAATTTGCATTGCTTACTTCATTTGTTTATTTATTTATTGTTGGTTCTATTTTAGGAACAGTTTTTCTTCAGGCTGTTTCCCAACACATTTTAATGTGATTTTCAGACACGGTTTTCGTTCTTGCAAACTGTGTCACATATTATTTCCCTGCCCATTGTGAAGCCACCTTCAATCTCTGTTTAAAAGTGTTATTGAATTTAATTGTTTAAAGACATTATTTAAACCACCTTTGCTGTGGTAAGATATGCTGATTATTTATTTACTTTATATTATTTTAGTTATTAACAGGTAATCAATGCACACGGTGCAAAATTCAGAAGCAACAAAAAGAGAATAATTAAAAGTAATTTTCCCCCTCCCTCCATTCTCTTCCTTAGTTCTCCCCAGAAGCAACTACTATTGCCAACTCCTTGTGCATCCTTCCAGATATTCCAAACATGTATAATAGCCACACATCCTTTTCTTACAAATGGTAGGATACTCCACACAATGACTTGCACTTTCCTCTTTCACTTAACACCCTGTCTTGGAGATTGTCCCAGAGAGTGAGATTTTGCCTCACTATTTATAGCGGTGTAGCGCTTGCTCCATTGTATGGACGAATGACTTGACTCTGCCCCTACCTATAAACATTTAGATTGTTTCCCAACTTATGCTACCTTAAAGAATGTTCTAGTATCTGTATACATCTGCGTTTGTGTACAACAAACATATACTAATATAACTTTAAGGATCAAAAGATATGTAAGCCAACATTACTTAGACTACAGTTGTATTAGAGAAAATTGTAAGTCATAGGTTACTGAGGAATTGTAAAGAAGCTGGTGATATTGTGAAACAGATATTTGGTCTTCTTTCAGTTTCCTGATGTACAGCTCCTAAAATCCTTTAAATCTGGCCAGGCACAGTGGCTCACACTTGTAATCTTAGCACTTTGAGAGGCCAAGGTGGGTGGATCACTTGAAGCCAGAAATTGGAGACCAGCCTGGCCAACATGGCAAAACCCCATCACTACTAAAAATATAAAAATTAGCTGGACATGGTAGCGTGTGCCTGTAACCCCAGCTACTCTAGAGGCGGAGGCAGGAGAATTGCTTGAACTCAGGAGACAGAGGTTGCAGTGAGCTGAGATCCTGCTACTGCACTCCAGCCTGGGCGACAGAGCGAGACTCTGTCTCAAAAACCAAACCAAACCAAACCAAACAAAAACCTTTAAATCTCTTGAGTGACAAGAGTACTTTTGTATGCTAATGAGATAATGGCGGCGGAGGGGGGGCGGGTCCTAGCTAGCTTCAGGATGGGGGTTGGTCACTGGAAAGAACAAGGCATGACTAGAGGGTTGGGACTTTCAGCCCCAACGCCAACCTCCCAGGAGGGCAGAGGGGCTCAAGGTTAAGTTGATCACTAGTGGCCAATGGTCTAATCAATCATGCCTATGCAATGAAGCCTCCATGAAAACCCTAAAGGGCAGGGTTCAGATGGGTGTCCGGATGGTTGAACATAGGGAGGTTCCTGGAGGGTGGTGACCCCAAGGAGGAAACAGAAGCTCCACGTGTCTTTCCCCATGCTTTGTTCTGTATCCCTCACAATATCTTCATAATACATGGTAAATATTAATAAAGTGCTTCCCTCAGTTCTGTGAGCTGCTCTACCAAATTAATGGAAGCCAAGGAGGGGTTCTAGGACCCCCTCCCCAACTAATAGCCTGTTGGTCAGAAGTATAGGTGACAACCTACTATTTGCAAGCGGCATCTGAAGTACAGAGTGGCAGTCTTGTGGGACTGAGCCCTCATCCTGTGGGATCTAACTCCAGGTAGATAGTGTCAGAATTGAATTTGAGGACACCCAGCTGGTGTCTTCTAGAGAATCGTTTGCAGAATTGCTTGGTATATGGAGGGAAAATTACCCCCATCTGGGGTCACAGAAGTGTTCTGCATTGTGAGCATCCAGTAGAAGAAAAACAGCTTGGGGTTGGGCGTGATGGCTCACACTTGTAATCTCAGGGCTTTGGGAAGCCAAAGAAAGACAATTGCTTGAGGCCAGGAGTTCAAGACTAGCCCGGGCAACATAGCAAGACCTTGTCTCTATAAAAACAAAAATTAAAAAAAGATTAGTTGGGTGTGGTGGAGCACCTGTGGTCCCAGCTTGTCGGGAGGCTGAGGTGGGAGGATCACCTGAGCCCAGGAACTTGAGGTTATAGTGAGCTGTGAACATGCCACTGTACTCCAGCCCGGGTAACCCTGCCTCTAAAAAAATTTTTGTAAACTGTTTTTTTTTTCTGATATCTTACAAAGTTCTGTGGTAAGTAGTGCTTAGCTTTGTTGTTAACTGCTAGAATAGCTCCAGGGAGCGGTGCTGTTCCTCTTTTCTTTAAAAGAGAGTGGAAAGAAAATAAATCGTTTCGTTAGTCTGACTAGAAAAAGAAATCAGGCTTTATGCTTCTTGATTTTGGAAATTTTTCAGTCCCTTTTTGTCAGGAGAGTGAAGAAATAGGGAAGAGGGTTGCAGAGAGGCTTTGCCTTTCTGTTTTGACTATTGTATTTCTTGTGCTGGTTGAGAAGGAGACGCTATGAAGATGGGTCATGAGAGCTCAGAAACTGATCGCTGCCTTGCTTCAGGAGGCAGCCTGGTGGAAGGGATGGAACCAGGAAACGTGAGCAGTCACACCAGTCACACGCTGTCCTCATTTGCATCCTGTCCTTCTACACCATTAACTCTGACTTTGAGTACATTATTTGCCCTCTCTGGGCCTCAGTTTCCTTACTGAGCTACGTGGAATTTCTTCCTTTTTTTCCCATCAGACCTCTTACATCACCGTCTCCACACCCTCCATTGTCACTGACCCTCAGCCCACTGCAATGTGCTTCTGTCCCCATCATGCCACTGATCACATTCAGACGTCACCAACAGCCACTGTGCTGCCACGTGCAACACACTCTCAGCACCCCCTGGCCACTGCTCCTCGGCTGTGTCAGTCACTGGCTTCACTGCCCCCGCCTCTGGCTCTTTCTCCTCATCCTTCCTTGACGCTGCCTTCTCAGCCACCTCTGCGGATGCTGCCCCCTAAACCTTAGGCTCCCCTGGAGCTTGACCTTCGACCCACTCCTAACCATCCACGTGCTTTCTTGCACGACCTCACTCACTCTCCTGGTTTATTTATTTGCTCTTTTGCTCTACTGGTTTTTACCTACCATTTGGCTAATGACCCCTATGTTCATACCATCAGCTCCAACCTTCTCCCTGAATCTCATCCTTCTACAAGTTTGGGAAAATTTTCTATTTGGATGGCTGTCCCCAAACTGCTTCTGTTTCAATAAGTCAAAATTGAATTCATCCTCCACCACCAGTTTGTTTTTTTCTATTTTCCTGATGATTATACCTTTTGGTTATCCAAGCTACCTCTGCCTTCTGGGTTCAAGCAATTCTCATTCAAGCTTAGCATAATGACCTCAAGGTCCATCCCTGTTGGAGCATGTGTCAGAATGTCCTTCCTTTTTAAGTGTGAATAAGATTCCATTGTATGGATGTACTACATGTTGTTCACGCATTCACCTATCTATGGAAGCCTGGGCTGCATCCACCTGTTGGCTATTGTGAATAATGCTGCTATGAACATGAGTGTGCAGGTATTTCTTCCAAACCCTGCTTTCAATTCTTTTAGATATATACCCAGAAGTGGGGTATACTTTCATATCTTAACCTTGACCGGAACTTATTGGAGTTTCATCTTTACTCAGCTGGCTCCCTCCCTTCTGGTCACACTGGACTTTAACCCTTAGAAGGGATGGAGTGAGATTTATTCATCTTGGTGGCATTGTGAGGATGAGTCACTTAGCAATCAACAAGTTTCTGCTCAATAGTTTCCCTCGGGCTCTCTACTCAATCCAATTACTAGGAGAAGGATGCCATGTGAACTTTTTTTTTTTTGAGATGGAGTCTTGCTCTGTTGCCCAGGCTGGAGTGCACTGGCGTGATCTCGGCTTACCACAACCTCCGCCTCCTGGGTTCAAGCCATTATCCTGTCTCAGCCTTCTGAGCTCACCACCATGCCCAATTAATTTTTGTATTTTGAGTAGAGACAGGGTTTCACCATGTTGGTCAGGCTGGTCTTGAATTCCTGACCTCAAGTGATCCGCCCGCCTCGGCCTACCAAAGTGCTGGGAACCATGAGAACTTTTAAAGTCAAAAAAAAAAAAAAAAAAAAAAAAAACCCTAAGTTCAGGACCATTTACAAATTCATCATTTCAAAGATGAGGATTCTGGGTGAGTAGGAAAAAAGAATTCCATCTAAAACCAGGAGTAAGAGACAAGGTTTATCAAGCTGTGCTTGAAAAAGAATGAGAAAAAAAAATTGTACATTATACTTTTTTTTAAAATTTGCTCAGTATGTGACAGAATTGACAGTTCATAGTATTCTTTCTAAAGTTACAATTTGTCTTTATCTTAAAAAGTTACTTTTTAAAACAAACTCAAAGATAATACTAGGAAATTGTGCTAATAACCTTTAATGCATCTACAGTTTAGGACGCAGTGGGTGTCAGTCTGCCTTAATTTTAGAATCAGTTTTTTGACTGAAATGAGAAAGAATGAACCTAAGGATTAGAGCGATGGTGGTTATGCACACACCTGTGTCCACAGAGGCTCGCTGGTACTTCTCTTATGTTGGGTCATATTACTGTTTCCCTCTCCCCTTCAAATTTCACAAAGATTCAATAAGCAAGCTGTAGATTCAGGGTGGACATTTTGTAAAGGATGAAATGGAACTGTAGAATCTTAAACACCTTCTATGTACTGGTCCCAAGGCATCTCAACTGAGGTTGGCTCTATGTGCAGCACTTGGCTTCCTAAAATAACTAAGTCCATTTTCGAATGTTGGCAGCTGTAACTGCAACCTCCAAGGTCCAGCACTGCTAACTTCTATCTGAAAGGATTACTCATGCCATTGCTCCTCACCTTAAATCTGGCAGCATTTTTTTTCCACCAGTGTGGACACCTCAGGTCTCCAGCATAAGAGAAACACAAGCTGATACAGGAAGACGCACATACCACACACTTCCCTCTGCTTGCCTGTGCCAAGAATCCTTCTCGTCTGAGAAAGACCAATGTGTTGGTTTTGGACACCACCACCAAATAATAGCATACGATGTGACATGTTTCCCAGAGATTAGCAGTCAAAACTTTAGACTTCAAAAGGCATCACCCTGCTAAATCTGCTAGTAGGTAGCTTAGCACCATTCGAGTGATATCTACCGAGAGACTGGTGCTGTTAGAGACCCTCCATTAAAATGGGTCATGGCCCCTGACACAGGCTCACATTCAGTTTAACTCTCACCTCTCCAACTGCCAATAGAATGGTCATGGACCCTCTAGAAGCAGACAAGAGAAAATAATTCATTTTGCAGCTATGTGGGGTTATCTGCTTGGGGAAAGCTGGTGTGCAAGTGAGGCCACTAGAAGGTGAAGCAACTGCCAGTAACCTGCCTGGGTTTAAGACTGCTCAGGTGTTCTCCTAGCTGGCAAGCTGCCTCTCCGGCCTCCGCCTGATTCCTTTTGGGGGACAAAGCTGTCCTGCTGACCTCCTGCTCTGAATCTGAATCTGATTCTGGGTTGGACCTAGGTTAGCAAACTTCTCCTGTGTCCCGATTCTGGTGTGATCCCTGAACTCTGTCTGGGTCCAGCCTTCTGGATGGCAGACTCAGCTTCCAGCTCTGCCTGAGTGTGCACAGTAATCTCAGCATCCCCAGCTCAGCCTGGTAAGTGGGCTGAGCTCCTGGTATTCCTGATCCTTGGCAGTGTCCCTTCATTCCAGCGTACTTGGCACTGGCCCTCGTGTGGGAGTCCAGGCATGAGTCGGCTTGCTCTCCTGGCGGAGATGCTAGGGCAAGTTTCCCAGGCATGAACTGTGGCTTTGTTACCTACTTCATGGAAAAGTGCAGCCACGTGTTTTTCCAGTCTGATTCACACAGGCAGCTCCAGGTCTTCAGAGGAATCAAGAACAACCAGCCCTGAGATGGCTCCAAGGTGGATTTTATATCACCCCTTCGCATCCTCTTTCTGGGACAAAGAGCCTAGATGGGCATGTGAACAATAATATCATATTATTTACTAACACATCAGAAATGGGATTCTCTCAAACAATGATCAAAATGGTAGCATTGATCCTAAGCACATACGCATATTTAAACTGGCACCAAGCTGTTAATTATGTTAATGCCTTTATGGCACAAAAATGTAAAATTTACTATTAACTTGGGGGCTGACCTAAAGAGCTGGCAAATCTCCCCTATCCTTCCCTATCTGGCTATCTTGCTGGGCTTGCAATGCCAGGGCCTACTTAGAATAGCCACAGCCACACATGAGCATCATGGGAGACTTCTGGGGGCAACTTCAGCTTCTTCCTCTAAAATGATTCCCGACTCCCAGAAATCAGCAGGTGAATTACACCCAGCGCCCTTGTTTGCACATATAAATTGCACAGCTGCCAAGTGCAGACTCCTTGAATATTTCCCCAACAAAAACTTCCTTTGGCTTGCTCTCCCCATAGTCTCTTTCTTTCCCTCACTTGCCCATTTTTCCTGCAGAGGGTCTCCTTTTGTTCTCACTGGGCCTGCTCCTCCCAACTGGTCTCTGAGGTTCCCTCTCTGTGAGCTAAAGCCTCAAAGCATGAAGGCTTTCTCCTTCTTTGGGCCACAACACCCTCTCTCAGCCATTCCTACCCCCACCTCCTGCTGCTTTCTTGCACCCACAGAGAGGACACCATGACCTGGTGCTGCCTTGGCTCAGCCTGGTCTCCCCTCTGCCCTTGCTCTGCTGCCTGCTACATCACGTTGGATGTAGGGTCCCTCTGAAACTGCCTGTCTTCTGAGAGCTTCAGACGGAAAGGGGAAGAAAGTAATCTTTCAAGACTCTAAGAGTAAGATCCACTCTGGATCTCACCTTCCTATACCAAAAATGTCACCCTATCAGCAGTCAAAATATGCTAATAAATAAGATGAACATCATAGTGGCAATCATGGTGGTAGTAGTGATGACGAAAGATTGCTCCTCCAAACTCTGCATCTAGGATCAGGGCCATCATGTGTATGCTCACTAACTGTCTGCCCCATTAGTTCTGCTCCAGCCAGGAGCTGCTGTCCTTTCTCTGCATCCACGTGCCAGTTGTAAGTGAGGAAGAGTGACCTGTCCAAAATAAATGAATTCTCGATACAAAGCCAACTGGCTGGGTGAAGCCGTACTTCTCGTAAGGGAAGGCTGTGAAGGGAAGGCTGTGATTCTGCAAGTGCCAAAGTGCTGGTTCCAGTCTTGGTTGGAAAGTGTTCTAAGACAGGCTGTGGATGCTCAAATCAACATTAGGATTACATGACTTGGAAATTCCCAGTCATCTCTGTGGGTTTGGATGGTGATAGTCAAGGAAGGTGTGCATGTATTAGTCAAACTTATCTTTTGAAAATATTTATACATCCAAAATACGTGCAAGTGAGGGGAAAATACCAGTTTCTCAATCCAAGTGAGTCCACCTTAAAACAGGTAGGGTTGAAAGGCAGTGGTCATATGTGGGCCATCTCTGCCGGCTGCCTAGCAAAAGCACACTGCAACTGTGAGGGTACCTCTGCAAAGCCACAGAATAGTTGTTGTCATGGCAAGTAGGCCTGCTTCCACAAATGAGACATGCTCATGCTGGTAGAGATGAAAGAACCTTTATGGAATTTCTGTGGGAGACAGAATTTTTGTTTAACTTTGTATGTTACCATTTATGCAGACAGAAATTTTTTAAAGCATTTGATAGAAAATCAACAAGCTTCAAGCAGAAACTAAAGCCATGAATTCCCCAGATAGACTCCTAAAAATTAAGATGGTGGCTTCCGTTTGCAGGATGCAGATTTCAAGGAAGTCCCTCAATGAGTGGCCTTCTCTGCGATTAAGGCCTAGGCTGGTGGTGGTGGTGGCAGCGGGGGGAGGATTGGGGCAGGAGAAGAAGCCCCTCACTAGCAAAGAAAAGCTGGACTCTGAGAGAGAAGCACCATCCCAAGAACGTCCACATGCACACTTCCCTGCAGCCTCATTTTCAGCTCTTCATTGTATCTGCGGATGCTGTAACCTGGGGGTTACTTCCTTTAATTCAGGCAGAGATTCCCAAGTTTGCATCTGCTGATATCTGGAAGGCCAAGCTCTTGGCTTTGCTTTAATTCAAGTTATTTGCCAACTGGATCTCGGTGCAAAGCCCAGATAACTCGACTGCCTAAATGGGAAATGGGCTTGATGTGTTTGTTCTGAGCAGGGTCATATAGAGCCATTATATAGCAGCCTTATGTTGGCTTAGGCATTTTCTTTCCTTCTTCTTTTTTTTTTTTTTTTTTGAGACAGAGTCTCGCTCTGTCACCCAGGCTGGAGTGCAGTGGAGCGATCTCAGCTCACTGCAAGCTCCACCTCCTGGGTTCATGCCATTCTCCTGCCTCAGCCTCCTGAGTAGCTGGGACTACAGGCGCCCGCCACCACGTCCAGCTAATTTTTTGTATTTTTAGTAGAGACAGGGTTTCACCGTGTTAGCCAGGATGGTCTCTATCTCTTGACCTTGTGATCCACCCACCTTGGCCTCCCAAAGTGCTGGGATTATAGGCGTGAGCCACCACGCCCAGCAGCTTAGGCATTTTCAAGAAAACTGAATTAAATTCAGTAATACTGATCAAGCTGCAAAGTGCTGTGAACACAGATTCAAATGTCTCAGTTCTTGCCCCTAAGGAGCTCACAGTCTCCTCTGTTGTTATAAACATGGGAAAGAAGGAGTGGACTGGTCAAAAATGAGGCTATGATGGCTATCCATGCAGCTTTCCTAGTTGGGATACCTTATTTGGTCTAAGGATAAACAGGAGTCCACCAGGCAGAAGAGAGTGAGGAAGGGAGTTCCAGCAGTCACAGGATGAAAGGCTCTCCCCTCACTGGCCGCAGGTAGAACATGTGAGGTGCAAAGAGAGTGAGCAGCGAGGGCTCTCAAAGACTCTCTCCTGCGCAGGATTGCAGTGTCTGCTTTCCTGACCTCATCATTTTCCAAACATATTCTTAGAAAAAGAAAACCTCTCAAGCATTCTTTCCATCTGCTTCTACCCTGACCTGGAAATTCAAGGGACCAGAAGCAATACAGCAATACAGACAGACCCTCCATGCAAAGAGCGTGAGACAGAGAACTGAGTCCAGAAAGTGTTAGCAATGGCTGGGAAGCTAGATTACATTACAGCCATGTGCCAAATGGAAATTGAATTTCAAGTTATCAAAAGGAAGGCCAAAAAAAAAAAAAAGATAAGAAAAAGCCCTCGAGTTTAAAGATGGCTACATGAATAGTTCAGATATCTGATGGTGATTCACCGCTGGAACCCCTCCGGCCCTCCATGGAGACAATGACTCCTCTGGTCTTACTGAGGAGTAATTGCTCAGCATCTCTGACTGTACACACGATTCCAAGTATATTTATAGTGTTAGGATGGCCCAGAATTTTTGAAGGTTTTTTTATTTTTGCCAAACAGTCCTGCCAGGAGATGCTGAAGGTCAGATATTTTAGAAAATCTGTTTCTGGTACTTCAGCAGTCAACTACTATTGCAAGGATGGAGAAAGATGCTTGGTTGTTCCAGGAAGCTCTGTCATGACTCCCAGGTCCAATTTTAAAGTACCTTCTGAAATAGGTGAAAGGTATTCCTAAACATGCTCTCTAGAACTTAAAGCATAGGTTTTCATCACACACAAATCTGTACCATGGGGCAGAATTAGCCACAGGAGACATTCTCAATTGTCAATTAGCCATAAAAGTGGCTTGAGGAAAAACTAGATAATGTGAAATAACTCTTTAAAGGAAGAAGAGAGGTGGTACATTCTTTATTTCACAGATAATGTAAAGAAGACATACAAAGGTGAAGGGTGTTACCTGTGGCCACATACACTGCTCCATAGGAGCTCCTGGACCTGGGGTTCACCCCCTGCCTCCTAGAGCCTGGCCAGTCCAGGCTCTTTCTAGTTAGACTATTGGGATTTTCTGTTAATGACCCTAATCAAAGTGGAAATAGCACAAAACGACCTTGGTGGCAGTGAAGAGAGAACTTGGGATTTCAAATTTTTAATGTTGACTCATAAAGTTAATTCACAAAGAATAACAGATCTTGGTGTGGTTTAAAATAAACACTCTTGCCAGCCATGGTGGCTCACGCCTGTAATCCTAGCACTTTGGGAGGCCATGGCAGGGGAATCACTTGAATCAGGGAAGGCAGAGTTTACAGTGAGCGGAGATTGCTCCACTGCATTCCAGCCTGGGTGACAGAGTAAGACTCTGTCTCAAATAAAATAACATAAACATTCTGAGGAACAAGTGAGGCATGAGACTCCCCCATTTCAGAAATGCCTGGAAGAATCTCCCATTTCAGGTATTTTAGGGAAGCAAACCGTTCACTCAAAAGAGAATTTTGCCAGGTTTGCACAGACTTTAGACATTAATACTTCCTTTAAATGGATTTTGGAATCATTGACAGAGGAAAAAAAGAGTAAAACTCTAAGAGAAGGCAGGCAGAGAAGTGAATGGATTGCTCCTGAAAAGGACTGAAATCAGAGACAAAGAGATCTCAAATAAGAAGCAAAGTTTTTCAGAGTCTACCTTACAAATACTTTTCATCTGAAACCATCCAGCAACATTTACTGGCCCAAATGAACTATGGGTGTGAATAGTTTCATTCTATTGGTCATTAATGTACCAAACAGAGTCTTTCTTAAAGAGGTATCAAAGCCACAGTGGAAACTGTATCCGACGCTCCAAATAAACTCTAACCAAGGATGGGAAACTCGGAATCATGGAGTTGTTTGTGGATTTGGCTAAAAGTCAGGCATGTTTTGAGGCTTTAAACACTGATTATTTATATCCAACAAATAGTTTGTGAAAAAGGAGAGAGGGAAGAAATGGGATATGGAAATTGTGTATCTCAAGAAAGAGCCAATCATTTTCCCTCCTAACCAGAGCATGGCAGAAGGGAGAAGAAAAGGAAAAGAGCTTGCCCTTTGTGGAAAGCTGAGCTTTTCCTGAAAGTCTGACAGGCAGAGAAACAAAGTTTGGATCCTGCAAGATCGTTCCTGTAACCAGATCAAGTTCCTCCTGTTTGCTGGAGGCCCTTGGGTCTCCCGTCACAACTGCACCCAGCTCACGGGCACAGGCAGGTGCATACCCTGCCCGTAGAGTCATCTTTCATAGACTTCCCTGCTGGATCCGGGCAAATAGTGTTTCCAGAAAAAGCGAATCCAGCTTTCTGTGCCACCACCCTGGGATCTGGTACTGTGTCATGGGAAGGCATGCAGGGACTTGCCTCCTGACCCCACTGCCAGGAGGGGTGCTGGTTTGATCACTCCTGACCCCTTCCCGCCAGCATTTATGATCTTAGACACTTACTCACCTTCCAACCATGTGAGGCAATTAAGAATGATTGCCTCTGAATCAAGGGCAAATCATCCACCAGTTTCCTGGCCAAGGTTTGAGTGGGAGGAACAGCTTGTGTGAAATCCTTTAACGGTGACAAAATGCTTAACAATCTTGATGGCAGTGGTCAGTTAGGGTAACGAACATAGGGCGGTCTGACCTCCAGCTCATGTTTTCCTGTGTTCACTTTCTACCTGGTAATGGTGAGCTCATCCTAATCCCCCTGGGGTAGCCCCCATCCGGGTAGGAGGCTACTGTTGGCCCCTGCACAGATGGGTCTAGCCCACCAGCCTCCCCCCCACGACCCCACCACAGGGTGGCAGTTGCGAGCACACGCCTAGAAGCCCTGCCTTTCTTTGGCCTCTCCCAGAGAATGAAATTTCAGCATTTGTACAGCTCAGACCCACTGGCTGAAACTTCTACCTCCTGGCTCAAACTTCTACCTCCTGCTTCCCTGAGTGAAGTAACTGACAGAGGAAGTAATACTTCCAACTGGATTTTAGAGTTCCTGAGTCTAGTCTATGTTTAGTCTATCTCTATTTCCCTGTCCCTCCCCCACGCCCTAAACTGACATTTCGTAGGTTTCTGGTAAATTACCGAGTCCAGAGTTGGAAGCCCTAAGTGGTATTTATTTTACTTCAAATCACCTTTAGTCATCAGAATCACCTGGAGGGCGTGTTAAAGCAGGAGCTGGCCTGAGAATGTGCACTTCTAACAGGTTTGCAGGGGATCCTGCTGCACTCTGGGACAAGGCTTTGAGACCTGCTAGCCGCAGGAAGTCTTTTCCTCTCTTTCCTCCCTTCCTAGCTGTGCCTCTCCCTGAAGCCCACCTACAGGAGAGACGGGAAAACGTTATGGGCAGTGTTGTCTCAAGAAGGAATGTCAGGATAATTGGAATAAACAAAAGAAGAACTTGAATAACTGATCACAGTCACCGTTGATCCTTTCCCCAGGAAATAGTACTTTTTGTTTTTATTTTCTTCCATGAACTAGCCTTTTATCCATAGCAGAGAGGTTTTCTCTCAAGAAGAAACAGGATCTGAACAGGATCTGAACCTTAATTCTTCTTCTGGTGGGAGTTCAGTCCATTTCCTTCTTATTCTGGATTAATTTCCCCTTTGCCATTGAATAAAACAGAGGACTTTACAAAGGGCCTACTTCATGCCAAGTAATGTGTTAATAGTTCTAAGTGGTTTATGTGCATCTCAAAAGACCTTCGCCACAATTTCACAGACTATATGTTATTAGCCCATTTTACAAACTAGCAAACTGAGGGTTAGGGAAGTTTTGTAGTTACTGGAGATCATAGTAGTCATAGATAGAACAGAGATTCAAATCCTGGCTTGACTTCAAAGATCAAGCTATGCTGCCATAGACAGCATTACGCTTTCTATAGTGAAAGACTTGTCACAAACAATTCTGTGATCTGTCACTTATTCAATACACATATTTATTAAGCACATACTATGTGCCATGCTCTATAATTAATTAGGTCCTAGGAATATAATGATGTACAAGATGGATGGAACTTTTCAAAACATATTTTCTTAGATTGTCTCATGAAAATTTGTTTTTAATACTTTGTCCTTCGATGGAATTGCTCATGAAAGCATATGTCATTAAACCCAGAAATTGCATTCCCCTCCTCAATTTCTTGCCATCCTCCTTTGACTTACTATTAATATCAGTTTAACAAATTTGTTTCCTATTTTCCTTAAAGGAGTCTGTTGCTTTTATTTTTAAAATATATTTAGTTTTTGGGCCAGGCATGGTCGCCCACGCCTGTAATTTCAGCACTTTGGGAGGCCAAGTGGGTGGATCACAAGATCAGGAGATCAAGACCATCCTGGCTAACATGATGAAACCTCGTGTCTACTAAAATTATAAAAAATTAGCCGGGTATGGTGGCACATGCCTGTAGTCCCAGCTACTCAGGAGGCTGAGGCAGGAGAATCGCTTGCACCTGGGAGGCAGAGGTTTCAGTGAGCCAAGACAGTGCCACTGTACTCCAGCATGGGCAACAGAGCAAGACTCCATCTCAAATACATATATATATACACACACACACATATATATATACACACATATATATACATATATACACATATATATACATATATACATACAGATACATATATACATATACATACATGTGTATATGTGTGTATATGTGTATATGTATATATGTATATATACGTGTATATATACACGTATATATACACATATATACATGTATATGTACATACATACGTATATATACGTATATATATATTCGTGTATATATACGTATATATGTATATATTCGTGTATATATATATTTAGTTTTTGAATGAGTACATTAACATAGCTCAAAATTTACAAGAAATAAAAATGTGTACAGTAAAAATTAATCTCCTTTCCACCCCATGACCCCTAGCCACTCAGATCTCCCCAGAAGCAACCGCTTATAAATATACATTGTCTTCCCCCGTCCTTTCTTTGCTCATGAACACAAATGGTTGGTTTCTACCTACAAAGTGTTCTCTACTTTTATTTTTCTCAGTTGATTTATCTTGGAGATCATGCCAAATCAGTAAATATAGTTACCTCGTTCATTTTAACAGCCGCATATGTAAATAATTCTAAAATGCACCATACTGTATTTAACTAAGCCCTTGTTGACGAACACATAACATGGCCCAGTATTTTTCTATTACAAACAATTCTACAATGACTACTCTTGTGTGTCTATCGTTTTACACAGGAGCAAGTATATCTACAAGATAATTTCCTATAAAGGGAAATGCTGGGTAAAGAGAAAATGGTATGTTCATCTGTAATTTAAAAATGTTTTCATTATGGAATTTTTCAAGCATTACAAAAGGAGACAGACTAGTAAGATGAACTGCTGCATATCCATCATCAAGCTTCAGCGATTATCCACAATCCATGGCTGATAGTATTTCGTATATATATAGGCCCTATCCATTTCCCCACCCCAAATTATTTTGAAACAACTCCAGGCATAATGTTATTTCACTAGGAAATATTTTGGCACTGTTCTTGAAAAGCAAGGACTTAAGAAAAGAAAAATATATGTGTGTGTGTAATCACATTATCACCCCTAACATAAATTGTTCATTAATACTAGAAAATATCCTGTCAGTGTCATATTTTCCAAGGTTGTCTCATAAAAATTGATTTTCTACTAGTTTATTCTTTGATTAGAATCCAATAAGATCCAAAAAAAAAAAAAAAAAAGAATCCAATAAGATCCATACATGGCAGTTGGCTAAGTCTTTTTTTAATCTCTTGGTTCTGTCTCCATCTCTCTTGTTTTTCTTTGTGCATCGTTGTTGTAGAAACTGGGTATGTTTGTTTCCAGAGTCCGGATTTTACTGACCCTATCGAATGACCACAGGGTCATTTAAAATGTTCTGCTACCCATTAGGTCAAAAATTAAACACAAAATTAAATTGCAGAATTTCTTAATAATAAAACACAACATAGCTGAACCTATGTGACACAGCTAAAGCAGTTATTAGAAGAAAAATAACAGAACTAAATAACTCTATCAGTAAAAAAGCAAAGCTAAATGGATTACACCCGTAAGTCAGAAAGCTAAAAAAAAAAAAAAAATTAAAATATAAGACAAAAGGAATCAGAAAGAAGATAAATGCAGAATTAATGTTTCATCATTTTAGGGCTTGTTTTTACAAACTGAAGCTTAAGACTCACCATTTGAGAACTAGGAGACCATTTCCTAATTTGTAACGATATCAACAACACATCTAGGTAGCTGTCAGGGGCTGGGAGCCTTTTCTACACAAACTTTGCTCTGAATTTCAAAATACTAGCCTGTCTTGACACTTAGTGGAAATTCAGGTAGGGTGGCCTTAACTCAGGTTCTTCAGGAAAGCGTCCTGTTTCAGGGACACAGTGGGGTGGGGTCGGGGGAGGGCTGTATTCCGCACATCTAGTTCTGGCTGGGCTTATGGCAAGTCTCAGTCCTCTGGAGTCACCTGAGTGACTGAGGGATGAGAGGCATTTCTGATCCCGTAATATACTTACATGGCTTTGCCATCTACCACATCCCAGTTCAAATCTCAGCTGGCACAGTTACCGTTCACGTGGCCTGGAGCAAATCTGAGCTGAACTTTCCTCACCGTAAATCTGGTAAAAATCTTTACCTTAAAGGAGTGTGGATCAAATGAGATACCAGGTAGAGCTAGTGCTCACCGAGTGGAAGCTAAGGTGATGAAGCCCCTTTATTCTCAAGTTCTGTGATTCCATGATGGAGACCCATGAGGCCTACCAGACGGAGAGTATCAATTAAAAGAAAGCAATCACGGAGTTCTTCCCGCCTTCTCTGGAGGATGTATTCCTATGAGCTGCCCCGAATGTTAAAAATAATACACCTGCCCCCAAAGTGCCGAGGACGCCTTTGTGGTCCACCTACTCATCGTCCACCGGTTTCTGCAAGTGGACCGGTTACCTGCTCAGGAGCAAATGTTTCCATCACGACGCACCCTCTCCCAGGGATGGGCTCAACCTGTGCTCTCCCTGCGACAATGCTGAACAGTGCCATCTGTCCCTACCCAGCGTCAGCGTCACGCAGAGGGCCCGGGCTTGGAATGTGGGAGGCACGCTCCCAGCTCACTTTGGTTTTCCCGCCCTGGAGGGGAATCCAAGATGTCTAACTAGTCTTCTGGCCCCGAGAGGGAGAGGTGGGGATAGGACCTTCCTTTAGTCCCCTCCGTAGTGGAACGAAGGATTCTTTATGGTCATCTGTGGTGTTCATTTCGTAAAGAAGCATCTGCAGGGTAAGAAGGAAAAACGTCCACCTTGCAAATATATCCCAGGCACATGCCTCCTGAGAAGTGACCCCCTCCTCCCTCCGCCTCCCCCGGCACGTCCTGGGGCTTCTCCAGTCTCCCGCTCCTGGGACCAGGCAGAGATCCCGGCGTGGGCAGACCCCTGCCACCGCGCCCAGGCCTCGTCCGAAACTCGCGCCCGAGAGCCCACGCCGGAGGCGACGCTCCCGATAACTACTGTGCTCCCAAGACCCGGAGGGCACGAAGAAAGGAGCCCTGGCAAACAAAGGGTACGGGCCGGGACCGCCGCAGCCCGGGGCGGGGGCACGGCAACCGCGAGGCCTGGGGGCGCCCGCCCCCCGCGCCCCACGCCCGGTGCCAGCGAGCCGAGGCGTGCATCTCCTTA
Source organism: Homo sapiens (assembly GCF_000001405.40). Classification (NCBI taxonomy): domain Eukaryota; kingdom Metazoa; phylum Chordata; class Mammalia; order Primates; family Hominidae; genus Homo; species Homo sapiens. Next base: position 105,399,105 of record NC_000002.12, on the reverse strand, counting down.
TATGGTCAAATGACACGGCGGGGTTTCTCGAGGGCGGGAGCTGCGCAGCGCTCCACTCGGCCGGCAGCGGAGCCGCAGCCACCAGCCGCCCGCGCCCTCCAGCCCCGTCCGGGAGTCCCCGGCCCGCTGCGGTGCCGTGAGTACCTCCAACCCCCTGCGCCCCGGAGGGAGGCCGAGGGGCTTAGCCACCAGGGCTCGGAAGTGGGGGCCGAATCCGGTGCGAGACCCAAGGAGAGGGGAGCAGAGCCGGAGTTGGGGAGACTGGTGAGAGGAGAGCAGAGCTGTGGGTCCGGGAAGACCACTGGGAGAGGGGACCCGAACCGTGCGGGGAGAAGCCGGGAGAAAGGAGTTGAGCTGTGGGGTAGACCCGGGAGAGGAGAGCCGAACCCTGGGGGTTGGGGGTGGGGAGACCACGGGGAGAGGGGAGCGGAGCAATGGGAGGGGTCTAGACCCTGGGGGCGCTGGAGCTCAGAGGAGCCCACCGACTCATCCCCAGAGGGAGGACTGCAGCCCGCGTCCTCACCAGGTGGGGCACCGCCATGCGGGCAGGGACCGGGCGAGCCTGGGTAAAGGCTGGCCGCGGGTCCCAGCCGGCGGCTGCGGGGAGGTGACGCTGTCCGCCTGCTTCCAGGCCCGACTCCCGAGCGGGCTGTCCTGGCACGGTGGTCTGCGCGGGGGAGTCCGGGCCATTTCCCTTTAGTAGAAATAAGTGGAGTTTGCAGTGTGACCTCGCTCCTTGACTCAGGTAGACATTTAATAACTGAACCATTCGGTTAAAACAAAAATGGCTTATTTTAAATGAAAAGATTCTAAGTTTTTCTTAAGTCGCACTCGTGTGATATCTTAGCATACCAGAAATAGAGGGAAGAAAATATTGAGTGTTTTTCTGATTTTAAATGAATCAGTCATATTTATTTTCATATCCTCAGTCGGGTTTTAACTGGAAGTAGGCTAATCCGGTTAGCTGAAATGTGTAGCTGGCTTGCAAGCAGCAGTGTACTTAGACATCACTGAACTTAAGGCCCGCACTCCCTTCCACATATTTTGGAAGGTAATAAATCACAATTTGGGTTTAGAATCAGGAGAACTGTCTTCAAAACACAACTCCCAATACATCTCACATTTTTGGTGCTGACTCTACTAATGAGTGTTTTATAATAATATATTAAAGAAAAGAGGTTTTGCACTATCCTGAAGATGTTTTAGACAAAAAAAAACAAAAAACAAAAAAACAAAAACCATTTGCATCAAGTCTTAGAAGTACAGGAATTCCTAGTCTATCAATTAAACTTTAATAAAACCAAACTCAAAGAACATTTCATTGTGCATTTATATAAAATTTTGTCAAGTGTTACTGGATTTAGATCACCCCCCAGTTTAGAAGATCATCAGTTAATACACAGAATTGTGTTTCCACGGTGTTTATTAGCCTGCCATGGTTTAAAATGCGTTTACACCATAACATGTCGATGAAGGCTAATGATGGGCTTACTACAGACCAGAAACTGTTCTGGGCACATAGGTTCTGTCTCATTTTAGCTCACCGTCTCACAAATAGCCACAGGCAGATGCAGTAGGCTAGGGGATGCCGGGGACTGCATGTAGGCTGCCTAAATTTACATCCGGGTCCCTCAACCTGTGCAGCCTGGGCCAAGTCACTTAATCTCGTAGTGTCTCGGTTTTCTCCACTGGGAAACAGGGACAATGATGTTGTCTTTTTGTTAGGGTTGTTAAGAAGCCTGGACATCATAGACAGTGTATACATATTTGATAGCCTCATTTTTACAGGTAAAGACACTGAAAACAGAGATCAAAGTAACTTTAACTCAGGGTTTCCCGGGCTGTAAATGGTAGCCCTGAGATCTGACCCCAGGCAGCTTAACTGGAGAACCTGAGTTCTAACCACTAAACGCACCACGGGAGGAACATTTGAATATTTATTTATTTTTTTTAACATTTGAATATTTCTATGAGGCCTTATGATGCATACTTTGACCCAAGATTGCGTGTTAAACCATTTCCAGTACTGAAAGATATTTAAATTGCAGTCAAAAACGCCCAATAGAATATTGCCAAAAAAAAAAAAAAAAAAAAACAGACTAGATATCAGGAGTAGTTTACTCCTGTCCTGTGCCGAGGGCCAGTTACTCAGCCTCAGTGACTCAGGCAGCCTCCTTTGTCAGCACCGGGCCTGAGTCGCTAAGCGGCTCTCTGACTCAGATGCCCTGAGGTACAAAGTTCCTTGAGCTTGGGTGAATGGAAACATTAGACATTGGGTTCTTCTGTGCGGTTTTATTATGAGAATTTGATCAAAGCCACATTTATTAAGTGTCCATCTCAAGTTGCATTATACTGAGTTCGCTTCCTCAAGATGACCATCTGAAACAAAACACGTGTGCTTTCTCTAGTGGCTGAGAACTGTGTCTTCCTGGAGACTAGGCTGGCATTTTGACTTTGGGGTGAGTCAAGTGAATTTCCTCTGTTATCCTAAATTGTGGATTTCAGTTTTAGCTACTGTGATGGTTACTTTCATGTGTCAACTTGACTGGGCCATGCGGTGCCCAAACATTCAGTCATATGTTCTGGGTGTGTCTGGGAGGGTGTTTTTGGATGAGATTGACATATGAATGGGTAGACTGAGTAAAGCAGGCTGCTCTCCATAATGTGAGTGGGCCTTGTCCAAACAGTTGAAGGCCTGAATAGAACAAAAAAACTGAGTAAGAGGGAAGCCCCCCTGCCGGACTGCTTGAGCTGGGACATTGGTCCTTTCCGCCTTTGGACTCACACTGAAACATCGGCTCTTCTTGGGTCTATAGAGTCTCCTCTTTTCAGACTGCAATTTGCACCATCGGCTCTCCTGGGTCTCCAGCCTACTGACTGCAGGTCTTGGGACTTTTTCACCTTCGTAATTGTGTGAGCTAAATCATTGCGATAAATCTCTCTATGTACATCTCTTGTTGGTTCTATTTTTCTAGAAAACCCTGACTATTACAGCTCTCTGGTAACATCTATTTAAAAAGTCTCCCCACCAACTGTCATTCTCCCTTTTTTTAAGATTTGATCACTACTTTGCTCCTGGGAGTCTTGGCTTTCCTCTTGCTGTAAAACATGCTCTCTGCATGGGGATGTCACGAGGGGTCTGGAGCAGCGTCTGGTCTCCCAGGTCCATCCCAGTGCTCGTGGGTGGTGTCTTGCCTGGTGTGAACTTAGACTTCACACTCATCCTCAGCCTTCGGTGGCCCACGCCTTTACTAGCCTGATTCTGTCTGCGGCTTCAAGATCCTCCCGTCATATGGTCTTGAGTGAGATGTGGGATGTCTGTGGCAGAAGCAGCTGCCCTGTTTTCATGGGTGAACAGAATTAATGCCAGAATGTCCTTGCAGTATGTAAATATGGAGCTTGTCAGTCAACAAGGAAATAGACCTGTCTGCTTGGGTTAATACAACTTTTGGAGTCACTAAGAAGCAGGCAGTCAATGAAGGAAGCAGAAGGAACTGTGCAAGCCTCTCGGGACAGAGTCCTGTTGCAGTGCGCCAGAGAAACCCCACAGAGTGGCAGGACTGCAGTGAGAAGGAGGTGGCCAGTCATTCATGGAAGCTGCTGGATGCCAAGAGAAAGGCCAGCATGGGGGTGGGGGTCATAGGCACCTCAGATAGCTGGGAGAGTGAACAGTGAGCCGCACTTGGGAGGTGAGAGGAGACCCCTGCCATGAAGAAGAGTGGGTGGTTTTCGTTTTGTAGGTGTAGAAGTGTTCGTAACTCACTCAGGGAAGGCATGGTAGAGCCATAGCATGCAGGATGGAGTCTCCCTTGGTCCCCACACTGGTGTGATTGACGGACCCGAGGCCACCCGCCATTCTAGCGTGTGCAGCTATGGTTGTCCTGCATGGCTGCAATTGATGTGTTTTGAGATTAAATGACAAGATGGGATCTTAAAGGTGATTTAAATTATTTGGAGCTAGAACTAGACTGGAACTCCTTCATAGACTGTGTGTTTTATCTCAGCTTCCCAGTGCCTCACGTAGCACATGGAAAACAGTGGTTACTCAACACATTCTTGTCGGCTGGGTTCAAAAGGCTGAACGACATCAAAACAAGTGTAACTCCTCTTGTAGTCATGGACTTCAGATCAGAAATTTGATATTTATTGTTTTCCCTTTATTTTTAGTATTCAATATTCAAAAGATAATTCAGAAGACAGCAGTTTACCTTATTCAAACATTGCCTCATGCAGAACCACCAGAGATGAAGATGTTTATTTATTTTTTTTAAGTTGGAAGTTACCAGTTTATGTAAACTATAATACACCTCTGACACCTGTCTGTACATGCATTTAGTAAAGGCTTATTAAATTAATCTGTAAATATATTATACAGTGGTAAGCATAGTCAATTTTATACCTTACAAACTAAGATTGTTTAAAATCCAACAATTTAAAAATAGATTTCAAGTGGATGCTAGATACTTTTTTTCTTTCTTTCTTTTTTCTCTTTCTTTCTTTCTTTCCTTCTTTTCTTTTTTTTTTCCCAGGGTCTCATTCTGTTGCTCAGGCTGGAGTGCAGTAGCTTTTCACAGGTGCCATCATAGCTCACTAAAGCCTCAAACCCCTGGGCTCAAGCAGTCCTCCTGCCTCAGTCTCCCAGGTAGCTAGGACTGTAGGCACACATCACCATATCCAACTGATATAAATTTTTTTTTTTTTTTAGAGACCGGGTCTTACACTGTGGTCCAGGCTGGAGTATAGTGGCAGCACTACAGCTCACTGCAGCCTCGAACTCTTGGGCTCAAGAGATCCTCTCTCTTTAGGGACTCCAAGGCTTGATCCATTATTCTAGTTTATAAAACAGCAACTTTCCTTGACATGATGGCCCTCTCCGTTTTATCAGAATTTCTGTTTAAAACAACCCGTTTAGCTAGACAAATGAAGAGTGTTGGGGGTGAGCGGTTTTTGTGTGTAGATACTCCCATCCGTAGGAAAATAAAATGGTGCGGGGTATTCTCTGAGCACATTTCCAGGTGTGAGAGTCCCGTGCCTTTGAATGGAGGATCTTTGATTATAGGCATCACATGTCTGTAGAACATCAGGGCCTTCTGCTGACACCTGGAGCCCGTGTTGGGGATCTGTGCGTTCTTCCCAAAGTGGGCACGACTCCCAGCTGGCTTTTTGCTTCTTGACCTGGCCAGGCTGCATCCTGGACTGTGCAGCTGTGTGTTCACATGGGATTGGAGTCCAAACACAATAAGAAGAGTTATATCCGCTGCGGAAGCAGCAGCTTATCTGGAAGGAGGGACGAGGGCAGCGATGGAAGCTCATGATGTCATATGCCAAACCACATTACATGTTGGGTTTGCTATGCAGAGTGGATTGTTCACATAATATGTTTCTAATTTTTCATGCTTGATTTTTGCCTGTATGTTTGTACTCTGACATGTTTGTATTCATCCACCCGTCAATTCATTTGTTCATCCATTCCACAAGTATTCACAAAGCCCCTGGTCCTGTGTGTGTTCCCTGCTGGTGAGGTCTCAGCGACAGGTAGTGGGCACCCTTCCCAATGCTTACGGTTGGTAGAAGACGGGGCAATTGCATGAAAACACTGCACTTTTATAATGTATTTTTTAAAAGAGCCCACATAGACCAGTTTTCCTAATTGTCTCTGGAAAGCTCTGGTTGATTATTGATAAGTAATTGAATATCCCTTGCGGATCCCCGGTGACATCTAAAGATACAGGGACTGACTTACCGAAGCTGCTTTTGCATGTGTTGAAGGGCTGCATGCAGGAAGGGCTTGGGGACGTTCACAGATTTCTCCTTAGGAAATGGCTATGTTAGAGGAGCCTCCTGCAGCAGGGTTGATAGGGAGAAGCACTTGGGGTTTCAAAGGGGGAGGAGAAAATGGGCCCATTGGGGTCAGATCAAAGTAGGTAGTCAATAAAAGGTGCATTGAAAAGGATGCTTAAATAGACTTCTTTTGCTAATCTGACCTCTTCAGGCTTTACCTGTAGGGATCTGCCAGGCTCCTGGAACTCCAAGGCCTGAGCCAGCAAGCCAAGGGAGGCTGTCTGTCATGGCAGCCCCTCCTTTGATCGAAATCTTTCTGGTTAAAAAAAAAAAAAAAATTAGCTGGGTGCGGTGATGCACGCCTGTAATACCAGCTACTTGGGAGGCTGAGACAGGAGAATTGCTTGAACCTAGGATGTGGAGGCTGAAGTGAGCCAAGATAGGGCCAGTGCACTCCAGCCTGGGTGATAGAGTGACACTGTCTCAAGAAAAAAAAAAAAAAAAAAAAAAAAGCTTCCTGGCATGCAGGGTCCTTGCCTCTCTTCTGCCTCATTTCATTTACCCTCCTCCTTCCTTTTTTTGTCCTGTCACCACCCTTCTCCCCTTCTCTTTACTCTTTCTGTTTCCTTTTCCCTTTATTTTCCTCCAGCTTTGATACTTTCCCCACTCATACTTTGTTTTACAGTTTTTGAATCTGAAAATTTAAAAATAGATCACACTGATGAGCTTGTGAACTTTTAAAATTAGTATGAATTGTGAGTAGTAGAGTGCATTGTTGCTCCCTGGCCCTCTGAACCTTTATTCTTACATCCTTTTTATTTCTTTTTCTTTTTTTTCTTTGGAGACATGGTCTGTGTCACCATGAGGCTGTTTCCTTGAGGCTGGAGAGCAGTGATGCTATCATGGCTCACTGCAGCCTCGACCTCCTGGGCTCAAGATCCTCCCACCTCAGCCTCCTGAGTAGTAGGGACTACAAATGCATGCCACCACACCCGGCAAATTTTTTGTGTTTTTTGTAGAGATGGGGTTTCTCCATGTTGCCCAGGCTGGTCTTGAACTACAGGGCTCAAACGATATGTCTGCCTCGGTCTCCCAAAGTACTGGGACTACAGGCATGAGCCTCTGTACCCGACCTATTCTTACATCTGAGTCAAAGCTGGGCTAGCGAGAGACTCAGAGATCAAAGCCTTCCCTGGGCCATCCCCAGACCTCCGAGCTGCACCTGGCACCTGCCTCACCCATTGCAGTTCCCTTGGCCTGGAGTCAAGCCTGTACCCTAAGATCCAGCTTTTTCAAATACCCTATTCAGGGCCGAAGGGGTAATGACATCATGGAATGATTTAGCTTGGTGAGGAATAAGAACTCCAGGAAACTGTGATTTGGAATTTGATTCAGTGAAATAAAAAGGAGGGGTTGCGCCTTATGTTTGGGCATCTCCCTGCAGGCTGTTGCCTGATGCTTTCAGCATTCCTGTGTACCAGCTAAGGAGCAGGAATTATTGATAACCTGTCAGGAGGGATGTGGAGTTCACAGAGAGTAAATGGATTGTACACAATTAGGTTAATAAGTCCTTGTAGAACCAAGATGTCCTACTTTTATTTGAAGAAATCATTCAGAAATGGGCTCTGATACCCTGATACATTTTTTAGGAGTCATTGCCCCCTGTCTTGCATAGTAAAGGCAGGCTTCCATGCAGTAAACTTTCACTGGGCTGTCCGTTTCTCCACTGCCTGCGAGGCATACCCAAGTCCATGAACAAGGCATCCAGGCCCTCATTGCCTTGGCTGTTGACTGGGTCTTCCATCTTCCTGGGCTCTCTGCCTACCCTACTCTGTCTCTCATGTCTCTGGCTTTGCCTACTCCACCCCTTGACCTGACCTGCCATATCACCTGGCTGACCTGTTCCTAGCACAGATAGCATCTCCTCTGGGATGCCTGCCTGCTCTCTCAGGGGCTCCTCCTCTGCGTGCCCATCATACCTGTGCACCTCCAGCACGCACTGAGTAAGGGGCTTGGTAGTCTGTTTGGTATATATCTCTTTTCCTCACTAGATAACAAGTCCCTTGAGGGGAGGGGCCTGCATTTTATTCATCTTTGTATCTTCTGCACTTTTCATGACTTTAGACACATAGTTCCAGCTCAACCAATGTTTATTCAGTGAATGAATGAGCAATCAGGTATTTATGGGATGTAAAAAATGCAAGTGGCTCATGACTGTAATCCTAGCACTTTAGGAGGCCAAGGCAGGCGGATCACCTGAGGTCAGGAGTTTGAGACCAGTCTGGCCAACATGGTGAAACTCCGTCTCTACTAAAAAAAAAAAAATACACATACACACACACACATACACACACACACAAATTAGCTGAGTGTGGTGGCGTGTGCCCGTAATCCCAGCAACCCAGGAGGCTGAGGCAGGAGAATCACTGAAACCCGGGAGGTGGAGGCTGCAGTGAGCTGAGATCATGCCACTGCACTCCAGCCTGGGTGACACAGCAAGACTCTGTCTCAAAAAAAAAAAAAAAATGCAAGTTATAGGAGATTTCTAATACAGGACAATAGGTATACTTTTAAACATGTTGTAATAGAAGGGAAGCTCTGAGCTTGCTTATTAGCTCATGGACTTTTTATTCTGATGCTCAGGGCTTGTGCAGTATGTAACTGTGTGGAACTCCTTCAGGGGCCTGCTTTCACACAGTGCATCCTGCTGTGCTCCTAGGTAGCAGCAGTTGCTCATTTTATGCTCTGCCCTGTTGGTTGGAGTAGAAATGCTCTCTGCTCTTTGTAGAACTCTAGTGTCCTCTTAGAAGATGAGGAACAAGGTAGAAGAGGGATCCACCACTCTCAGAAAGAATTCTGTAGAATTAGGAGCTGAACCACAGGGCCAAGTGCCTCCTCCCAGGTGGACCCACTGAGCAGATAGCAGCTGCTACTGTTCCTGCTGGGAGCTGGTATCACTGATAATGATATTCATCATATCACTGATGATGACATTCACCATGATGACATTCATAACCTCAGTCGTACTTTGAGCAAATGTGGAGCCCTACTTATTTTCAGAGTTTATTCTCTTAGATTTATTTTTTTATTTTTTTAGACGGAGTCTCGCTTTGTCGCCCAGGCTGGAGTGCAGTGGCACGATCTCAGCTCACTGCAAGCTCTACCTCTTGGTTCACGCCATTCTCCTGCCCCAGCCTCCCAAGTAGCTGGGACTACAGGTGCCCGCCACCACACCCGGATAATTTTTTTTTTGTATTTTTAGTAGAGATGGGGTTTCACCGTGTTAGCCAGGATGGTCTCAATCTCCTGACCTCGTGTTTCACCCGCCTCAGCCTCCCAAAGTGCTGGGATTACAGGCGTGAGCCACCGCACCTGGCCAGATTTTTTTTGTTTTTGTTTTTTTCTGTCCTGGTCCTGTAGAATCAGAGGAAGTGGAAAACACATATCAGGTATATGAGCACCGTGATCACGATTATTACCTCAGAGGAAAACAGGTGTACCCCTTTCACCAGCTGCCAACATAAATGGAGCTCTGCAGACATTAACAGAGGCTGTAGACTGTCTCCCTTCCCTAGCAGGGCTGGTGCTTGTCCTGACCCACACAGACGGCCTTTCAAGTTAGACTGGGAGTTCATTTTCTGTAAGTCAGACGGCTATTTGAGAAAGCTCAGTGGACCCTCTTTTTCATAAATATGCGTGGGCTTCAGTTTTTCCATCCATAGAATGAGGAAGTTGTCATAGATAATCTGGGGATTTGTTTCCAGCTTTTACAATTCCGCAATTTATAGTTCTCTGTCCTTTCATCGTTCTTATTTCAAATTCCCAAATTATTATTCTTATGTTTGTGGGCATGGAATGGGCAGTGAGCCTCTTGTCCCACAGCTAAATCACACCCTTTATTGGAAAAACATATATGTTGGAAAAACAGCTCTCAATTGTGATGAAATAAATGACAGCAACTTTCAAGGCCAATAACTGAACAATTACAGGAAAGCATTGAATCTTGTGCCAGCATGGCTGCTCCAACTCGAGATGGCTGCGGTACAAAGGATATTTATACGTTGGGCTTCAGAATAATAATTCAAGTGCTCAAGAGCCTCATCTTGTGATGTTATCACAAGAATGTCCAGACAATGTTTTCTTTAACTCCAGGAAGAGTGATTTAGAAGGACGGATCTTGCCGCATGTGTCCAGCTGCATATTTATTGCTCTTGGAAGAGAATTATTCTGTAAACACAGAAATATCCAAGAATGAATTCTTGAAAGATGATCTTTTCCTTGCTTACAGTTGTCAGGATCGTGTATACGCAATAGTACAAAATTACTGTAATCACAAACCAGGCGGCAATATTTTATTTGCATCAGAAGGTCTGATTCTGGCATTTCACTCGCCTATCTTTTGAAGACTGCAAATTGAACCAAGTTTTCTTAGATCCTGTGAACTCTTGCTCAGAGTTACATAGCCAACCAGTGTACCTATTTTTTTTTTTTGAGACGGAGTCTCGCTCTGTTGCCCAGGCTGGGGTGCAGTGGTATCATCTCAGCTCACTGCAACCTCCACTTCCTGGGTTCAAATGATTCTCCTGCCTTAGCGTCCTGAGTAGCTGGGATTACAGGCATGTGCCAGTAAGCCCGGCTAATTTTTTTTTTTTTTTTGTATTTTTAGTAGAGACAGGGTTTCACCATGTTGGCCAGACTGGTCTCAAGCTCCCAACCTCAGGTGATCCACCTGTCTCGGCCTCCCAAAGTGCTGGGATTACAGGCGTGAGTGACTGCACCCAGCCCAGTGTACCTATTTAAGAACAGAGAAAACTTTCCACTTTTAGCAAATGGAATATTGCCATTTATTCCTGAAGAAAATTGTCTGTGTTTTTAATGCCCTATGGCCGTTTCTCCACACCAGCTATTCCTGTGGTAGGCTTTTTCTCTCCAGGATCATTCTAACATGATTTTATAGGAATGGTCATAAGAGGAGGGCCCATCACTTGCTGCTTATTCACACTGCGTATTCATCCTAGAAAAATGCAGTGTGCCGGGCATGGAGACCCCTTATTTTAAACTTTTATTTTAGGTTCGGGGTACATGTGCAGGTTTGTTATACAGGTAAACTCTTGTCACAGGGGTTTGTTGTACATATTATTTCATCACCCAGGTATTAAGCCTAGTACCCAAGTGTTATGTTTTCTGCTCCTCTCTCTCCTGCCATCCTCCCTCCCCGCTCAAGTAGACCCCAGCGTCTGTTGTTTACCTCTTTGTGTTCATGTGTTCCCTCATTTAGCCCTCACTTACAAGTGAGAACATGCAGTATTTGGCTTTCTGTTCCTGCATTAGTTTGCTAAGGATAATGGCCTCCAGCTCCATCCGTGTTCCTGCAAAAGACATGATCTCATTCTTTTTTGTGGCTGCATAGTATTTCATGATGTATATGTACCACATTTTCTTTATCCAATCTGTCATCGCTGGGCATTTAGGTTGATTCCATGTTGTCGGTATTGTGAAGAGTGCTGCAATGAACATTCATGTACATGTGTCTTTATGGTAGAATGATTTGTATTCCTCTGGGTGTATTCCCAGTAATGGGATTGCTGGGTCAAATGGTAGTTCTGTTTTTAGCTCTTGGAGGAATCACCATACTGCTTTCCACAAGGGTTGAACTAATTTACACTCCCACCCACAGTGTATAAATGTTCCCTTTTCTCTGCAACCTCGCCAGTGTCCTGTTCCTGTTGGAAGGGCTTGAGGTGTTGCCCAGAGAGCCACTGACTGCAGCCACTGCATTTCTGACTATTTGATATCATTGTTTTGGGAAGTGAGTCTTTCCATTTATCCTGCTCTCAGGGTACCTGGGCAGCTGCAGGATGATCTTACCCGCAGGGAGCAATGATTCATCCTCAGGGACTTTGGCAGTTTTTCTTGTGCAAGGGCAGCTTGCACTCCCAGGTCAAGGGTATTAGTGCCCTCATTGCATCTAATCTCAGGTTTCCCAGGTCAGATCTCCCTCCCTTTTGCCACTGTGATTTCTTCCTATTCAAATCATGAATCATAAAGAGGAGCTCACGGAAAATCTTTTTATAGAAATGGACGTATTATTTCTATGCCTGCCTTTCTATTTTGGAGGCAGGGAGAAGGGGAAGATGCAAGGCCGGGTCACAGCCGGACAGGATGGGGGCTCTGGTGTCAGCCCTTACCTGCATTTAAAACTGAGATAGCTTTTTCTGACACAGTAAAAAATAATTTGTGCTTTTCAAGAAGTGGAATGTGACCAGGCGTGATGGCTCACGCCTGTAATCTCAGCAGTTTGGGAGGCTGAGGTGGGCAGATCACCCGAGGTCAGGAGTTTGAGACCAGCCTAGCCAACATGGTAAAACCCTGTCTCTACTAAAAATATAAAAGTTAGCTGGGTGTGGTGGCAGGTGCCTGTAATCTCAGCTACTTGGGAGGCTGAGGCAGGAGAATCACTTGAACCTGGGAGGCGGAGGTTGCAGTGAGCCGAGATCGCACCACTGCACTCCAGCCTGGGCAAAAGAACAAGACTCTGTCTCCAAAAAAAAAAAAAAAAAAAAAAAAAGTGGAATGCATTCAAACACAAAACCGCCCTAGCTAATGAAAAAAGGTGTTATCATTAAAAATTATGACCGATTAAAGGGTGAGTTTTAATTATTCATCCAGAGGAATTAGCCACCTTTCGGCTAAAGATGACAGACAGTGGGACAGTTAATGCCTTTGCGTGCACCCCTTTCAGAGAGTGCTTAATGGGACTTGGATTTTCTTTTCTTTTTGATAGGTTGCTGAAAAGCCAGGAGTCAAAATGACTGAGCGCTTTGACTGCCACCATTGCAACGAATCTCTCTTTGGCAAGAAGTACATCCTGCGGGAGGAGAGCCCCTACTGCGTGGTGTGCTTTGAGACCCTGTTCGCCAACACCTGCGAGGAGTGTGGGAAGCCCATCGGCTGTGACTGCAAGGTACCTGCTGCGGGCCTCTGCGGGTCCCCGGCGCTCCCCTAGGAAACACGGGTTTCTCTGTGGTTTGTGCTGAAGCCCTGATCCACCACTGAAGTCTGTCTCTTGAGCCCCCTCTGAGGGGCGTGGACCCTGCGTGTAGCCTTTCGGAAGCTTCTTCCCTCTAGCGAATGTGATCTCTGCCCACAAGCACTGGGTGAGGGCCTTGCCAGGACTTTTGTGCTTAGTATCTCTAAGTACATTTTCTGTATTCTAGCAATTAGTGCCCTTATCTAACTACCCAGCTGCCTACCAATACTGGAACTTTCTTAAGGGTGGTGCTCTCTTCCTCTTGTCTGTTTGCCCCGTGGTGAGTAACGTGGAGCAGGTGCTGTGCTCAGTCAATATTTGATGAATGAATGTGTACATGAGAGAACCAGAGTTGGTTCCTGGATAAATGGGCACATAAAAGCACAAAGTCCTTGGAAGATTGTGAGCTCTTTTCCTTTAATGAGAGAAGGACAGGATTTGTATTGTTTCCTTTCAATGGGGAAATGTGTTCATGGCTCTCCTGGTATGTCACAGCGTGGTTCAGCAAAGACCACTGGTCACTTGTACCAACTGCCCCGTGGTTGAGGGTGGTGAACCCTGACCTGCGCTTCTCAGCAGACTCTTGTTCCAACCTGGATTGCTGAAGGACACCCTGGGGGACCCATCCATAGCTCTGAACTCTCTGATACCTTCACCCGCAAACGGCTTCTAAAACACTCCAGTGAAACCCCTCATGTGGCTGTCATCCTGAGTGCCGTGAAACTGGCTACAAAATGGGATTCCTTTGGCATCTCTAAAGGAATTCCCAACTGAATGGGCACCAAGTCAGTTCATGGCATTTTACTATCTCTTTTCTGCTCTCGTTGCTTTGTGCTCTGTAGGGATTTTTGCTGCTCTCCTCCCTGGTCGTTAATATCAGCACATTGCCGCTGACTGATTGACTTAGGCCATGCATGCAGTTGGATCATTCTAGCACATCCAACATGTGTTCCTTCTATTTCCTTCTCTGATCACATCATTCTTAGGAAAGACAGGAATCAGAAGGCTGCACCATCACTTTCTGTTCCCAGGGATTTAGTGACAGTTGAGGGATGGTTTCCATCTTGTAGCGAAAGAGACCTCTGCCTTGAGCAGAGACGAAAGAGGTACAGCACCAGCCCCCTAAACCAATGCTGCAGCCCTGTGTCTTTTGGCTTCAGGGCAGATGCTGTGCTGAATGTAAAAGAAACGAAACTCAACAGTGGTATTGTGCCAAACCTTTGAAATACCATAAGCAAAAATAGCTGATCTGGCTACTCTAAAAGTTGTGTATCTTCCTGTATCCTGTCTTGCCTGCTGCGTGTCTCACTGCACCTGACGACTTTTCTCTGTCCCTTTTCATGTATTTAACAGGACAAGCATGAGAGCTCAGCCACCAGACTGCCCAGTTCCAGCCCAGGCTCTGTGTCTCACTTGCTGTGTGGCCTTGGGTCAGTTACTTGACCCTTCCGTGCACATCTCCACATCTATAAAATGGGGAGAACCAGGCCAGGGGCATAGGCTCAAAGCCTATAATCCCAGCACTTTGGGAGGCCAAGGCGGGTGAATCAATTGAGGCCGGGAGTTCGAGACCAGCCTGGCCAACATGGCGAAACCCTGTGTCTACTGAAAATACAAAAATTAGCTGGGCGTGGTGGTGCATATCTGTAATCCCAGCTACTTGAGAGGCTGAGGCACGAGAATCACTTGAACCTGGGAGGCAGAAGTTACAGTGAGCCGAGATCATGCCACTGCACTCCAGCCTGGGACACAGAGTAAGACTCTGTCTCAAAAAAGACCCAAAAAAAACTGGGGAGAACCAGGGGTCTGCTTCATAGGGTCTTTCTAGTATGTAGATACAAGCCCTTGCACTCGCACTCGTACTCTTCTAGCAGCTGACAGGGTAAGCTCCAGACTGCCACCTTTCTGCTGACTACTTCCTTATTCTTTTCGTGACACGTCCCTTCCACACACCTTTCAGAAGCTTCACCCTCTCTCTTTGTCGCTTTTCATTTTGGAAACATCAATAAAAATGTCCAGTTTGAGGAAGAAGTAGATAGCCCGAGAAAAATATAATTATAAAAGCTTTAGCTGGAAAAGAAATACTTACGTAGGTGAGAGGTTCAGATATCATCTGGCAAAAGGTAAGTCTCACTTTCAAGGACAGATTTTGGATATTTGGGGCTAATCATCCCTGACCAGTGGCTGAAATAAAAACAAAACAAAAATCACTTGCTGTTTCTCCAGTGATTTAGTGGAAAGACCCTTAAAAGCCGTCATCCTTCCACGCATGTTTTATGAGCAAATAAACAAGAGTCTCCCAAATGGAGCCAAAATCATCAAGGCTGCTGTCAAGCCAGGAGTGAATTGTGCTGAACTTTTCAACCCGGATTAATGTTTTGAGATACGTGGGGTTACACTGTATGATTTTGTACATTTTGGAACAAAAAGAGACATTGAGTTGAAGCGAGACCTTGGCATTTGGGGCTTTTGATGCTTTAGGCGTGCTTTTCTTGACTTTCAAAAATAATCGGGTAGTTGGGTTTGTAGTGGAAGCAATGATAGAAAAAAATGTTCCTGTTTTTTTCTGGAAGTAAAGCCCACAATCCTGGCAGGCGGGGAGATACCTGATAGAGGAACTGTGCTCTTAGGTCTGGTGGCCAATCTCTTCTCTTAAAATAGCACAGCCACCACAGGCCTCAGCTACTTCCCTCTAAAGGACATGTTCATGTGTGTGAGTTTTAAATGTTGGCATGCCTATGGGAATTAGGCTAATTTTGAGAGTCCTGACCTACTTAAATGAGACAGGCAAGACTTCAGAGCCTGTTATATAGTTTGAACATCCTCTCTATGTAGCCACTGAATTGTAATCTTTATTTCTATTAAGTTACTCTGGGAAAATGCTGTGATCTCAAAGGGTAAAGATTATTGATTTGTATGGCCAGTGTAATAGTGGAGAATAGACAATGCTAATACAATTTTATGATCCTCTGACATTACATGCTTCCTGAACCTTTTCTTGGATACCTGTTAGCATTAACAAAATATTTTCGTAGACTGATTACAGAGTTTTTGGGGGATCTGCCTACGTTCTGGGCTTCAAAAATTCAACCAACTAAAGAAAAAATAGGGCTGGGCACAGTGGCCCACGCCTGTAATTCCAGCACTTTGGGAGGCCGAGGCAGGTGGAACACTTGAGGCCAGGAGCTGGAGACCAGCCTGGCCAACATGGCGAAACCCCGTCTCTACTAAAAATACAAAAATAAGCTGGGTGTGGTGGCGTGCACCTGTAATCCCAGCTACTTGGGAGGCTGAGGCAGGAGAATCATTTGAACCTGGAAGGTAGAGGTTGCAGTGAGCCAAGATTGCGCCACTGTACTCCAGCCTGGGTGACAGAGCAAGACTCCATCTTAAAAAAATAAAAATAAAAAATAGGCTGGCCAATAACTCCAGAGACAGCTGCTAATACTGTGCATTTAACAAATTGGTGATTTTAAGCCCTGGGCGACACACGTAACCTAGACTTTGAATGTTCCATGGGTCTGCAAGCAATGCCATGAAATTGGACTGGCCACCATACCCACCCATGTGCTTGGAGGGTGCTACAAAGAGAAAAAAAAAATAATAAACAAGAACAAAAGATCTGCAGATCAGAAACTAGCATTCAGGGTTTAGTTTCTAGTGGTAGTCTTTGAAACCACTGTGTATTGCCTGATGACTTGTTCCAGGCACTTGTAAATGCCTAAACTGCATGATCTAAATTTCTCCTAACACCCTATAGGTAGGAACTTTTTTCATTCCATTTTATGGAGTAGCCGCTGAGGCCTAGAGAGGATGAGGATCTTGCCAAGGGTTAAAGGGATTAGGAAGTATCCGAGGTACAATTTGAGCCCAGACCCGGAGGGTCCTCACCTAGCATGTGATGCCACCTGCTACCTGCAGCCTCGGGCAGGACCCTGTCTATGTGACTCTCGGGCCAGATGTGGTCAGTCCTTATGAGTAAGAGATGGTGACCACCTGGCCTCAATCAAGTGACCTTCAGTCAGAGGCCCCTACTCTTCTCATGGGCCCCTTTAGATGGTGATGATTACATTGCAGAATTGAGGCTCAAGTTGTTTCACAAACTCTCTTTCCAGCTTTTGTAGCTAATAGGAAACATTGAAGTGATGATCAAATTGGCTGTAAAAGTCTCAGTTAATGTTTGGTAATGGACAGAAATGTTCAGTGATATTTTGGCAGAAAGCAACCTGGCAGGGCTCTGAAATAGGAGACGAAGGTTTTCACACATACAGGTTAAATCTAGATGCCCCTAGTATATTTTGGAAGGTTTCTGACCAAGCCTAGTGAAAGGTGTAAGGTCAGGTTTGAAAAACCCACCCTTCTGTCCTCGGTGTAACACAGGCCTCCCTCGCTGGTCTTTCTGGACCCTTTTCTGGGAAGAGCACCTACTCCAGTCACATTCTCAGGGTCCAGCCTGCCAACCTGGTGCTTTTTTATTTGTTGGGGTGGTTTTTAAGTTCTCAATGAGCAAATTACCTTCTTGGATCTTCTTCCGTGTAGAATTTGTCCACAGAGTTTGTAACGAGCACTGAAAACGCGTATTTATTTGGATTTCCTCCTAAAAGACAAAAATCTGTCTGTGAAGGGAATTTAATCAAGCAGGGTCCTAGGATCAGAAGCAAAGCTGTCTGGATGGATTTCATGAGAAGGGCCTGTCAGTGCACGAACTTGGCCTGTCAGTGCATAAAACCAAAAGTTCAGCCACAAGACATAGCAGCAGAGGTGCACAGCGCTCAGCAGTGACCTCGCATGCACCGAGGCTGGACCCCGGAACCAAATCTCCCTGGCTCCACCTTTGACAAGCTGCGCGAAGGGGACAAGTCCTGCCACCTATAAGCCTCCGTTTCCATGTCTATACACTGGGGTTCCTAGCTCACGGGACTGTCGGGGTAATTGAGTGAGTTAACGTCTAGGGAGCACCTGTGACATGCCAACACAGTGCTGTCATTTCTGCTGTTGTCCATTTTTCTGCATCTTTATTTGTAAGGATTTGAAAGAATGTACAGTTGGAAACCTGATGATCTCAAGCAGAAAATATCTTTTCATAACGCTGAGCATGAATGACATGAGAATCCATGTCTGAAGTGAAATCGTATGGATCTGAAGAATGGTTGGTGCCAGCCCTGGTGGAATGGGGTGCGAAGGAGGGAGGATGAGAGCCAGACGTTTCAGTCTGGGTGACCCTGCCACCCAGAGCCACCTTCCATTAACTGAGGGGTCCAGGGCTCCCTCCAGGCCACTTGCCACTAAAGCTCAGCTAAAGTCTCAAAAAGGACACATTCGGAGCCAAGCAACAGGCACAGCCCATGTTAGGAATGTTTCTGCAATGGAAAAATACAAAACCAGAAAGGAAGTGTGTGGGCCTAATCGTACATGTTTATCAACATTTTACTGCAATGTATGACATTTCTGTGAGCACAAGATTAGCCTTGGTATTTTTTTCTGGGAAGTATAAAAGACTTTTTTTTTCTTTCTTTTTGTTTTCAATTTCTCTCTAGAGGAATTTAAAACCGGATATTTCCATCTTAAAGTTCTTGAGCAAGTCTGTCAAGGTGTCCATATTTCTTACCCTGTTCCTCTCAGCATCGAAGTGCTATCTCTGTTACACTCATGTTTGCTGTTCACAATGGAGTACTAATGAAATAGCAAAATTAAGCTACCGGCATGGTGCTAATAACTGAAACTAAAAATCGGTTTGGAGCTTTTCTGTTTGGAAAGAGTCACTTGAGCCGGGCGTGGTGGCTCATGCCTGTAATTCCAGCACTTTGGGAGGCTGAGGCAGGAGGATCACTTAAGGCCAAGAGTTTGAGACCAGCCTGGGCAATATAGCAAGACCCCTGTCTCTAAACAGATAGATGATAGATAGACAGACAGAACAGATAGATAGAAGAAAAGAAAAGGGTCACTTGGCACTAGGTCTTCACAGGTAAAGATTCAGAGTGTGATAGGAAGCACAGGCTCAGGCACCCGGGTCTAATCAATGACAATCTCGCTTCTAGGCCTTTTGGTGGCATTTTCTAGTCTACCTCTAAGCTCTAGGGAATCGTGTGGCTAAAATCTTCCCTCCTGCTGAGACTCAGAGAATACCATGTTGGCCAAGATCTCTAAAACAATCAAACCTGGCAGTATTGAGTTACCTTCCTCTTATCATAAAGTCTTTCCTCACTTCCTCCTTATTGTGAACTTTCTTAAGAAGCGAGTCCAGGAGGAAGCAGTGACATGAATTTATTAACTTGACTCAGACTTCTAAAGACAACACAAACTGGGCGCCCCATTCAGAGAGTGACAGGGAAACCCCGTGGCATAATTAGTTACCTACGAGTTTCCAAATAGGATTTGGAAGGAGACATACAAACTAGGTCGCCGGCGTGGCACATGGCTTCCCTGAAGCCAGCATTGCCCTGGCCAAGGAAGCTTTGCAGAACAGATGAGATTTCAGCTGGGACTTGCAGCCAAGTGGGATTTGGCCTTTTGGGGAGAAGGGAAAGGGCATTCAAAGGCCAGGGACAGAGTATGGTCAAAGGCATGGAGATGAGGAAGAGGGGACCAGAGCAGAGGGTCAGGTTGGAAAGCGAGTTGGGGTCAATCTGCAAAGGGGCTGACGTGCCAGGTAAAAAACAGGAGCACAGTTTAGTTTTGTCGGATCATTTCAGGTGGAAGGGCAGTGGGAATGTTGGAGAAAACACTTTTTGGTGTCGTTACATTGAATCTGCTCATCTATAAGAATAAAACTTTATTTCATAGAGTTATCGTATGGCTCAAAATAGGTATGAAGAATTAAGAAAAAGAATTTTAGATTTAAAATGAAAAAGCACCTACAAAAGTAGAGTGGTAGAGTTACCAACGTGGAGCTTTAAGGTGGCAGATATTCTCATTGATAGGACTGTCTTCATAAGGAAATGTAGGTTCAGCAAGTGACACATTGAGGCAACTCTTCTCATTATTAGCTGTGGTCTAAATAATGACTTATACTAACATCCATTGAGCAATTGTAATACATACCAGCAACTGTTATACATGCTTGTTACAGCCAGTAGTGGGTCCATTATTCCTGCTGTACAGGTCAGAAATCTGGCAAGAGAGGTTCAATTACTTCCCAATGGTGATGTACGTGGCATAGGGCAGAGCCAGGATTTAAGTTTAGTCAATCTGGCATTTGGGCCCTTGAATTGAACCCCTAGGGTGAAATAACCAAGCAATTTAATCACGTGCTCCTGGGATCCCAGAGGGGCGGGCGCTTGACCCACAGTGATACAAGAGATGTGGACTGTGGGACCTCATGCTCTCCCATCCTGCTTGCATGCAGCAGGCATTCAGGCATTTCTGGCCCAGGAAGCCCACCACCCTGTACTGCAGCAGGGAGGTGGGCCAGTTCTGTTCCCACTGAGGACCCACCAACAACAATGATGCAAGCTTGTTTACAGAGTATTTTTAGTTATTGTACACCACAAAACTTAAGAACGTGAGCATAGGTTAATATTTATCTTCAGGGAAAAGAGTTTCCTTTAGAAGGTTTTAGAATTAGGAACTGCTGCACGCATATTCACTCAGGAATGCTTGTGTGTGCAGTCATAAAGGTAGGCTGAGAGAAACGTTGCGGAGCTGAGTGCAGATGGCCCCAGGGAATGATGCCGAGATAACGCAGCCCTGGGCAGGCAAAGGCACTTTGTGGAAGGCACTCTGTCTTTTGTTTCTTAGGACAAAACCTGGATCTCTGCATGCCCCAACCCGAATGGGATGGGGAGCACTTTCAGGTGTCCACTCTACACCAGCCTGAAGGGAAAGGGCAGCATCTGGCAGGAGCCAAGGCGAAATGGTTCCCAGGGGATATAGCAGACCAGGTTGTCCTGAGAGAATGCGGCCTTCACCTTGCGAGGTGGGATCCGATAGAGCAGGGTGTGGGGGGACAGGCTGCGCCTGCAGAAGGTCTCCAAGTCTTGCATGGATGCTTAGTCCAGTAACATGTGGATAATATCCACATTTAGAGGGACAGTTTCAAGTGTCACGTGTCAATGAATCAGTCTTAAACTGTAGCTATTGCATTTTTGTGCCATAAATATTAACTGTAGGAAAAATGGAATTCTGCAGTGCCTTGGACCCATGTGCATGTCTTAGCCAGCTTTTCCATGTCTGTGCAGGCATGCTGATGTGCTCTTTCCTCCATCTGGGGACTTAATGACCGGAGCACTGGCTGTGGTGACATCTAGTGGCTTTGCTTTCCTGTTGACCTTGGAGATTTCTCTCTCAGTTTTTCTTGAAGGTCAGTCCCAAAAGGCAAATTTTCTAGAAATTGTATTTCTCTTCCCTCTCTTGTCACTGATAACTTGCCACCCCTCTGGGCGTAATGCCTCCTCCCTGGGCAGGGCAGCCACCATGTAAAAAGCAACTATCTTCCCAGAGAGAGGCCAAGGATCTCCTCCCCTCTCCCTGGCGCCTACTCCTTCAGGTCTCTTGTCCCAGCCAGACAGTGACTCTTGGGTCATGGAAAACATTCTGCAGCTTTTCCCCAAACGAGCAGTCCTCTATGAGGTGGCTCGCCTGCACAGGGGGACAGAGGTAACTTCTGAAACGGTGTTTTTTACCTGCTACATAACAATCAAAACTTACTTTTTTTTCTTTTGGAGACAGTTTCACTCTTGTTGCCCAGGCTGGAGTGCAATGGTGCGATCTTGGCTCACTGCAACCTCCACCCTCCACCTCCCGGGTTCAAGATTCTCCTGCCTCAGCCTCCTGAGTAGCTGGGATTACAGGCATGCACCACCACGCCTGGCTAATTTTTGTATTTTTAGTAGAGATGGGGTTTAACCATGTTGGCCAGGCTGGTCTCGAACTCATGACCTCAGGTGATCCGCCTGCCTCGGCCTCCCAAAGTGCTGGGATTACAGGCGTGAGCCACCTCGCCTGGCCAAAACTTACTTTTTTATTCTTTTAATTATGGTAAAATACACAGAACATCACACTTACCTTCTTAACCACTGTTAAGAGTACTGTTCAGTAGTAAGTGCATTCAGATGGCTGTGCAACCAATCCCCAGAGCTTTTGCTTCTTGCAAATCTGAAATACTACCCCCATCAAGCCCATTTACGCCTAGTATTCCATTAGTGGAATGCTAAGCATGTGGGAGTTATGTATATCTTACTGCTCAAGATCATCGCCAAGGTCTGATTGCAGAAATTCAAAAAATTGCAACCTCAGGCATGAATGGGTTACAGAACACATTCTCACTCCCATTCCCCTCTCATCCCAGCCCCTGGCAACCACTCTTCTACTTTCTGTCTCCATGAATGTGACTTCCCTAAGTATCTCACATGTGTGAGATCATGCAGTATTTGTCCTTTTGTGACCGATTTGTCGTTTCACTTAACGTCATGTCCTCAAGATTCATCCATGCTGTAGCATGAGTCAGAATTCCTTTCCTTTCTAAGGCTGAATAAAATTCCATTGTATGCACAGACCACATTTTGTTTACCCCTTCACCTATTGATAGACATCTGGCTTGCTCCCACCTTTTGGCTATGGTGAATAATTCTTCAATGAACGTGGATGTACAAATATATCTTCGAGACCTTACTTTTAATTCTTTTGGGTATATATCCAAAAGTACAATTGCTGAATCATATGGTAATTCTACTTTTAATATCAGCCATGGTGTTTTCCACACAAAATTTATTCTTAATGCATTTCTTCCACAATCAGCATTCTAACAGTGATAACATGAATAAAATCTCCATCTCTTCTTAAATTAGGCAGATTACTGTTTTGGGTGGATAGGGCTTCTAATGATTTGTTCAATTTTATTCAAAGTCTAAACAAAGGCAATACTGAGCCACATTCATTTAGGTACAAAATATGTTCTAGAAAGTTGCCAGAGTTTGGTCGTTTCTGGATTTTTTTAAATGAACACACACACACATCTCCTCAAGGCTATCTGTTTTGAAAGCAAAGAGTAACACAGACCCGACCAGGATTTTGCCTGGGCTGGTTCAGTGGAAATAACTTTCGCATCAGGAGGACTTGAGCTCGAAGCTTGGCTTAGCTCCGTGCCAGGTATGTGACTGGGCAAGTTACGGAACTTCTCTGACCTTCAGTAATAACATTTACCTTGCAGGGCTGTGCCGTGCCTGGAGCTCACAGATGGGGTAATGATGGTCATCACTAGTGTTTCAGATGTCTTTTTGAAGCCGGGGCGTGTGCATGGAAAGAATGGAGACCATGCCTGTTCCCGAACGATGATGATGTCCATGTGGATTGTGGGCTTTGCTGTTTCTCATGAGTTCACATGTGTAGACATCAACTCAAATCAAAGCAGTTTGTCCTCTATTTCACTTGTCAAAATAACCAATAAAGCACAGGTGATGTTCCCCTCAGATTTCTGAAAATACTTTAAGCTAAAAATACAAAAGACAGGTTAGCCCTCTGCCCCCAACTCCCAGTGCATACCCAGTTTGGGTTCTCAAGGATGAAGAGGGCTTGGGCATTTCAGCAACCTGCCCCCGAGTCCCCCTGACAGGCAGTGCCTACCCCAGGGGACCCACAATACCCAGAGGTGCTGGGCTCAGGTGAGAATGAATTCCGCAGAAACAAGGGCATTTAGTCCAGCTTTGAGAGCACTCTATGCTCCTCTCACCTTCATTCCTTTTGTTTTGAGACTGAGTCTCCTTCTGTCACCAAGGCTGTGCAACCTCCACCTCCCAGGTTCAAGCGATTCTCCTGCCTCAGCTTCCCAAGTAGCTGGGACTAAAGGCATGCACCACCACGCCCGGCTAATGTTTGTATTTTTAGTGGAGATAGGGTTTCGCCATGTTGGCCAGGCTTGTCTTGAACTCCTGACCTCTCCTTCATTCTTTATCGTCTTGCGTCAGCAATAATCCTATTCCCAGATGTTCTAGGAAGCAAACTTCCAACAGGGATAGCACAAGAGGTCACCCCTCACAAAGGCCATAGTCATGACTGTCTTCAAAGTGTCTCAGCGTTCACATTTTTAAAATTCCTTGAACTAAAACAAAATGCGCAAAGAGATCACTAAATCAAATAACTAGTTTGGTTCCAGGTTCCGGGAAAACACACATACATGCACACATGTGCACACGCACGCGCACACACACACACACACACACACACATACTTCAGCAAAAGAGAACTGTTTGTTCTAGTTTTGGTTCCGAGTTAGCTGGTGTTTTAGGACTTTCTAATCAAGGCCAAGATCCATGTCTTCACATCCTACATTCAGCATAACTCCAGCTTCGACTTCGGTTTCAGTAACAGAGACATCGTGGGCAGGCTCTTCTTCAGGGCCATCGCGTGAACAGCCCTCCTGTGCCCTGTTCAGGATACCTACCAACTGGAAGCCTGCCCAGGAAACCGTGCAGAGCCTAATACTCTGTTTCTGCCTCATGTATAAATGGATGATGATTTGGGGTCAGAGCTGGGAACACAAAGACAGCAATAGAAACATATCCTTTCTAAGATAAAGCTGGGCATAAAGAGATTGTTATTTTAATTTTGTGTTGGCACTTTAAAAATGCCGTATGTCATTTTTAAAAGGCAAATATGGAGGGTTCTCTTATTCCTCAGGCAAGATGAAGCCAAGTGTGGAGTCGAGTTTTCTGCGGGGCTCCTTTCTCTCCCTCATCTTTTACTCAAAAGCACACGTCTGTCTTCTCAGGGCCTCTCTCATGTGTGCTCAGTTTTTGTCTCACTTCTCCCACCCTCACGCCCCTCCACTCCCACATCCTTACCCGTCCCCCAGTCTGAGCACTTCACTCTCCTGTTGAAAAGCAGCTGTCCACTGCCTTCAGGATCAATGGAATCTCTACACAGACATAAAAGGCAAAAAGGCAGCCATATCTTCCAGTCCAGCCAGGCCGGGGGGCCCTCCCACCTCGCCCCTGGCCTGTGGTCCCTCCAATCTGACATGCCCCCCGTCCCCAGATCTTCTGTGTCTGTGCTCTTTCTCTGCCTGAAATTCCCTTCCTCCCCCAGCTCACGGCCACCCACAGAGGTAGCACCCACACACACAGTCTCTCCTGACCGTCTCCCACCAAACAGTCCTTGGGCCTCCTGTGAACATCCCGACACCCAGAGCCTCTCTGCCATGCCGGTGACCACAGTGATCTGAGTTGGGCAGGGCTCCCTCAGCCAAGGATGTCCTGCAGTCTGTTTCTCTGTCACCGGATGTGGTGTGAGACGAATTGATAGGTGTTCATGTTTTCTGTTTCTCTTTCTTGCAGGCAATACATAAGGGAAATCCCTTTGTTTTTTAGAAGCATCTCTCACACACAGACATGTGCATACATGCACATCTGTCTAACCTGTTGCTCTAAAATGCAGCAAGAGAAAAGCAGCCTAGTCTTAATTGATTTCAGCAGTTAGGTGGTCCTGGGGCATGAATGTGGGTGCGCCAGGGTGCCTCGGCCCAACTTCTTTCCTTGTTTGCCCTGCAGATTCGCAAGGGGCCCCTATGCTGTGGGTCCAA
Organism: Homo sapiens; assembly: GCF_000001405.40. Taxonomy (NCBI): domain Eukaryota; kingdom Metazoa; phylum Chordata; class Mammalia; order Primates; family Hominidae; genus Homo; species Homo sapiens. The sequence continues at coordinate 105,373,780 of NC_000002.12, read as the reverse complement.
GCCCTCCTGTCCTGCCTCTGACTGTCTTGTGTGGTCTGGCCCCACAGGACTTGTCTTACAAGGACCGGCACTGGCATGAAGCCTGTTTCCACTGCTCGCAGTGCAGAAACTCACTGGTGGACAAGCCCTTTGCTGCCAAGGAGGACCAGCTGCTCTGTACAGACTGCTATTCCAACGAGTACTCATCCAAGTGCCAGGAATGCAAGAAGACCATCATGCCAGGTCAGGAGGCACTCCTTTCTCATGCGTGAGCCAGTCTAGCTTCAAGCCTTGTGCACGTTCCTCTGACCCCCTGTTCACATTGACTTGGTTCCAGACACTCGTGTTGACTTTCCAGTTTGACCTTGAACTGCAGAGGAGTATTTAGAGTACTTACGAAGCAGGGACATACAGGTTCTATCATGGGCAGTAACGGGATCTTTTTGCTGTGCACGTGGGGCAGTGTTATGCAGTCAAATTGTTAGAGTAAGAAAATGGTGGGTATCCCCCTTAAAAATACATCTCCTGCATCAGCCCCCACTCTCCCACCACCATAGATAGTTTCTCTTTTCTTCCCTTCTACCTGCTGAATTTGTACTCATTCAGTTATTTCACCAAGTGTGCATGGTGCCCTTGCGTGCCAGGCACTGGGCTCGAGCTGAGCATTCGTAGGGTGTGAGCCGAGGTGCACCTGGTCCTCTGCCCTTGTAGAGTTGGTGTTCTAGACGGACAGTCAAAAAGGGCACAGCCGCAACTGGGCCAGGTGCCGAGGATGGCAATAAAGGTGCCTTGTGTGTTGATGGGACTGTGTCCCTCATGGTTTTTTTGTGTGTGTATGTGGGGGGAGTTATTTGTTTTGTTTTGTTTTTTATGTAGGAGAGCAGAATCTTTTATTTTAAAAAGCAAAGTGGACAAAAATATGTGGAATTTCAAAATACAGAAAGAAGCTGGGTGCGGTGGCTTATACCTGTAATTCCAGTACTTTGGGAGGCTGAGGTGGGTGGATCACTTGAGGTCAGGAGTTTGAAATCGGCCTGGCCAATGTGGTTCAGTGGTGCAATCTTGACTCACTGCAACCTCTGCCTCCCAGGTTCAAGAGATTCTTCTGCCTTAGCCTCCTAAGTAGCTGAGACTACAGGCGTGCACCACCACACCTGGCTAATTTTTGTATTTTTAGTAGAGATGGGGTTTCATCATGTTGGTTTGCTTTGTTTTTGATAATAAAGAAATACTGAAGAGACTGACATATGGGAAATAGTTTAGAAATATATGTAGGATGCCAGGTGTGGTGGCTCACCCCTGTAATCCCAGCACTTTGCAAGGCTAAGGAGGGCGGATCACGAGGTCAGGAGTTTGAGACCAGCCAGGCTAACATGGTAAAACGCTGTCTCTACTAAAAATACAAAAAATTAGCCGGGCATAGTGGCGGGCGTCTGTAGTCCCAGCTACTCGGGAGGCTGAGGCAGGAGAATGGCCTGAACCCAGGAGATGGAGCTTGCAGTGAGCTGAGATCACGCCACTGCACTCCAGCCTGGGTGACAGAGTGAGACTCCGTCTCAAAAAAAAAAGAAAGTTATGTAGGATAAGGAATAATCATTTTTTAAAAAGGCAAGGAGGTAATCTGACCTTTGGTAAGATGGTTTCTTACTGCCACTACATTTCTCTGGTTAATATAACTTTAAAACAACTGTGACACACTATGACAGGGAAGAAAAATGCCCAGGCTGACACAGTCCCAGCCCTGTTGGCAGCTGTAAGGGAAAACAGCTGGAAGGGCTGCATGGTGACTTTAGATGGGGCAGCTCCAGGCAAGAAGGCCTCTTCTAAGATCATGTGGATCCTGCAGAGGCTGGAAACTCGGGCCCCAGTGCTGTGCGACAGTGCAAATGAGAATTGAAGCCCGTAGAAAGCCAGGCTGACCTGTGTCCTGCCCCACAGGGAGTCACTGCAGAGACACAACACTCAGTAACAATAAGAACCACGACATTAATTGAAAAACAAATTAAACCCTTACTAGTTTCCTGAACAAGGGCCCAAGGAAGCTTCCACTGGGGACTCTAGGGGCTGTTTAAAGACTTTAACTGTTAGCACCAACCATGACATAAAAAGTATGCATATTTCCCGGATTTTGAATTTTTCACCTGTCTTGACTTTCTGTGTTAGTCACGTTCTCCAGAGAAACAGAATCAATCAAGGAAATGTATACACATAGATACATACATAAGGAGAGAGAGAGAGAGAGAGAGAGAGAGAGATTTCAAGGGATTGGCTCATGAGATTGTGGAGGCGGTAAGTCTGGAATCTATAGAACAGGGCAGCAGGCTGGAGGCTCAGGGAAGAGATGATACTGCAGTTCCAAATGGGAGCATTTGAATTCCGTAGGGCGGCAGGCTGGAAACTCAGGCAGGGTGTGTCTATTGCAGTCTTGAGAAGAATTAGTTGCCCTTAGGGAAACCTTAGTCTTTGCCCCTAAGGCCCACTACCGATTAGATGAAGCCCGGCCCTGATACGTGGGTAACGTGCTGCACTCGAAGCTTGCTGACTTAGATGTTAGTCACATCTAAAAAACACCTTCACGGCAACAAGTAAACCTGTTTTTTGACCAAACAACTGGGTACCAGAGCCCAGCCACGCTGACACATAAAATTAACCATCACACCTTCCCTTTCTCATGGTGTTTACTGGGGAGGGAAAGAAAAGAAAAACATGATCAGATAAGAAGTAAAAACCTAATGTTCAGTGAGAGGTAACCCATACTGAATATCTGAGAATTAACTGGCCGGCAGCCTCTTCTACTAAGGAATGGGGGAAGCAAGAATTCAGGCTCTGTGGTAAGAAATGCTGTGTAGTAATAATAACAACACAGCTACAGCTTCCAGCCCCTGAGCACACACACAGGCGTCAGACCCTGCTGCTTTACAGAATCCCATTGAATCTTCGGTGTTCCCTGGGTTGGATGGCTTCATCCCCATTTTACAGGTGCCTCTGCCAGAAGAAACGGACTGGGCACCAAAGGCAGGGCGTCTAGAAGAATCCCGGTGTATGCAAAACAAACCAGCACCGACAAAACACTGAATCAAAGCACTTGCTTGCCTGGGTTTGATTTTTAAAAGTGTTAGAACCCATTCAAGATGAATATGGGTTTACAGCGTCAGTGCACAGCTTTTGCGGTGAATTTACATTTAGAGGACAAGTGAAAAACTCACCCACCAGCTCCACACCCCCCACACAAGTCAGTTTCCTGATGACCAATCAGGAAACTGGAATACCATCAGTAACCCCAGTGCTGGGGTTTACCGGCTCTCGCGCCCCTATTAGCAGACGTTGCTTACAGATGCACCACAGCCTCTGAGCAGACTCAAGTAGCGATTCTGTCTCCAACCCTGCAACCAAATTTCTGGCTCCTCATTTGACTTTTTTTTTTTTTGAGCCAGGATCTCGCTCTTTCGCTCAGGCGGGAGAGTAGTGGTACGATCACTGCTCACTGCAGCCTTGACCTCTCGGGCTCAAATGATCCTCCCACCTCAGCCTCCTACGTGTCTAGGACCTCAGGCACACACCACCACACCCGCCTAATTTTTTTTTTGGGGGGGTAGAGACAGGGACTCTCTATGTTGCCCAGGCTGGTCGCCAACTCCTGGGCTCAAGAGATCTCCCGCCTTAGCCTCCCAAAGTGCTGGGATTACAAGGCTGAGGCACCGCAGCCAGCCTCATTTGACTATTTGAATCAGATTAAGACATCCCTTCTTCAAGACTGCGCTTCCGCCTGCGGGAGACTTGGTTCAGAGTGTGCGATTCAGTTAGGAGAAGGAACGCTCCTGCCACCTGCCGGTATTGCTGCATATGACCATGCAGGCTTGCGGCCACTGCTGTCGCCATGCCTGAGGTGCACGCGCCATGTCCCTGAGGCTCCAGGTGCCCTGTGCATTCCCTGCACGTAGAGTTGCCCTCGAACTGGTGTTGATCTGATCAGACTTATTTCAGAACTCGACAAGAATGCCATGAGAGTCATAATTGCCCCATATTCATTGGCAAAATCCTTTGGCTTCTGGGCTGCTTGATCAGAATGAATGTCAGAGATCCAAAGAGCAAGTGACAAAAGTATGCATGGAGGTTGAAGAAAATCTTTGTGAATTCAAAGTCCTTCCACTATTTTTACTTGAATTTCAATTGCTTCATGTAATGTTTGTTTTAGGATTCATCACCCCACAATTGAATTCCATAGATTGTACAGCTTAGTTTTGAATTAAAAGATCGCTGCGTGTCACCATCCCAAATTCCCTCTCACACATTGCCCCCCAACACACACCCTGCTTATTTTATATAATCTCAAATGTCTGGTCTTGGAAGTACAGGAAGCTGAGAAAATGATCCTAAATAACAATCGTGATAATTCTCAGCACATTCCTAATTACTGGAGGACAGACATTTCATGACCAACTTTCTAGCCAGCTAAAATACAACCCCTAGCTTTGTCCTTGGGACCATAAGATTTTGGGGCTGAGAGCTATGGACTAGTCTATAGACTCCTATAAGCCACCTGTGTTACTGCAGCTGCTTCCACCTGGTCTGGAGCGGGGCAGTCCCTCTGTCGGCTTGATTCCCCATCATTCCCTGACCCCCAGTTGAAGTCACATGTATGTGACCCTCATGCCACAGTCCCCAGGGATTGGCAACATTTTTCCTTCAAAAATCAGATAAATATTTGGGGCTTTGTGGACCATACAGTCTCTGTCACAACTACTCAACTATTACAACTACACAACAACTGCACAACTGCACACAGCTGCACACTACTCGGCCGTCTAGCTTAAAAGCGGATGTAAACAATGGAAGTAAATTAATGGGCGTGGCTGTGTTCCAATAAAACTTCATTTGAAAAGCAGGCAGCAGTCTGGATTTGGTCTTACACAGTGGCCAGGCCCCTCAGCTAGTCCGGGCACTTACAACACTTTCCTCTTTCTTTGTCCCTGATACTTATTTCCCCAGATTGTTCTTTACCTTTGCTTTATATGAAGGGTACTTGTTTATACGCCTATCTGGAATCATCCGTTACTATAAATAGATACACTTCTTTCTGGCAAACAAAAATGAAAAAATGTCAGTCAACAGACACCGAGCACTTGCAGTGAGTCCAGCTTGGTGGTGGCAGGGGTGACCCATAAGTGTTTCAGTTCTCTAGAGCTCCTCAGTTCACTTGGAGAAATGGTAGAAATGTATCAAATGCTAATAGTTATTCAAAAGACAATGGATGGCGTAGGTTTAGGCAATTACTAAATGGGATGTACAAGTAACACATGAAGATTTCAGCCAGGCATGGTGGTGTGCACCTGTAGTTCCAGCTACTCAGGTTGAGGCAGGAGTTTCCCTGGAGCCCAGATGTTCAAGGCTGCAGT